>NW_025791777.1:0-300000 GCF_000001405.40 Homo sapiens
CGAGACCATCCTGGCTAACACAGTGAAAACCCTTCTCTACTAAAAATACAAGAAATTAGCCGGGCGTGGTGGCGGGTGCCTGTAGTCCCAGCTGCGCAGGAGGCTGAGGCAGAATGGCGTGAACCCGGGAGGCGGAGCTTGCAGTGAGCCAAGATCGTGCCACTGCACTCCAGCCTGGGCAACAGAACGAGTCTCCGTCTCAAAAAAAAAAAAATAATTAAAAAGTAGCGGGTGTGGTGGTGCGTACCTGTAGTCCCAGCTACTCAGGAGGCCGGGAGGCCGTCAGGTGGGAGGATCCCGTGAGCCTGGGAGATCCAGGCTACAGTGACCACTGCACTCCAGCCTGGGCGACGGAGTGGAGACCCTGTCTCAAAAAAGAAACAAACCAAAACCAAAATATTAAGTCTCTAGGAATCCTGTAAGAGAAGGGTAGATCGGGCCAGGTGCGGTGGCTCACGCCTGTTAACCCAGCACTTTGGGAGGCCAAGGTGGGTGGATCACCTGAGGTCAGAAGTTTGAGACCAGCCTGGCCAACATGGTGAAACCCCATCTCCACTAAAATACAAAATTTAGCCGGTCGTCACACGTCCGGAGGCCGAGCCGTCGCGTACCTAGGATGCCGCGTGGAAGCCGAAGCCGCACCTCCCGCATGGCCCCTCCGGCCAGCCAGGCCCCCTCAGATGAGAGCTGCACCCAGGCCAGTACCAGTCGTTCAGCCACCAGCAGCGGCACCCCCATCTGTAGTTGGCTCTTCTGCTGCTGCGCCCCGGCAGCCAGGTCTGATGGCCCAGATGGCAACCACTGCAGCTGGCGTGGCTGTGGGCTCTGCTGTGGGTCACGCCATTACTGGGGCTTTCAGGGGAGGAAGTAATGCTGAGCCTGCGAGGCCTGACATCACTTACCAGGAGCCTCAGGGAACCCAGCCGGCACAGCAGCAGCAGCCTTGCTTCTATGAGATCAGTTTCTGGAGTGTGCCCAGAACCAGGGTGACATCAAGCTCTGTGAGGGTTTCAATGAGGTGCTGAAACAGTGCCGACTTGCAAACGGATTGGCCTAATCAAGAAGTTCAACCTGGAGAGATGGAAAATCAGCTCTCATAACTAAGTTAATTTAGTATAAAAATAGAATTGATAGTGAGGGTATAAAGTGTAACCATGAGTTAAACCTCTCCTGTCATTCCTAGCTTCCTTGCTTCAGAATTGAAATGGAAGGGGGGTGTTCCTACTCTGTAGAATCTGTGACAGGGCAAATGTTTGTGTGGCCTCCTTAAACTAGCTGTTATGATTTTATTCTTTGTGAGTTAATTAGAATAAAGTCATTTTCTTCCAAAAAAAAAATTAGCCGGTCGTGGTGGCAGGTGCCTGTATTCCCAGCTGCTTGGCTGAGGCAGGAGAATCTCTTGAACCCGGCAAGCGGAGTTTGCCGTGAGCCGAGATCGCGCCACTGCACTCCAGCCTGGGTGACAGAGCAAGACTTTGTCTTAAAAAGAGGAGGGGGGGGTGGGAGAGAGAGAGAGAGAGAGAGAGAGAGAGAGAGAGAGAGAGAGAGAGGGAGAGGGAGGGAGAGAGAGAGAGAGAGAAATCTAAGCTGAGGTTCAGAGGTAGAGGCAGTCATTGAAAAACAGGCTTTTGCGGGCGGGCGGCGTCCACTGCAAGGATGCACTGTCTGGCTCCCTCTGGAGGCGGGAGCACGAAGGAGCGACCACGGAGCCCTTGAGCCTGTGGATGGTGGCCTCGGCGGCCGGCAGGCCATGCTGGAGTATCTGCCAACCTGATGAAGACGAGGACGTCCCACAAGTTCCGGACAGACGTGGCCGCCAAATTAATGAGGAAAGAAAAGGAGTCTTTTTTTTTTTTTTTAAAGACAGAGTTTTTCTCTTGTTGCCAGGCTGCAGTGCAGTGGCGAGATCTCAGCTCACTGCAACCTCTGCCTCCCGGGTTCAAGTGATTCTCCTGCCTTAGCCTCTGGAGTAGCTGAGTTTACAGGTCTGCACCACCACGCTCAGCTAATTTTGTATTTTTAGTAGACAGGGGGTTTCTCCATGTTGGTCAGGCTGGTCTCGAACTCCTGACCTCAGGTGATTCGCCCGCCTTGGCCTCCCAAAGTGCCGGGATTACAGGCGTGAGCCACCGTGGCTGACCAAAGGTGTCTTAAGCTTAGAAAAATGATAAAAGATACAAAAGCTGCCTAGGAATGAAACTACTGGGTCATATGAGGCTCCTTCAGGGTGCGCAAAGTCCTGGAAACCAGCATGCAGATAAGGAAAGAAAGAGACCATCAGTCCATGCAGTTGTCAGCTGGCTGGGAGCTGAGGAGAGTCACTTGTGGAGGCACCTGATCTTTGTCCCCCACGTCCCAGACAAGCCCATATCTCACTTTCAGAACTAAGATGCTTGGGAAACCAAGACAAGGAACTGTGTATTGCAAACAGCATTACCCTAGAGAAGAGGTGGCAGGAGATGACCTACAAAAAAATGGAGCAATAGCCTAGAGCAAGAAACAGAACAAAAGAGAACTGAGTCACCTCCTGGAAGGTCACACAAGACAAGCACATATTCAGGGGCCTCCTAACAGACTAGACTTCCAGCATCCTCAGTTGGGGCTAGACACTTTTTACATAGACATTCAATACTAGAGAACTCAGGGACATCTGATTTATACCATGAAATACATACACAGCAGATGTGTGCCTGTGGAGCAGAATTCTGGAAAAGCTCACAGCCCAGAACATAATGCAGACTCCCCCAGCCACAGCACCTTCCAATCCTGAGAAGAGTGCTGATTCTCCATCTGAGCACCCATTCTCCTGCAACATCAGGGGAGAGGAGTTCACCTAAGGATCAGACCAGTATCTCCAAACCCAGCTCCCCACCTCTGCCTGTTGGTGGCACTTGTGGGTGAAGGGGAGATGGTATGAAAAGACTCACAACAGGAGTCACCTGAACAAGGTGGGGCTTGGTGGAAACTGACATTTGTTCCTGTTGGAGGCAAATGTGGAATTTGGCATCTTGCCTTAGCAACAGACACATGAAATTCTCCAGTGCCCAGGACTTTTGACAGTGACTTCAAAGCACAGCTGGGAGACCCATGTGGCCCAGGCTCTACCCAGGCAGGAGCTCAGCTTCACTCACAGCAGGATTCCTAGTGCCAAGAACACCATGGGTGCATAGCAGGTGATCAAAATAATTGTATGTGGCTGAATCAGTGAGAGGTAAGAGAGAGGACTTGAGGCCGGGCACGGTGGCTCATGACTGTAATCCCAGCACTTTGGGAGGCTGAGGTGGGTGAATCACAAGGTCATGAGATCAAGACCATCCTGGCTAACACAGTGAAACCCCATCTCTACTAAAAACACAAAACATTAGTCGGGCGTGGTGGCACGCACCTGTAATCCCAGCTACTCGGGAGGCTGAGGCAAGAGAATCGCTGGAAGTCGGGAGACGGCGGTTGCATTGAGCTGAGACTGCACCACTGCACTCCAGCCTGGGCCACAGTGCGAGACTCCGTCTCAAAAAAAAAAAAAAGAGAGAGGACTTGATCCTAGCGGCAAACTAAGAGACCTCATTAAAACCTAACATGTGAGGCCCAGCATGGTGACTCATACCTGTAATCCCAGCACTTTGGGAGGCTGAGGCTGGAAGATTGCTTGAGCCCAGGAGTTCAAGACCAGCCTGGGCAACATAGTAAGACCCTGTCTCTTAAAAAAAATTGGATGAGCATAGTTATAGTCCTAGCTGCTTGGGAGGCTAAGGCAGGAGGACTGCTGGAGCCCAGGAGTTTGAGGTTAGAGTGAGCTATGATTGCACCACTGCAATCCAGCCTGGGCAATGCAGTGAGCCCTGTCTCTCTCTACAAAAATCATATATATATATATAATATATACATAATATATATAATATATACATAATATATAATATATACATAATATATAATATAATATACCATAATATACATAATATATAATATATAATGTATATATTATATATACATTATATATATAATATATATTTAGTGTGTGTATGTGTGTGTGATATCAGAAAAAAAAACTATTCATCGTGAAGTAAAAAAGAGCCTGACTTTGGAGGTATATAAGCATGGCATTGGGTTCAAATCAAGCTCTGACAATTACCAAGCTCAGCCTCAGCGTCTCTACCTGTGAAATTGGCTTGATTCAGTACCTACCACACAGGGCTGCTATATGAATTGTTTGTGAAATATTTAGAATGGTGCCTGACACATGGTTCACAGTAAGAAACAACTATTGCTATTATTAAGTGCTTTGCACTTTGGTTTTCACAGAGCTAATGGTTTTCACAGAGCTAACAATTTTTACTGTCTAGCTTTGTGTCTTTGAAAGATTTTTGAGGTCTAAGAATGCCCTTTTAAAACCTCTCAACACTCCTAGAAGAGGTCACACTTTGAGCTTCAATAACTGCCTTTTTTTTTTTTTTTGAGACGGAGTTTCGCTCTTTTGCCCAAGCTGGAGTGAAATGGCGCGATCTCGACCCACTGAATCCTCAGCCCCCTGAATCCTCAGCCCCCTGGGTTCAAGAAATTCTCCTGCCTCAGCCTCCCGAGTAGCTGGGATTACAAGTGCCCGCCACCACGCCCGGCTAATTTTTGTATTTTTAGTAGAAACAGGGTTTCACCATGTTGGCCAGATTGGTCTCAAACTCCTGACCTTAGGTGACCTGCCCACCTCAGCCTCCCAAATTGGTAGGATTACAGGCATGAGCCACCGTACCCGGCCAATAGCTGGCATTTTTGTCAATTAGTTAACAGTGTGCTTAGAGCAAGTCCCTGTAGAGAGTGTCCACGGGCATGAGCCACAGGGAATACAGTGCGAGGCCTGTGGAGGTAGGAGCTGAGGATGTCAACAGGGAAAGCACAGAGTACCAAAGACAAAAGTCACCCAGGACATTTCTTTGTTAGCTACCTGGTGGCAGCCTGGACACCTGAAGATAGAGTTGAAGACACCTCTAATGCAAGAGGTGGATGCCCCGGAGATGTGGCTGATTCCTCCAGCCCCGCCATCGTGCAGCTTCGTGACTTCCTGGAGAGCCTTATATGCAAGCAGAAAAGTCCCAGAATAAAGCAATGTGGATATTGCACACTTTTTTTTTTTTTTTTTTTGAGATGGAGTCTCTCTGTGTCACCCAGGCTGGAGTGCAGTGGCTCAATCTCGGCTCACTGCAAGCTCCGCCTCCCAGGTTCACACCATTCTCCTGCCTCAGCCTCCCTAGTAGCTGGGACTACAGGTGCCCGCCACCACGCCCAGCTAATTTTTTGTATTTTTAGTAGAGATGGGGTTTCACCATGTTAGCCAGGATAGTCTTGATCTCCTGACCTTGTAATCCACCCGTCTTGGTCTCCCAAAGTGCTGGGATTACAGGTGTGAGCCACCACGCCTGGCCAATTGCACACATTTTTAAAAGAACTGGAGGGGTGAAGAGTACCAGCTGTCCCTACTGGGCCAGGACTGCCCTGGTTTTAACACTAAATGTCCCACATCCTGATAACCCTCAATCCCACGCAAATCAGGCCAGATGGTCATCTACTTGGAAGTTATCAAAGGAGGTGGGTTTTAGCATCCCTTCCCTTTCCTGTTACATTGAGACCATGGGGTGCTGTTAACTTGATTTTAGTTTCTTCAAAAATGCCAGAAATTTAGCTAATAGGTTTTCCTTATATTTGTTAATTGAATTAGACTATATACAGTCTGCATGTTTACCTTATTTTCCATTATATAATGGCACCAAATATTGCAATAATTTTTTTAAATTAATGTCTTTAGTAATGGATTGCTAGGTGTTGAAATGCTTTAATATATTTATGAAAACATTTGTACAAATAATTTTATCTTCCACATGACATTTAGAAAAGTTTAGTCTGGCTGGGCGTGGTGGCTCACTCATGTAATCCCAGCACCTTGGGAGGCCGAGGTGGGTTGATCACCTGAGGTTAGGAGTTTGAGACCAGCCTGGCCAACATGGTGAAATCCCGTCTCTACTAAAAATACAAAAATTAGCTGGGCCTTGTGGTGCGGACCTGTAGTCCCAGCTACTTGGGAGGCTGAGGCAGGAGAATCACTTGAATCACTCCGGGAGGTGGAGGTTGCAGTGAGACAAGATTGCACCACTGCACTCCAGGCTGAGTGACAGAGTGAGACCCCGTTTCAAAAAAAAAAAAGAGAAGAGAAGAGAAAATAAGAAAATAAAAGGAAAGGTTTAGTCTGAAATTCCATTACTGAAAGTTCTTGGGGTTGGGGGAGGTGGAAGGCAGTATCTTTTTGCTGTTATATTTCTTATACTGCAGTGTCAGTGAAACTACATCATCCTTTGTAAAATCAATAAAATCCCTGATAATTTAAAAAAAAAAAGAACAAAAGAAAAGCAGGCTTTCATTACTGAGAAACCAAGCAGGCATTGTAGGCCAAAGGAATTCCTGGAGCAAAGTCATGGAAGTGGAAACCAACAGGAATGGCCCTGTGGGCTTAGAAAGCTACTACTGGGGACTGTTACCTATTCCTGGTGGTTTTCTGAGATGGGTGCTACCTACCTATAACCCCATGAAAACATGCTGCATCATAACTTCATTACCTTGGTGAAATAATTTTGGTTTTATTTCCTAATATCCTACAACCTTGGAATAACCAAAGGGACGTGGTAGTGGTCAAAAAACTGCTGGGTCTAAAGATCATTCTGCATTAACAACAAAGACAAGTAATAAACACTTTCCTCGCAGTGACAAACCTCTTTATTCTTTCTCTTCTCCAGATCCAGCTCACATTTGCCTTAACCACTTATACCCCAAAAGTAAACATATCTAGGTATACTGGGAAATATACGAGACTTAAAATTGAGGCTCTAAAATTTCTCCTGATTATAAATAAGGTCAATGCTATGTGCACATTAGATGCTCAAGGATTTAAGATTATTTTAAAAGATTAATACATAGGCTGGGTGAAGTGGCTCACGCTTGTAATCCAGCACTTTAGGAGGCCGAGGCAGGTGGATCACAAAGTCAGGAGTTCAAGACCAGCCTAGCCAACACAGTGAAACGCCGTCTCTACTAAAAATACAAAAATTAGCCAGGCGTGGTGGCAGGTGCCTGTAATCCCAGCTACTCAGGAGGCTGAGGCAAAAGAATCGCTTGAACCCAGGAGGTGGAGGTTTCAGTGAGCCGAGATCACACCACTGCACTCCAGCCTGGGTGACAGAGCTAGACTCCGTCTCAAAAAAAAAAAAAAGATTAATACATTTATAATTTTAAAGTCAGTTTGCCTAGTATCTATTATGGTAGAGTAGGCACATCAAATAGCTTTTGCAAACCAAAAATAATTTTTCTTCACTTAAAACTCTGACATGTATTTAAAACAACAGTCTTCACTCTAAAAATATTTCAAGGCTTACTCCCACCTGTCCCCCTTAAAAAAACTTTAAGATAACCTCTAAGATAACCCTGATTTCTTTGTCAAAACTTTTCCAAAATTTAGAACTGTGGAGGCATGGATACAAAATTTATTTTTGGACCGGGCACGGTGGCTCACACATGTAATCCCAGCACTTTGGGAGGCTGAGACGGACAGATCACCTGAGGTCAGGAGTTCAAGACCAGCCTGACCAACATGGGGAAACCCTGTCTCTACTAAAAACACAAAATTAGCCAGGCATGGTGGTAGGTGCCTGTAATCCCAGCTACTTGAGACGTACTCAAATTGTACATATAGCTTTTAAAGACTTTCGGCATATATTTGTTAAGCAATAGTTTAGCAGCATTGTACATGTATTTTTTGTCTTTTTTTGTTACCTGAGCACATGTTTTTTAAAAATAAATTTTATTTTAATTTTTTTTGAGATGGATTTTCAGTCTTGTTGCCCAGGCTGGAGTGCAACGGCACAATCTCGGCTCACTGCAACCTCTGCCTCTTGGGTTCAAGCAATTCTCCTGCCTCAGCCTCCCGAGTAGCTGGGATTACAGGCATGTGCCACCACGTCTGGCTAATTTTGTGTTTTTAGTAGAGATGGGGTTTCTCCATGTTGGTCAGGCTGGTCTCGAACTCCCGACCTCAGGTGATCTGCCCACCCCGGCCTCCCAAAGTGCTGGGATTACAGGTGTGAGCCACCACACCCAGCCAGTACTGCATTCTTTTTATGGCCAAATAATATTTAGTTTTATGGACATACCACAATTATCTTATACCATTCAGGCCGGGCGTGGTGGCTTACGCCTGTAATCCCAGCACTTTGGGAGGCTGAGGTGGACGGGTCACCTGAGGTCGGGAGTTTGAGACCAGCCTGGCCAACATGGTGAAACCCCATGTCTACTAAAAATACAAAAATTAGCTGGGTGTGGACGAGTGCCTGTAATCCCAGCTACTCAGGAGACTGAGGTGGAAGAATCGCTTGAACCCGGGAGGTGGAGGTTGCAGTGAGACAAGACCGTGCCACTGCACTCCAGCCTGGGTGACAGAGTGAGTCTCCAACTCAAAAAAAAGAATTACACCATTCATCAGTTGATGAACATTTGGATTGTTTCCAATTCTGGGCAATTATGAATAATGCTATAAACAGTCATGGACAAGTTTTTGTATGGGTGTATGTTTTCATTTCTCATGGGTATAGAACTAGGAGTGAAATTGCTGGGCCATATAGTACTCTATATTTAACATTTTGAGGAAATGCCAAGTGGTTTTTCAAAGTGGCTACACCATTTTATATTAACACTAGTTATGTGTAAGGGTTCCAATTTATCCACATCCTCACCAACACCTGTTATTGTTTGTCTTTTTGCTTTTAGTCATTCTAGTGGGTGTGAAACAATCTCTCATGATGGTTTTAATTTGCATTTTTCCTAATGACTAATGATGTTGAGCATCTTTTATGTGCTTATTGGCAATTTGCATATCTTCTTTGAAGAAATGTCCATTAAATTTCATTGTCCATTTTTCAACAGGGTTATTTATCTTTTTATGATTAAGTTATAAGAGTTCTTACTTAATCAGATATAATTTGTTATCTGATTAGAGTTCTAGACTCTAATCAGATATAATTTACAAATATTTTCTACCATTGTGTAGGTTGTCTTTTCACAGTCTTAAGGGTGTCTATTGAACCACAAAAGTTTTTAAATTTTGGTGAAGTCTGATTTATCTATTTTTTTCTTTAGTTGCTTATGCTTTTGGTGTCATACCTAAGAAGGCTTTGCCTCACAAAGGCTGATGAAGGTTTACTCCTATATGTTCTTCTAAGAATGTATTGTTTTAGCTGTTACATTTAGATCTGTGATCCTTTAGAGCTTTAGAGTTACTTTTTGTGTATGTGTGAGGAAAGGATTTATCTTTATTCCTTTTTCTTTCTTTTTTTTTTTTTTGAGATGGAGTTTTGCTCTGGTTGCCCAGGCTGGAGTGCAGTGGCATACTCATGGCTCGCTGCAACCTCCACCTCCTGTGTTCAAGCGATTCTCCTGCCTCAGCCTCCTGAGTAGCTGGAATTACAGGCATGTGTCACCACGCTTGGCTAATTTTGTATTTTTAGTAGAAATGGGGTTTCTCCATGTTGGTCAGGTTGGTCTTGAACTCCCGACCTCAGGTGATCCGCCCGCCTCAGCCTCCCAAAGTCCTGGGATTACAGGCGTGAGCCACTGCGCCTGGCGTCATCTTTATTCTTTTGTGTGTAGTTATCCAGTTGTTTCAGCACTATTTGTTTAAAAGATTGTTCTTTCATAGCATTAGGAGAAATACCTAATGTAGATGATGGGTTGATGGGTGCAGCAAACCACCATGGCACATGTATACCTATGTAACAAACCTGCACGTTCTGCACATGTATCCCAAAACTTAAAGTATAATTAAAAAAAGAAAAAGACAAACACACAAAAAAACAAAAAACAAAAACAAAACACAACAAACAAAAAAGATTGTTCTTTCTACGTTCAGTTGTCTTGGCAAGCTTATGAAAATTAATTGGTTATAAATATAAGGGCTTATTTTTGGTCTCTCAATCCTATTCCATTAATCTATATGTCTATTCTTATGCCAGTACTACCCTGTCTTAATGTGGCATTAGTAGTAAGTTTGAAAATCAAGAAATGTGAGTCCTGCAACTTTGTTTTGGCAGTTCTGAGTCCCTTGAATTTCCGTATGTATTTTAGGATTAGCTTGTCAGTTTCTACAAGGAAGCCAGCTGGGAATTATGATATGGATTGTGCTAATACTGTACATCAATTGGCAAGTATTGCCATTTTAGCAATGTTAAGTTTTCTGATGCATGAAGATGGGATAGCTTTCTTTTTTGTGTGTGAGATGGAGTCCTGCTCTTTTGCCTACACTGGAGTGCAGTGGTGCGATCTTGGCTCAATGCAATCTCTGCCTCCTGGATTCAAGCAATTCTCCTGCTTCAGCCTCCTGAGTAGGTGGGATTACAGGCATGCACCACCATGCTCAGCTAATTTCTTTTCTTTTTCTTTTTTTCTTTTCTTTTGAGACGGAGTCTCACTGTATTGCCCAGGCTGGAGTGTAGTGGCGCAATCTCGGCTCACTGCAACCTCCACCTCTCAGGTTCAAGCAATACTCCTGCCTCAGCCTCCTGAGTAGCTGGGATTACAGGCATGCACCACCAGGCCCAGCTAATTTTTATATTTTTAGTAGAGACGGGGTTTCACCATGTTGGTCAGGCTGGTCTCGAACTCCTAACCTCGTGATCCACCCACCTCAGCCTCCCAAAGTGCTGGGATTAAAGTCATGAGCCACTGCACCCGGCCGGGTCTTTTTTTTTGAGACACAGTCTCATTCTGTCACCCGGTTGGAGTGCAGTGGGGCAATCTCAGCTCACTGCAACCTCCACCTCGTGGATTCAAGCGATTCTCCTGGATCAGCCTCCCAAGTAGCTGGGATTACAGGCTCCCACCACCACACCCAGATAATTTTTGTATTTTTAGTAGAGATGGGATTTTGCCACGTTGGCCAGGCTGGTCTCGAACTCCTGACCTCAGGTGACCTGCCTGTCTCAGCCTCCCAAAGTGCTGGGATTACAGGCATGAGCCACCATGCCCAGCCTTATTTATTTGTTTATTTTTCAACTTAACAGAATTCATCCTTTTTTTTTTTTTTTTTTGAGATGGAGTCTTGCTCTGTTGCCCAGGCTAGAATGCAGTGGCACAATCTCAGTTTACTGCAACCTCCACCTCTCGGGTTCAAGCAATTCTCCTGCCTCAGCCTCCGGAGTAGCTGAGATTACAGGCGCCTGCCACCATCCCTGGCTGATTTTTGTATTTTTAGTAGAGATGGGGTTTCACCATGTTGGCCAGGCTGGTCTCAAACTCCTGACCTCAGGTGATCTGCCTGTCTTGGCCTCCCGAAGTGCTGGGATTACAGGCATGAGGCACTGTGCTGGGCCAACAGCAATTCATCC
The DNA here is from genome assembly GCF_000001405.40 of Homo sapiens. Lineage (NCBI taxonomy): Eukaryota > Metazoa > Chordata > Mammalia > Primates > Hominidae > Homo > Homo sapiens. The sequence continues at coordinate 11,412 of NW_025791777.1, forward strand.
TGAATGTAAACTTTTTAATATATGTTGGGAATTATTCCCTTATCTTCTATTTGTTGGGAGAAATTTTAAAATAATTGGTATTGGCTCTTTTTTAAACATTTAATAAAATTCACCAGTGGCTCTCTCTTCTTCCTGCTCTAGCCATGTAAGACGTGCCTGCTTCTCCTTGGCCTTCTACCATGATTATAAGTTCCCTCAGGCCTCCCCAGCCATGCTTCCTATATAGCCTGTGGAACCATGAGCCAATTAAACCTCTTTTCTTTATAAACAATAAAAAAAATCGCCAGGTGTGGTGGCTCACACCTGTAATCCCAGCACTTTGGGAGGCCAAGGTGGGTGGATCACCTGAGGCTGGGAGTTCAAGATAAGTCTGGCCAATAAGGTAAAACCCCGTCTCTACTAAAAATACAAAAAATTAGCTGTGTGTGGTGGTGGGCGCCTGTAATCCCAGCTACTTGGGAGGCTGAAGAAGGAGAATTGCTTGAATCCGGGACGCAGAGGTTGCACTGAGCCAAGATGTGTCACCATTGCACTCCAGCCTGGGCAACAAGAGTGAAGCTCCATCTAAAAAATAATAATAATAAATAAATTAATTAATTAATTTAAAAAAATCACCAGTGAAGCCATCTGTGCCTGGACCTTTCTGTGTAGGAAGTTTTAAAATTACTAATTTATTATATTTTCTTGTTATAGGCCTATTCATAATTTATATTTCTTCTTGAATCAGTTTCAGAAGTTTGTGAATTTCTAGGAATTTGTCCATTTAATATAAATTATCTAATTTGTTGGCATACAGTTGTTTATAGTTTTCCTTTATAATCCATTTGATTTCCGTAGTCAGTAGTGATATCCCCTCCCTTCTCTTTTTTGTTAATCTAGATTAAGGTTTGCCGATTTTGTTGATTTTTTTAAATCAAGTTGTTTTATTATTTTGATAATTCTGTACATATTCTAGATACACACCTGATATCAGATATTCATTTTGCATTTTCTCCAATCTGTGATTTGTGCTTTCATCTTCTTTCTCTTTTTTAAAATTTGTAGAGATGGAGTCTTGCTATGTTGCCCAGGCTGGCATGCAGTAGCTATTTGCAGGCACAGTCATACCTCACTACAACCTTCAACTCCAGGGCTCAAGTGATCCTCCTACCTCAGCCTCCCTAGTAGCTGGGAGTAGTTTGGACTAGGGTGAGCACTGCTGCCCTGGCTCTTTGTGCTTTCGTTTTCTTAACATTGTCTTTTGAAGAGAGAAAGAGTTATGAATTTTGCTGAAGTCCCATGTATCAGTCCCTTTATGGTTTGTGCTTTTTGTGTCTTATCAGAAAAATCTTTTTTCTAATCCAAGACACTAAATTTTTTCACTTGTTGAAAGATTATTCTTTCCCCCATTGACTTGCCTTTGGACTTCCATCAAAAATTGCCACAGAGCTCGGTGGCTGTCGCCAGTAACGCTAACACTTTGGGAGACTGAGGCAGGAGGATTCATTGAGCCCAGGAGTTCCCGACCAGGCTGGGCAACGTGGTGAAACCTTGTTTCTACACAAAGTTAAAAAATTAGCCAGGTGTACTGGCGAGCATCTGTAGTTCCAGCTACTTGGAGGCTGAGGTGGGAGGATCACCTGAGCCTGGGGAGATTGAGGCTGCAGTGAGCAAAGAGCATGCCATGGCATTCCAACATGGGTGACAGAGCAAGACCCTGTCTCAAAATAAAAAAATGGCCCATCAACTACTGTCAGCTTCAGGTGGGGGGCGCGGGGGAAAAACTTTAAAAAGAAAACATTTTTAAAAATGTGCCCATATGTGCAGATTTCTTTGCTTTTTTTTTTTTTTTTTTTTTTTTTAGACAGGGTCTGTCTGTGTTGCCCAGGCTGGAGTGCAGTTGTGCAATCTCAGCTCACTGCAACCTCAGCTCACTGCAACCTCCACTTCCTGGGTTAAAGCAATTCTCATGCCTCAGCCTCTGGAATAGCTGGGATTACAGATGTGTGCCACCATGCCCGGCTAATTTTTGTATTTTTAGTAGAGAGGAGGTTTCACCATTTTGGCCAGGCTTTTTTTTTTTTGAGACGGAGTCTTGCTCCGTCGCTCAGGCTGGAGTGCAGTGGCGTGATCTTGGCTCACTGCAACCTCCGTCTCCCAGGTTCAAGCAATTTTCCTACCTCAGCCTCCTGAGTAGCTGGGATTATAGGCACCCAGCACCACGCCCAGTTAATTTTTGCATTTTTAGTACAGACAGGGTTTCACCATGTTGGCCAGGCTGGTCTCAAACTCCTGACCTCAGGCACCAGCCTTGGCCTCCCAAAGTGCTGGGATTACAGGCGGGAGCCACCGTGCCTGGCCTTTTTGAAAATTTTAAGATGGTGTCTCACTCTGTCACCCAGGCTGGAGTGTAGTGGTGCGATCTCAGCTCACTGCAACCTCGAGTTCCTGGGTGTAAGCGCTTCTCCCGCTTCAGTCTCCTGAGTAGCTGGGATTACAGGCACATGCCACCACACTCAGCTAATTTTGTTGGTTTTTCTTTTTTCTTTTCTTTTCTTTTTTTTGTGATGCAGCCTCATCTGTTGCCCACGTTGTAGTGCAGTGGCATGAACCACTGGCCTAATTTTTGTATCTTTTGTACAGGCAGGGTTTCACTAGCTACTTGGGAGGCTGAAGTCAGAGGATCACTTGAGCCCAGGAGGTCGAGGCTGCAGCGAGCTATGATGGTGCCACAGCATTCCAGCCTGGGTGACATGGCAAGAGCCTGTCTCAAAAAAAAAAAAGAAAAAAAATTAGTCTACTAAATGTTAAGCTTGCGTACAATTTGTCTTTGGGAATTTACTCAACAGATAAACTTGCTCATATGCATAACGCATATGCATTAGGGAACACAACTTAGTGAGTGAAAGCCTGCCTAAGATAGAACACTGAAGCTAATACTTTTTAGCTATTATCTTGGATAAGCCACTTAACTCTTCTGTGCCTTGGTTCCTGTAATGGAAATAATAATAACATCTACCTCAGAGAGTGGTCATGTGGATAAAGAATTCACTTTTGAAATGTGTTTAGAAGTTTATGTCATAGTAATATATTTACTCTTTATTATTCTTGCATCATTGTAATAGTAAAAAGCTGGAAACAGCCTAAATGTCCATTAGTGAGAGGACTGATTAAATCAAACTTGGCATGTCTTTTTTTTTGAGACAAGTTCTCACTCTGTCCGCCCAGGATGGAGTGCAGTGGCTCAATCACAGCTCACTGCAGCCTCGACCTCCTCAGGCTCAGGTGATCCTCCTGCGTCAGCCTCCTGAGTAGCTGGGACTATAGGTGCATGCCACCACTCTGGGCTATTATTTTATTTTTATTTATTTATTCATTTTTTTGGAGACAGTGTCTCACTCTGTTGCCCAGGCTGGAATGCAGTGGCACAATCTGAGCTCACTCCAACCTCCGCTGCCTGAGTTAAAGCGATTCTCCTGCCTCGGCCTCCGGAGTAGCTGGGATTACAGGCATGCACCACCATGCCTGGCTAGTTTTTGTATTTTTGGTAGAGACGAGATTTCACCATGTTGGCCAGGCTGGTCTCGAACTCCTAATCTCAAGTGATCCACCTGCCTTGGCCTCCTAAAGTGCTGGGATTACAGGCATGAGCCACTATGCCCAGCCTCTTTTTTCTTTTTTTTAAATAGAGACGAGGTCTCACTATGTTGCCCAGGCTGGTCTCGAACTTCTGAGCTCAAGTGATCCTCCCACCTAGGCCTCCCAAAGTGCTGAGATTACAGGAGTGAGCCACCATGCCTGACCTATTTTTTTTTTTTTTTGCGACAGAGTGTGGCCCAGCCTGGAGTGCAGAGGCACTATCTCGGCTCACTGCAAGCTCTGCCTCCCGGGTTCATGCCATTCTCCTGCCTCAGCCTCCCGAGTAGCTGGGACTACAGGTGCCTGCCATCACGCCTGGCTAATTTTTTGTATTTTTAGTAGAGACGGGGTTTCACCGTGTTAGCCAGGATGGTCTCAATCTCCTGACTTCGTGATCTGCCTGCCTCGACCTCCCAAAGTGCTGGGATTACAGGCGTGAGCCTCCGCGCCCGGCCTGGCCTATTTACTTAATTAATTAATTAATTTATTTATTTTTAGGAACAGTGTTTCACCATGTCGGCCAGGTTGGTCTCAAACTCCTGGGCTTAAGTCATCCGCCCGCCTTGGCCTCCCAAAGTGCTAGGATTACAAGTGTGAGCCACAGTGCCTGGGTACTTGGCATATCATTAATGGCTTTTTTTTTTTTTTTTTTTTTTTTTTGAGATGGGAGTTTCACTCTTATTGCCCAGGATGGAGTGCAATGGTGCAATCTCGGCTCATTGCAACCTCCACCTCCTCGGTTCAAGCGATTCTCCTGCCTCAGCCTCTCAAGTAGCTGAGATTACAGGCACCCACCACCACGCCCGGCTAATTTTTGTATTTTAGTAGAAACAAGGATTCACCATGTTGGTTAGGCTGGTCTCAAACTCCTGACCTCAGGTGATCCACCCACCTCGGCCTCCCAAAGTGTTGGGATTACAGGCATGAGCCACCGGGCCTAGCCTCATTAATGCCATTTTATGCAAACATTAAAAAGATGAGGGATCCAAAGAAGATAAACCAATAGGCACATGAAAAGATGCTCATCATAAATCATTAGAGAAATGTAAATCAAAACCAAAATGTGATATACTACTCACCCACTAGTATAGTTATAATAAAAAAGATGGGAGTTGCCAGGCAAGGTGGCTCACGCCTGCAATCCCAGCACTTTGGGAGGCTGAGGCGGGCAGATTACCTGAGGTTGGGAGTTCGAGGGAGAAACTCTGTCTTTACTAAAAATACAAAATCAGCCGGGTATGGTGGTGCATGCCTGTAATCCCAGCTACTTGGGAGATTGAGGCAAGAGAATCGCTTGAACCTGGGAGGTGGAGGTTGAACCCTTGAACCTGCAGTGAGCTGAGATCACGCCATTGCACTCCAGCCTGGGCAACAAGAGTGAGACTGCCTCAAAAAAAAAAAAAAAAAAAAAAAAAAAAGGCCAGGCGCGGTGGCTCACGCCTCTAATCCCAGCACTCTGGGAGGCCAAGGTGGGCAGATCACGAGGTCAGGAGATCGAGACCATCCTGCCTGACATGGTGAAACCCCGTCTCTACTAAAAATACAAAAATTAGCCGGGCGTGGTGGCAGGCGCCTGTAGTCCCAGCTACTTGGGAGACTGAGACAGGAGAATGGCGTGAACTCGGGAGGTGGAGCTTGCAGTGAGCCGAGATTGCACCACTGCACTCCAGCCTGGGCGACAGAGCAAGACTCCGTCTCAAAAAAAAAAAAAGATGGGATCAAGCAGTCATGGTGTTCTCGATGCTGGAGGGCCTACTTGACCTATCACCAGAAGGTGTTGCTGCTTTGTAACCAGGCGCTGTACCACCTCAAGCCATGGTGCATCCAGAGATAAATAATGGTATATTTTGCCTGTTTGATGAGAGCCTGGTTTGAAGAGCATAGGAAAAAAAAAAAGGGTATGATGGAGGCTACCCCACTGCTGAGGGAGGCAGAGGAATTCTGGTATCGTCAGCATTCACAGCCATTCTCTTCCCTGACTCTCTGGGGGTACTTCCTATGAGAGATACGAGTGATATGCTACAAGTCTCTGGAGTGGTGCTTAGATGACTGGAATCCTTCTGAGAAGGCAATGTACCCTGATTACTTAGCCAAGAGAGAGCAGTGGAAGAAACTGCTGAGGCAAAGCCAGGAGTGAGAGGTTAAGCAGCTGCAGGAGGAAATCCCAACTGGTGGTCTAGGACTGAAGCTTTGCCCCCTGTGGTGGTATATTGTGACCAGACCCCGGGAGTGGCCCATGTAGAGAGACAGACCTCACCCTGTCATGCCTGCAAGTGAAGTAAGTTACAGAACATACACACACACTTAGCCTAATAAAAATCGCTGAAATGGTAAAAATCAACAAATATAGACCGTAACAAGTGTTAGCAAGAATGTGAAGAAACTGAGTCCCTAATACATTGATGGTGGGAACATAAAATGCTGCAACCACTTTGGAAACCAGTTTGGCATTTCCTCAAAAAGTTAAACATGGTTGCCCTATGACCCAGCAATTCCCCTCCCAGGTATATGCCTAAGAAAACTGAAAACATACATCCACATGGAATCTTGTACATGAATGCTCATAGTATGCTACTATTATGTATTCAACTTCACAATACCCAAAGTGGATACAACCCAATTGTGCAAGTGATGGAAACATAAGCAAAATGTGGTAAATCCATATAATGGAATATTATTCAACCATAAAAAGGAATGAGATATTGGTACATGCTATAACTTAGATGAACCTTGAAAACATTATGCTAAGTGAAAGAAACTGGACACAAAAGGCCACATACTGTATAATCCCATTTATATGAAATATCCAGAATATGCAAATCCATAGAGACAGAAAGTAGACTAGTGACTGCAAGGGGATGAGGAGGAAAGAATAGAGAGTGACTGCTAAAGGGTATAGGAGTTCCCTTTATCATCACTGCTTCCTCCACAGTGGTGACAGTTACATAACCTTGTTAATAAGCTAAAAACCAACGGATTATAAATTTTATTTATGTTTATTTTTAGAGTCTAAGGTCTCACTATGTTGCCCAGGCTGGTCTTGAACTCCTGCCTCAAGCGATTCTCCACCTCAGCCTCCCCATTTGCTGGGATTACAGGCATAAGCCACCATACCCGGTTCTGATTATACACTTCAAAATGGTAAATTTTATTGTATGATATGTATATCTATCTCAACTAAAAAAAAGAACAGGGAGGTCTGTACTGAGATGATATAATCTTCAAATATAGTAAGTGAAAAAAGAAAGGTACAGAATAGTGTGCATAATATACTGTTATATTCTTTAAAAAATGTACACATGTACATATACACTGTGCAGGCATAAAACCTCTAAAAAGACATATAGGAAACCAGTAACATTATTTCCTAAAGGGAAGGAACCTGGGGTGCCTGGGGATAGGGTGGTCTGGAAGGGAGACCTAACTTTTCAACATGCTCTTTTGTACCTTTTGAACTTTGTATCGAGTACAACACTTAACTTTTTTTCTAATTTAAAGAAAGAAAAAAGGAATACTCTGTTGCTTTATCTTTAGTTTTATTTTAAGAGATCATCTGCATTTTTTTCTGTAATAAACTTAAAAGATATCCACCCATTTTGTCAGATTTATTTATTCTTTAGCAATTTAAGTATTAAAATCACAGTTTTTGTCTCAATCCTTAATAATACTATATTCATTATATTTCATGTTTAGCTTTCTCATGGAGAAAAAGAAACACAGGCATAAACCTATATACTATCCACCTGCTGGTTCTGCAACATGATTTTAATAAAGTGTTACTGACACTTGAACAATTTCTATGATGTCGGCAGAGATATCAACAAGAGTGATTATTAAGTAGCTAGCCTTATAAGTCAAGAGTTATGATCTTTGATCCACTGCTCAATCCATTTCAAGATCTGATCTACATTATTTTCTAGCTCTTCTGGTTTATTACTGGGCAGCTGATGCACGATTTCTTCCTTGTAGGATGCTGTGGCTTCTTCATAAAGAACTTGAAAAATCTCACACTGAATATTGTCTGTTAGTTTCTTCTCATTATAACCCCTAGAAGGCAGGGAGGTTAAGCAAACAAGAAGCAAAATAAATGGCATTAACTGGAGTTTCAGAAACATACCAGAAACTGGACACTTTTCAATACGTGAAAAATTACAGAAATGGTCTCTTCACCTAGAGAGGAGTGACTGGTACCTGTTTATATGACACAGTTTCTTGACACTAGGGTGAAACTAAAGATCACCAAACCAGCATCTAGGTTTGTTTGAATTTCCCCCCCCCACAATTTGTCAGCTACTCAATAAATTCCCAATGAATTAGTAAATTAGCAAAATCTCATAACTTAGTAATAAAAAGATTTGTAACCCAATTAAAACTTAAGCAAAGAATCTGAGTAAATATTTCTCCAAGGAAGATACACAACTGTCTAATAAGGACATGAAAAGATGTTCAGCATCTCTAGCTGTATAGGAAATGCAAATCAAAATTACAATGAGATATTACTTCACATCCAGCAGGATGACTACAACCAAAATATGAACAATAACAGCTGTTGGTGAGGATGTGGACAAATTAGAACCCTCATACACAGTGTGAATATGAGATGATGCAGCCACTATGGAAAACAATCTGGCAGTTATTGGAAGGGTCAAATACAAAGTTTCCATATTACCCAGCAATTCAATTCCTAGATATATAAACAAGAGAAATAAACACATGATGTCCACACAAAAACATGTGCAAGAATGTTTATGGATACAATATTCATAACAGCCAAAAAGTGAAACAACCCAAATGTCCACAACCTGATAAATGTATTTTAAAAATGATACATCCATACAATGGAATATTATTTGGCAATAAAAAGAAATGAAGTACTGGTCTATGATACAATATGAATGAACCTTGAAAACAAACTAATTTGACAGGAGACAGGCATAAAAGTCCACATCCTGTATGATTTCATTCATATGAAATATCTAGTATAGACAAATCCATAAAGACAGAGAGTAGATTATTGGTTGCCTAGGGCTGGGGAACTGAGGGTAAATGGGGAGTGACTACTACTGGGTATGGGGTTCCTTTCTGGGGTGACAAAAATTTTCTTTTTTTGAGACGGAGTCTTGCTCTGTCACCCAGGCTGGAGTGCAGTGGTGTGATCTCGGCTCACTGCAACCTCCACCTTCCGGGTTCAAGCAATTCTCCTGCCTCAGCCTCCTGAGTAGCTGGGATTACAGGTGCAAGCCACCACGCCCAGCTAATCTTTGTATTCCTAGTAGAGACGGGGTTTCACCATGTTGGTCAGGCTGGTCTCGAACTCCTGACCTCATGATTCAGCCACCTTGGCCTCCCAAAGTGCTGGAATTACAGGCGTGAGCCACCGCGCCCACCCCCAAAATTTTCTAAAATTGTTTGTGGTAATGATTGTACAACTTTTTGATATACAAAAAAACAAATGAGCAACTGATATATACACCTACTATGTACCCATAAAACTAGAAAAAAACCTGAATTATGTACTTTAAGTGGGTGAATGTAAACTAAATCTCAATAAAGTGGATATTTTTGTTTTTTGGTTGCTTTTGAGACAGGGTCTTGCTTTGTCAACCAGGCTGGAGTGCAGTGGTGCAATCACAGCTCACTGCAGCCTCAACCTCCCAGGCTCAAGCATTCCTCCCACCTCAGCCTCCAAAGTAGCTGGGACCACAGGTGCATGCCACCACACTTGGCTAAATTTTTTATTTTTTTGTAGAGACCAAGGTCTTGCTATGTTGCCCAGGCTGGTCTCAAACTCCTAGGCTCAAGCAATCACCTTGCCTCAGCCTCCCAAATTGCTGGGATTACAGGTGTGAGGTGTGAGCCGTCCTGCCTCCCCCTCACCACCCAACCATGCCCAGCCTAAAGCTGTTACTTTTTTACAACCTTTTCGATAGTTAAAAATACTAACTAGCTCTCTCATAGTTTTTTCATACCTTAGTCTTACCCTTGGCTATATATGTAAAACAGTAATTTTTTAATCAAAATTTTAAATTGTCTTGATTGAAAAAAAGCATATGTACCATATAGTCTCTATTACTTCTCTGCCCCAAAACTTTTAATGGCTTTTCACTGCCTAAAAAAGATAAAAGTTTTAGGTTTAGCCCCAATTTAACTTTTTCTATATGTATATTTGCTGCCATACTATTCTGTGCAAGGATTTACAAGTATCGCAAATAATAGTGGTTAGTCAGAGTTGACTATAATCAGTGAAAACCACACATTCTGACCCCGACCTTAAGCAAAATTCTGGAGCTTTCCTTTCTGAGATTGCTCTCTAATTTCTCTAGAATCCCCATATTCCCACAGCTTTGATCAAAAGACAGTGGGGATAAAAGACTTCCCTAAAAGTTTCTCTTTACTGGTTCTTCCGCATTAAATCTGATGCTCTATTTGTGGGTTTAACTCGGTATCTATTAAAGACTGTGAAATGCTGGTTTATTTTGTTAGTTTTTCATAAGCTTTCCCACTCCTGATGCAGGGATAATTTGAGTGAGTAGTGTTCAGTCAATAAGCAAAGAATATGTTAGGGGCTTGGCTGTTTTCCTAGCAAGGGTTTACATCAAAGAAAAAGCATGGCTAAATAGGGTTTCTTTTTTTTGTTTGAGACGGAGTCTCACTCTGTTGCCCAGGCTGGAGTGCAGTGGTGTGATCTCAGCTCACTGCAAGCTCCACCTCCCAGGTTCACGTCGTTCTCCTGCCTCAGCCTCCAGAGTAGCTGGGACTGTACAGGTGCCTGCCACCATGCCCGGCTAATTTTTTTTGCATTTTTAGTAGTGACAGGATTTCACCATGTTAGCCAGCATGGTCTCGATGTCCTGACCTTGTGATCCTCCCACCTTGGTCTCCCAAAGTGCTGGGATTACAAGCGTGAGCCACTGTGCCCGGCCGACTAAATTGGGTTTCTACACAGTACATTTTACTCAATCAGATTGTCAGTTGAGATATTAATTTACTCAAAAAGTACTGCCCATATTTTAAAGTAGTCATATTTTCAAATAAAACCCTTTATTAGCTGGGTGCTATGACTCACACCTGTAGCCTCAGCACTTTGGGAGGCTGAGGTGGGCAGATTGCTGGAGCCCAAGAGTTCGAGACCAGTCTGGGCAACATGGGAGACCCCATCTCTACAAAAAATAAAAAAATTAGCCAGGCAAGGTGGCATGTGCCCGTGGTCTGTTAGTCAGGAGGCTGAGGCACAAGAATTGCTTGAACCAGGGAGGTGGAGGTTGCAGTGGACCGAGATCACACCACTGCCCTCCAGCCTGGGTGACAGCGAGACTCTATCTCAAAAAAACAAAACAAAACAAAACAAAACAAACAACAACAATCTTTTATCATGGCCAATTTCAGAAATCTGAATAAAAGTTAACATTATGCTTTAAGAATCTAATGTTTTTCCTTTCTTACCTTGTTTCAAGTCTTTCGTACAATACATTGGTATCTGTTCTCAGCACAAAAACTATATGAAACCAGCGTTCAGGGAAGAAATCACAACCATGGTAATCAACAATAACTCCACCTTCTCTCATTTGGTTATCTAACTCATCAACTACCTGTAAGAAAAGTTTAAAAAAAAATGCTTCTTAAGAAAACTGAAGTCAACTTTCCTATGAAATTCAACAAATGCATACTTTATGAAAAAGTCATACTTACTCTGTCTTCATCTAAAATGGGACAGTCATACTCTTCATCATAGCCATCATACAATTGCTCTAAAAGAGATTTAGAATTGCTTGTTGAAATATTTTCTAAGTAACTTTAAGTAATTTTCAATTAATTCTAGACTTCAGGAAAGGAAATGTATCATCAATTATTCTTTTAGATACAAGGGTGGATACTAACAAAATAAATGTTACATAAACACCAAATATAAAGGAGCCATACTAACTGATAAATTGGAATTTTGTTTAGAGGGAAACTTGGATTGCAATATATCTGAAACTGCTTTAAATATCAAAACTGAAACCAACTAAAAAGAGTGAATAACCAACTTCAGAATTTGTGGGGCTACTAGAAGAGGACTACACTATTTTTGTTGAACTACAGATTGGCGGGAAGAGGAAACACCTGAACAGATACAAACACACTCACATACATTTAAAAGCAGATTAATTTATCAAAAGCAGTAACAGGCCAGGCATGGTGGCTTTGCGCTTGTAATCCCAGCCCAGTACGAGGTAGGAGGATCTCTTGAGCCCAGGAGTTCAAGACAGCCTGGGCAATATGTTGAGAACCTGTTTCTACAGAAAAAAAAAAAAAAAATTAGGCAGGCATGGTGGTGCACACCTGTAGTCCCAGTTACTTGGGAGGCTGAGGCAGAAGGATTGCTTGAGCCTGGGAGGTGGAGGTTACAATAAGGTGAGATCACACCACCGTACTCCAGGCTGGGCGACAGAGCAGGACCCTGTCTCCAAAAAGAAAGAAAGAAAAAAGCAATAACAGATTCTTTATTCCAGAAATGAACCCTCTGTCACTGAGCTCACATCCTCATGGGAATAGAGAAGGGTCAGGATCCAAATGCTCCTGAACAGTATCTTTACTTCTAGATTTCCAGTATTCCAAACTGCCGTTCCTCATAAGAGTTAAATAGTCTCATTTCAGAAGGCAAAACAAAAATAACGTTCAAAGTTACAAAGGAGGCAAATTTAAATTTAACATAAGAACTTTCCAACAAATCACAGCTGGTTTTCAAAAGAAGTATTCTTTCAGGAGGTAAGACATACCATCTTACCCTTAGCCCCAGCCCTTAGGAGGTATTAATCTAAGGCAAGCTCAGATCATCCATTAACCATCTCTGAGAGCATGTTATATAGCAGTCTTCCCACCTCTTTCCCCTTAATATTTTGGTACGGGTTGAAATGAGGTTAAAATGAACATAAATTCTGAAGGGACACAGGAGTAGTCTGATGGTCACTGCGGGGGCAGTCTGATGGACACTGGAGGGCACAAAAGCAGTTGTAACTCCTTGTCTTGCCTGGAGGGTCTGTGGACTGATTCTAGGCACATAAACCACCTTTCTAGCACTCTAGTGTGGCCTCTGCCTCCTTGGGCTATTGCTCACCTACCAGGAACTCTACCAACCTAAAAAATTAAACTGTCTTGGTATGAAGAAAACTGGTTAACAATTTAGAAAACAATCTAAATCCTTACTTTATACCACAAACCCCAGATGGAGCTATAAAGGAATGATTCATTTGAGTTTGTTGAGTAGCAGAAGAAATAAAAAGACTGATCCAGTTATTTAAAATGTTGACTCTCTGTTCCTTGAGAAATAATCAAATTCTAAGAAAAGTAACAGAATGGGAGAAATAACAAAGGACTGAAATGTAGATAATATAAAGACCTTAAAACCAAAATAACAATTGCTCAATAAACAAGAAAAGAATTCACACAAGATGGAAGAGTGGAAAAAATCAGTAAACACACATGAAAAAATACTGAATTTTCCTAGCTATTAAAGAGATGCAAATTAAAATGAGTCTATATTTATGCCTGTTATATGTTCAATCCATTTAGATATTTACACTACCATTTCATTTCTAATTGGACAAAATTAGAAAATAATAAAAAATGTTGAACAATAAGAAAAGTTAAATCTTGATTTACCAACTTTATAACTTTATAAAATATTATGTAATTAATTTTGTAAAAATTATGTAATTAAAATTAATAAGTATTAGAGTTATAGTATTATAGTTAACATAGTTTAAAAATACTATGTAGTATAGACTAGGCAGCAACATGATAAATGCTCACATATACAAGTGTAAAACACAAAAAGCAGAATTCAAAGTTGTCCTTACTAGGGACAAAGATTAGAAGAAAAACAAAAGCTTTGGAGTATTTTTCCATATACTATTTTTACAGTATTGCATATTTTTTTAACAGTACCACAAAATCTAAGAATACCTATAGCTGATTCTGTACTATGTGGTAATCTTGAATAGATAAACACGGAGGTTCCTTCATACTTTAAATCTTTGACTTTTAAAAGATGACTCTGGCCGGTGCGGTGGCTCATGCCTGTAATTCCAGCACACTGGAAGGCCGAGGTGGTTGATCACCTGTGGTCAGGAGTTGAGACCAGCCTGGCCAACATGGTGAAACCCCATCTCTACCAAAAATACAAAAGTTAGCCAGGCGTGGTGGCGGGTGCCTGTAATCCCAGCTGCTTGGGAGGTTGAGGCAGGAGAATCGCTTGAACCCGGGAGGAGGCTGCAGTGAGCTGAGATCGCGCCACTGCACTCCAGCCTGGGTGACAGAGCAAGACTCTGTCTCAAAAAAAAAAAAAAAAAAAAAAAAAGAAAGATGACTTGAACCAATATATGCTGTCTAAAATAGATGTGTTAACTTTTAGGATTGAAGTCTTTATTTTTTTTGAGACGGAGTCCCAGAGGCTATCAAGTCTACTGCAGATTTTTAGGTAAGTGATGATTGTAGCCTGTACCAGAGAAATGAACGGATCCTAAACTTCATTTCAAATTTCAAAAAAAGAATAAATTTTATGCTACTTTAGAAAGTTTCAATTGGAAGCCAAATTTATACTTGCCTATACATAGGATCTTAAGCAAAGATCAAAAAGGTTGATTTGTTTAAGGACTGAGAGATTAGAAAATTAAATCAACTTTCTAAACAAAGTTTTGCAGTTTATTTTTTTAAATTCCAGGTACAGATATATTGCTTGCAGAAAAAAAATCAATTGTGGGGCCAGAGTTAAAAGGGTGAGCATGGTGGTTCGCGCTTATAATCCTAGCACTTTCAGAGGCCGAGGTGGGAGGATCTCTTGAGCCTGGGAGTTCGGGATCACCCTGGATAACATAGCAACACCCCACCACTACCAAAAGAAAAAAAAAAAAATTAGCCCAGCATGGTGGTGCCAGCCTATAGTCCCAGCTACTCTGGAGGTTGAGGTGGGAGGACTGCTTGAGGCTGGAGTGAGCCAGGATTGCACCACTGTATTCCAGTTAGGGTGACAGTGATACCTTGTCTCAAAAAAAAAAAAATTTTTTTTTTTTAAATTTTGAGACAGAGTTTCACTCTCGTCACCCACGCTGGAGTGCAATGGCATGATCCTGGCTCACTGCAACCTCCGTCTCCTGGGTTCAAGCAATTCTCCCGCCTCAGCCTCCCAAGTAGCTGGGATTACGGGTGCCCGCCACCATGCCTGGCTAATTTTTGTATTTTTAGTAGAGATGGGGTTTCACCATGTTGGCCAGGCTGGTCTTGAACTTTTGACCTCAGGTGATCCACCCGCCCTGGCCTCCCAAAGTGCTGGGTTTACAGGTGTGAGCCACTGCGCCAGGCCCCACAAAATTTTTTAAAGCTCATTCTTACCTTAAAAAACCTTCCCAGCTGCTGCTGTTTGTCAAACTGTAAAATCATGACATTATGTTTAACTGCCATCCTAGAACTTATATACACTCAAGTGAAAGCTGTTCTTTAATCATATTGGGATGCTGGTTGTTTTGACACTGCTGCCAATACTTAAAATTTTTATTTTCATATTTCTTCTTTTGAAAACATATTCACCACATTTACCTCAACTCAACAAGAAGCTGATAACTCTAAAGCAATTAGAACAAGAAATTAACTGGTTTAGAGTGATTGGGTGCCTTTAAAATACCTGGCTTTTTATGCGAAAAGAAAAGGGCAATTAATTCTGCATAGTGAAGTTAGACAGCCAAAGATATGACATTGGAGTTGGGCCTCCAAGGAGTTGTAAGGAAGATAAGGAAACCTATAAAGAGAACAGCATGCATAAATACTCGAGGTGGAAAATTCCTAGTGAGAACAGGGTATGATGGCTGCACTGAAGGGGACATAGGGGAGAGAACGGCTGCAGGTAAACTGTGGC
This sequence comes from Homo sapiens, assembly GCF_000001405.40. NCBI lineage: Eukaryota > Metazoa > Chordata > Mammalia > Primates > Hominidae > Homo > Homo sapiens. Next base: position 26,920 of record NW_025791777.1, read on the forward strand.
CATTTTATAAAGAATCTCCTATATTTCCTGAAGGAGAATGGACTATGTGAGTAAAAAGTTCAAATCATGTCATTCTCCTTCCCCACTTTTAAGAAAATGATAGTGTAGAAGAGGGAAGAAAGAGATACTGAAGAAGTCAAACAGGAGATTCTAGGTAGGATTCTAGGCACAGCACCAGGGGTCTTGATGAAATAGGGGTACTGTAGGGATGTGTCGGAGAAACCGTCAAGATTTAAAGGCCAAGTGGATCTGTGTGGAGAGAGTGAATGTGTATTTATATGCTTGGGAGGTAGAAATCAGAGGAGTGGGCAAGTATAGTCAAGGATGCTTTCAGAGCACGTGCTTTAAACATACTAATTTAGAGCTGTAAACATCTGGGAACTATCCAGATGGTTGTCTAATAGGTATCTAGAAATTGGGCTGTTTTAATTATAAATTTAAGTCATCAGCACAAGGGAGTGAATAGTCCTGAATGAGTGAGATTACTAGTGGGAGGGGCAGAATTACAATATGGCTGCAATGAAATCATGGGGGAAACAGGTGGAAGGGGAAAGACCAGAGGCAAAGATAGGGAGAGAGCAGTGTCAGAGAGGTCAATAGAGGAGTTAGTTTCCAAGGCTTCCAGTGGGAGTTGATAAGGGGAGAGAAAAATGGGATTCAGAAAAGGATAGAACAGGGATCAGCATTTTTTCTTTCTGTAAAGGGCCAGGTAATACCTTACGCTTTGCAAGCTAGTCTTTAGCTCAGAAGTCATACAAAAACAACAGTAGCTTGCCAACCCCTAGGTTAGAGATATATCAAGATTCTAAGTGTTCAAGCCAAGCTATGCTTTACAATTTCTACTGGAAATGGATCCAATGTCAATATATTACTTCGTCTAGACCTATGGGTATTCTGCAGTTAGGAACAGAGGCCGAAGACCGAAAAACTGCTGCCAGGAAAATTAAGGATGCTAGTAAGAGTATAAAAATGATTGTATATAGGAAAGGGTATCAAGTGAGGAGGAGTCTTGAGACTGGAAGAATAGCAATAAGAGAAGCACTCTTACAGTCATACCACAGTAAGACTCTTTTTTTTTGAGATGGAGTCTCACTCTGTCGCCCAGGCTAGAGTGCAGTGGCGCGATCTTGGCTCGCTGCAAGCTCTGCCTCCCAAGTAGCTGGGACCACAGGCATCTGCCACCACGCCCGGCTAATTTTTTGTATTTTTAGTAGAGACGGGGTTTCACCGTGTTAGCCAGGATGGTCTCAATCTCCTGACCTCGTGATCTGCCCACCTCGGCTCCCCACAGTGCTGGGATTACAGGCGTGAGCCACCGCGCCCGGCCCACAGTAAGACTCTTTAATAGTTTTCTTTTTTTTTTGAGACGGAATCTCTCTCTGTCACCCAGACTGGAGTACAGTGGCATGATCTCGGTTCACTGCAACCTCCACCTCCCAGGTTCAAGTGATTCTCCTGCCTCAGCCTCCTGAGTAGCTGGGATTACAGGCACCCTCAGCAACGCCGGACTGATTTTTTTTTTTTTTTGAGACTGAGTCTTGCTCTGTCTTGCCCAGGCTGGAGTGCAGTGGTGTGATCTCGGGTCACTGCAGCCTCCGCCTAACGGGTTCAAGTGATTCTCCTGTCTCAGCCTCCCGAGTAGCTGGGATTACTGGGGCCCACCACCATACCTGGCTACTTTTTTGTATTTTTAGTAGAGATGGGGTTTCACCATGTTGGACAGGCTGGTCTTGAACTCCTGACCTTAGGTGATCCACCCGCCTCGGCCTCCCAAAAGTGCTAGGATTACAGGCATGAGCCACCGTGCTGGGCCAAAGTGCTGGAATTTACAGGCATGAGCCACCACCCCCGGCCAGTTTTCTTAAACTTGATTCCCTTTTTTTTTTTTTTTTTTTTTGCCTTGGTTTTGGGAGTGAAGATGACCTCTCTCAACTACTACTGCAATTCCACATGATCACCAGGATGATACTAAACTTTTAGAAATAAGTTTAAAATAGGGTTTTCTTAAAAGCTTTTTTTCCGACTTTAGTGAGCATCGGAATAAGCCTTATTTCTTTACAGCAAGATTTCTCAACCTTATTACTAATGACATTTTGAGTCTGGTAATTGTTACTAAGGGAGACAGGGGACTGTCCTGTGAACTACAGGATCTTTAGTAGAATCCCTGGCCATCACCTCCCCCTCCATGTGACAACCCAAAACGTCTTCACACATTGCTATACCCCCAAAGGGCAAAAATCACCTAGTTGAGAATCACTTCATTATAGATGATTGCCTGGTTTCCCTTAAAAATATATCCCCACTTGAAATAAAAATGAGGTTAGTTGCCCCAGAATATTTCCAGATATATTCAAACAGGATCTGGGTTAAAAAATCTGGTATGTCAAACCTTACAAAGTACCTCATCAGGCTGGGCACAATGGCTAACACCGGTAATCCCAGCACTTTTGAGAGGTCAAGGTGGGAGGATCACTTGAGCCTGGGGAATTGGAGACCACCCTGGGCAACACAGTGAGGCCTTGTGTCTGTAGTCCCAGCTACTGGGGAGGTTGAAGCAGGAGATCACTTGAGCCCGGGAGGCTGGGGTTGCAGTGAGGGGAAACTGTGCCACTGCACTCCAGCCTGGGCCACAGAGCAAGACCCTGTCTCAAACAAACAAACAAAAAAAACCCCACAAAGTACCTCCATCAAACTCCATGTCAAGTCAGACCAGAAATCTTTTATCTGGCATTACAGGAGGGGGAAAAAATACTTTTCCTTTAAGACTTAGATCCCATTTCATGAAATAATCTCACTAATAACAAAGAGGATGGGTGGGACTATACACAACTGACTAAAATGGTGTTGAGTACTTGAGGTACAGTGGCTCTCGTCTGCAATCCCAGCACTTTGGGAGGCTAAGGCAGAAGGATCATTTGAGCCCAGGAGTAAACCAGCCTGGGGAACAAAGCCAGACCCTGTCTCTGCAAAAATAATTTTAAGTTAGCCCGGCAGGATGGTGTGTGCCTGTAGTCCCAGCTACAAGGGAGGCTGAGGCAGGATGATCACTTTAGCCCAGGAGTTCAAGGATGCAATGAGCTATGATCAGGCCACCACACTCCAGCCTGGGCAACAGAGCAAGACTCTGTCTCAACCAAATGAAATGGTTTAAGTACTGGTAGGAGAGGACCCAAAGAAGAGGAAGACAAGTGCCTTATACTGGATTGTCCTTGGTCTGGTGTCACCATTGCTCTCAATGCTATTAATGCTCTAATTAGTTTAGAAATGTTAAATTGAGTGAAAGTAACATTGGAATGCATGAATGAAATTGACTATTATGTGACTCAGAAATCACTTGTCAAAAATGGTGGTGTTCAACAGTGAGGAACAAAACCACATTTCATATAGATATAAAACAGAAAGGCCGGGCTGGGCGCGGTGGCCCACGCCTGTAATCCCAGCACTCAGGGAGGCCAAGGTGGGTGGATCACGAGGTCAGGAGATCGAGACCAACCTGGTTAACACGGTGAAACCCCGTCTCTACTAAAAATACAGAAAATTAGCTGGGCGTGGTGGCAGGTGCCTGTAGTCCCAGCTACTTGGGAGGCTGAGGCAGGACAATGGCGTGAACCTGGGAGGCAGAGCTTGCAGTGAGCCGAGATTACACCACTGCACTCCAGTCTGGGCGACAGAGGGAGACTCCGTCTCAAAAGAAAAAAAAAAAAGGAAAGGCCAGGTGAGGTAGCTCACACCTGTAATCCCAGCACTCTGGGAGGCCGAGGTGGGCAGATCACTTGAGGCCAGGAGTTCAAGACCAGCCTGGACAACATGGCAAAAGCCCATCTCTACTAAAAATATAAAAATTAGCCAGGTGTGGTGGTGCACACCTGTAATTCCAGCTACTTGGGAGGCTGAGGTGCAAAGATAGCTGGAACCTGGGACATAGAGGTTGCAGTGAGCTGAGATTGTGCCACTGCACTGCAGCCTGGGCAACAAAATGAAATTCTGTCTCAGGAAATAAAATAAAATGAAATGGAAAATGAGTAGTTGTATGATAGCAAATAAAAATCTAGGTTTTAGAAACTATAACCTTGATAAATTGACGTTCTTTTGGACAAAAAAATATTTTAAATTAAAAAAAATATATATATATATAAACACTATAACCTAATTATCAGCCCTGGATCAAAAATGAACATGATACTGGCTTATAGTATCAGGAATATGAAAAACAAAGATGCTCAAAATTAACCTGCAAAAAGAGACACTTATAAATTTTTTTTTAAAAAGTGGAGACATACTGGGAGACACTAAGGGTCCTTAATATAACCAAAAGGACAGAAAAATGGGACCTAGGAAGTTGGGCAATTGAGGAAGATAATCAAAGCAGGTTAAGAATTCACTATGAATAAAAATCCTGACCAACTGGTCTCTCCAAAGGGGAGTCATGGTTATACTTCAGCAATCTGAGAGAACAGATCACAAGAGTGACGTACACACCAGAGATCATACTATGATCTATGTATCTGAAGACGTTTAAGGTGACACTCTAGTGGTCAAAAATAGACTGCAGTACTGCAAATTGCTGCAACTGCCAACTGTTACTCCTCTTGGTGACAACAAGGAGAAAATTGCTTTTAAAAACATAACTGCCAAAGCACCAACAATCGAATGAATGACAACTTTATTTTTCTTACACTTTTAAGGCTGATGAAAAACCTTCATTTCAATTGAAAAGTATGGTAACTGTGTTTACTCATTATTATTAGTTTTCTAAAACACAACTTGAAAACATCCAGCATGCATGTTTAATATCAGTACAATGAATTCAAGACCAAGTATACATGTTACATTCAGCAAGGCTAGATTACAGATTATCATAGTCATCATCATCATCATCGTCATCATCATCATCTTCACGTTTTCTTTTCAATGCATTTGATGATTCATTGGCAGTATTTTGTGATGACATCATATTAGTGGTAATAAGAATGTTTTTGGACCCGATTAATGATGGATTAATCAGAACATTCTGAACTGCTGAGGTTGCAGGAATTGAAGCTTTTACAGCTGGAGACTGAGAAGTAGGCATCTGTACTGTAAACCTTTGACCTGTGAGGGACATGGGAGTCCCTACTTTAGTTGAAACAGACATGGTCTGTGGGGTTGGTGTGCCTAGTGTGGGAGTACTTGGTCTGCTAGTAACTGAACCAACACTTAACCGCGGGACTGTTATTCTTCCCGCAGAAGTTGATGCCTTTTTCTGTAAAGATTTCAGCCTATAGTTTGGAGCTGTTAAGCAGTATCTATCAGGTGGCAACCTAGGACCTGAATATGGCTTGATCAATGGCAAAGGGGTTTGATTTCTTTGCCTTGCAATATCTAATAAAAAATCTCTTGGGGGAGGAGAGGTAAAAGACTGATCAGCGCGGCACTGGATTGCCAATCGCACATCATCTGCATCAACAGTAGCTTTCTTAGCATGGCTTGAATAAATTTTTGCATCATCTAGAATTGTGGTCACATATCGGAAGGCAAACTCCAACATCTGATTTATAACTCTTGGCTCATATTCTGTAATCCCCATATCCTTCAGGATTTGTGCCATCATCTGTGCATCTTTCGGCATGCTCTTGGGAGAAGCCGTCTTGCCAGACTCCATGATATCCGATGATCAGACTTTAGATCATTTGAAAAAAATATGTACATTAGATCAATCTGAAATAGTTACTTTAGTAGCAACTGTCAGGAACTTAAAAAAATTTTAAATCTATGTTAAACTGTAAAAAAATTTTTAAAATTTAAACCATATGTTTTCTTAATTTTAATGAGGCAACTTAAGGTCGCTTTAATTTATTGAGTTCCTACCATGTACAAATCATTGTCGACTATAAAAAGATGAAGACACAAATAAGGGAGCGATGAAAGATTAGGGGAAAACAGGGTAAAATAAATAAAAACAATGATCATCTTAGAATATATGCAGTTGCATGCAAATCTCACACTAATCTAAGATACCATAGCATAGTCAGGTCCCACACCTGAGCTCAAAACAGTCTCTTTCCAGTGAGACCAATATACTCACTGTGCTCATATATATGTTTAGCAGTACCAAACCTTTGTTTGTTCAACTTAAAAACATTCTCCTTATTCACATTCTACCTATCCGAAATCCAGTCTCTTTATAGGAGCCTTCCCAACTATTCACAAGAATTGCCAGCCATTTTGAAGGCAGAAGGGAAAATGGTCAAAATAACCAGGACATAGCATTAGACACTTAATATTTCTGTGGATTCCCTAACAGAGTATATATTCTTTAATGGCAATCTCTGTTTTTTGTACCCTATGACAATACCCAGCACTAACACTCCACTTACCAGACCTTAAAAAAAAAACAAAACAAATCTAACACCAAAGTGTCCCTTACCTTCTCGAGCTAAATCACCCACATTAATGTATTTCAGTCCTGATTTTGACGCAAGTTCTTTGCCTAGTGTGGTTTTTCCAACCCCTGGTGTACCTGTAAGACAAGCCACAGAAAAATACTGTTTGTGAAATACTACTTATCACACTGCGGTCCACCTTCTGCCTTTCCTTTTATTTTTGAGACAGAGTCTCACCTGGCCTCTGCCCTTAAAAGTTCTTGACGACTGAAATGAAAAATTTCCTAATTAGCAATCATATGTAAAATTTTTTTTTTGAGACAGAGTTTCACTCTTGTCGCCCAGGCTGGAGTGCAGTGGCACAATCTTGGCTCACTGCAACCTCCACCTCCCAGGTTCAAGCGATTCTCCTGCCTCAGTCTCCTCAGTAGCTGGAATTACAGGTGCCCACCACCATACCCAGCTAATTTTTGTATTTTCAGTAGAGACCGGGTTTCACCATATTGGCCAGGCTGGTCTCAAACTCCTAACCTCAGGTGATCTGCCAGCCTCGGCCTCCTAAAGTGCTGGGATTACAGGCGTGAGCCACCATGCCTGGCCATATGTAAATTAGCATGTACTACGATCTAATAAAAATTTTCCAAAGCTAACTGAATGTCAGAATATTACCCAGTGTATTGATTCTCCAGGGGTGGGGCTCAGCAGATTCTGACGCCAATTCAAACTGCCTGCTGCTACCGGGGAACTGCTGAGAATAAAATTAGCCATCTCGTGCTGGGCGCAGTGGCTCATGCCTGTAATCACCGCACTTTGGGAGGCCGAGGCGGGCAGATCACAAGGTCAGGAGATTGAGACAATCCTGGCCAACATAGTGAAACTACATCTCTATTAAAATACAAAAATTAGCCGGGCGTGGTGGCGCGTGCCTGTAATCCCAGCTACTCAGGAGGCTGAGGCAGGAGAATCCCTTGAACCAGGTAGTTGTAAGATGCAGTGAGCCAAGATCGCGCCACAGCACTCCAGCCTGGCGACAGAGACTCCATCTCAAAAAAAAAAAAAAAAAAAAAAATTAGCCACCTCGAATCAATTACAATAATTTATTTACCTTTTTCTTTTTTTAAAGACAAGATATCTCTTTGTTACCTAGGCTGGAGTGCAGTGGAACTTGGCTCACTAGAGCCTTTACCTCCTGGGCTCAAGCAATCCTCCCATCTCAGCCTGTCCGGTAGCTAGGACCACAGGTATGCACCACCATGCCCTGGTTAATTTTTGTAGAGACGGGGTTTGGCTATGTTGCTTAGGCTAAGCTCAAACTCCTGAGCTCAAGCGATCTCCCCACCTCCACCTCCCAAAGTGCTGGGATTTACAGGCATGAGCCACCCACCTGGCCTATTTGCTTTAACTTATAAAGATTTAAAAACTGTTCATGGCCACGTGTGGTGGCTCGCGCGTGTAATCCCAGCAATTTGGGAGGAGAAGGCGGGAGGATCGCTTAAGCGCAGGAGTTCGAGACCAGCCTGGCCAACATAATGAGACTCTGTCTCAAACAAAAACAAAAACAAGAACAAAAACAAAACTGTTCATGTTAAAATTAAGCAGTCTGAAAATTACCTCTACTGACCCCTTGCGCCCTTCCCTAGAGATAACCACTGTAAACCAGTTTCCTTTCCCAAAGAAACCCTATTTATGTTTGCATGTAAATGTACATATATGTACATACTCTTTGTTATATAAATACAACACATATTCCCTTTTACATAAATGACAATACTATATACATTGTTCTTTACCTTCCCCTTCTGATACCTATTAAAATTACATTTCAAGATCATCAAATTCATAATTTTCAGCTATTCAGATTTAACATCCCTGAAATTAAACTTAAGCATAAAGATAACAGGGATAATCCAGTTCCCATACCCAGGAGAATAACGGTCACCTCAAGTCCACTATAATACACCAAGTCTGAACCCTGGACTCAACATGTTTTCAATAAAATGTTCACTTTAAAGTTTTGACAATGACTTAATAACCAGGGCACTATGTTTGATCCATGCAAAAAGATGTAAAATCTTCCGCTTAAGGAATCTAAAATTCTAAACGTTATTTGTGGGGTGGTTAATCTGCACCTCTCAGAAACAGACATGTCTTGTGCGCTGCCAACAATTTTACCTTTGGGTGAATGATGTAACTTTACTGTTCCCACAAAGAGTCTTAATTTTTCTGTACCTTGTAATAAAATCTACATGCATTAGATTTTTCCACGAATGGCCTACAATTTGATAAACACTTTCAGGACTAAACGGCTAGCAAAAATATTCGTTAAAGTCGTTATGCAGCATTTTAATTCCCTTCACTGATAACACGCACCCTGAGTATGGCTTCAAAGACCCACTCCTACGCGAGAAACGACCCGAAATGCTCTATATGCCTTCCTTTTAAGGGGCGGGGGGATCCTTTGATGTAACTCAACAAAAGCATACAGCAATTTCGTCACGTCACAAACATCTGAACTCGTTTACCGAAATCTAATCTGAGGCGTTTATCAGAAGCAAAGAAAAAATAAAATACGGCCCACGGAGGCCTAAGGAGTGAGGCATCCACCATTAATGACTCTACCGGGAAGCAGATATGGCCTTACGTTATTTCGCTAAAAATCCCAAGGCCAACCCTGCCAAAGAATCAACAACCCATTTTACAAACGAAATACCAGATTCAGAAAGACTAAGCAGGTTGCCAAGCTGGAGAGCTGGATCTGCCGACCTCTCTCCACCCCCCCCGCCCCCCCCGGAGCCTCAGGCCAACGGAATTAACGTTCCGCGTCCCCTCCCTCGCCTCCCGCAACGCCCGCGAGGGTCGGCTCCCGGGGCGCTGACAACCGCCTCGTGGCCCTCGGCCGGCCTCTGAAGAGGGCAGTGAGGGGCCCCCACCTGGGCGCCCGATGCCCAGAGCACTCTGCGCCCCCAGCCTGCCCCAGCCCAGTCCCTCCCGGCCGCGCGCCCTGACCGGTGAGCAGGATGTTCGGAAGCAACATGGTCCCCGCCGCGACGGCTTCGGGCGCCTCGCTCACGTGCCCTTTGCTCTACAGGGAGGAGCCGGAAGGGGCGGGCGGCAGCAAAAGCCCACGGCCCCAAAGGCCCCGAAGCCCACCGCGGCGCCCCTAGCCTGCCCCGGCGGCCCAGCCGCGGCCCACTGGTTACCTGGCTTTCGATGACACATTTCCGTCGCAAAGTTGGAGGGTGGGCATAACTCGGGTCGGTACTTCGGGTCAGGCAGTGCGCTGGATGCCTAAGTCACACACTCCTTCGGTGGTCCCCGCCCTTCGCTTGCGCCGACCAGTCTGGAAGGTCCCCGGGAGGCCGTACCTCCGAGAGGCTCGGCGTTGAGCCCGGGTAGGGCCAGGTGGCTGCCCTTTCACCTAGGGTAGTCCCTGGTCGCCTCCGCTCTTCGCCCAAAAGGGGATGCAGCTCCGGGAAAGTAAGGCCGCCGCGGTTGCGGCTATATTATGTATATGTCTTAGAGACGCGAGTCTATCTCTGCCTTCAAGCTTTCCTGGGCTCTCGTCGCTCCTCCTCCCGACCCGCCCATCCCATCTGGGGATGAGAAGATTGAGGGTGCAGAGCCCTGTCCTGCAGCGGGGATTTGCGAGCTCAACCCGGCACCCCACTGATTACAGGATTACGTTGGACGAATATTTGAGCTTAGTATTCCCTGTTCACTGTGTGGGGTGGTGGTGGGTCGGCTAGGAATAGTCTTGAAGGTCTACCTCTGACATCTCATTTCAGTAACCTCGCATCTTCAGGGACAGTTATCTGCTTTTTAAAGGAGGTAATTGTCAATCTTGTTTTCAAGAGTGAATAGAGACCTGACCGTGACAACAGTCTGCACCTTTTTTTGTTTGTTTGTTTGTTTTTGTTTTGTTTTGAGACGGAGTCTCACTCTTGTCGCCCAGGCTGGAGTGCAACCTCCGCCTCCTGGGTTCAAGTGATTCTCCTGCCTTAGCCTCCAGAGTAGCTGGGATTACAGGCGCCCACCACCACGCCCGGCTAATTTTTGCATTTTTAATAGAGACGGGGTTTCACCATGTTTTGGCCAGGCTGGTCTCAAACTCCTGACCTCAGATGATCCGCCCGCCTCGTCCTCCCACGGTGCTGGGATTACAGGCATGAGCCACCGCGTCCGGCCCCTGGTCTGCATCTTTTATTTCGAGCTACAAACTATATTTACTCAAATAGGTGTTTTTTTTCCACCTGTATACCTTTTGAAACGTCACAGTCTCTAATCGTGAACGATTTGGGGCGGAGGGCTGAACAATGTGTTTTCTAGTGTGTCGAGGTGTTTATAGGCTATGTGTGCCTCCAAACTGTAAAGTAGTCCAGTATACTTTCCAATGTATAAGTTTGTAGACCTTAAACTTTTCTTCTGGCTAACTTAAAATCGTTGAATTCACTAGTTTGCATAAACATTTAAGAATTTGAAAACACGGTTGAAAAACAGTGTTACCAAGAAATTTTGTAATAACATGTTCAAATGAAGACAAAAATTTTACAGTTTAAGACTTAAATTCTTCGTCCACAGCAAGTGAATTCATGGTATTTTACTTTTTTGGGAAATACTGGAAATGAAGACCTGCAACTGTAATTTGAAATAAGGAAAACTTTAATTTTCAGTATAAAAATTGCTCAAATAGAATTGCCTGATTTTAATGACAAAAGGTAAGTACATAGTATGTGTGGTTTTTTTGTTTTTTTTTTTTCTAATACATCATTGAGTTCATGTGAAAAACTCTTAACACCACAAGTAGATTATTTGATACAGTTATAGTCATTAAAATTATTTTAGAATTTTGATTTCTTGTATCACTTAAATTTACTGTTCTTTTTCACTAGTTCTTGAGCCTTTATTGTATTGTTGATTATATCAGTATACATTTATTACTATAATTGGGCATTTACAGTTTTTCTTCATTTGAGGGCTTCTTCCCCCCCCCCCCAGGTGAATTATAGTTTAATGTACTGCAAGTCCTAAACTACGGATGGGAACTATTACAGTTTATAATGTCAAAAACTTTTCTTAGACCAAAGGTATCTTCCACAAAGGTATGATACACTGGAATGGCCATGTAATAATTGCCTTAAAATAATTATAAATTTTTATATATATTCTTAATAACTTATTACTGCTATCAAAGTAATAGAGCCGAGTATCTATTGTAATTAATGATTTAAGCAAGTCTGGTAATAAGTTGTGAAACAAGTGTTCTCTAAAAGCACAACCTTAATTTTGAAAAAGTGTTTTACAGTCCCAGTCACAAAGGCTGAAAACATTTGAATGAAAGAACATAGAAGAGAGAAATATGAGTGGTAGTTGGTGTTATAGCTTAACCAAAAGCACTGCTTCTTAGAAGTAATGTAATTCAGTGTGTGAGTTCTCAGCAAGATAGGGGTTAAGGTGGGATGGGGGTCAGACAGTTTCATGCATGCAGGGTAGCTATTTCCCTAAGTGGTAGCTCTAAATTTTCTTTGATGTTAAGTAAGTTACTTAACTTTGCTGTTTATCTTTCTCTTTTTTTCAGTATATGGGAGTCCACATTTATGTAAGAAATGAAACTATAAAATGTATAAATAATTTGCAAATCAGAATTGCTGTCGAAAGTTTTACTATAATGAAAGATATTTTCATACTCTCAAAAATATAGAGGAAAGGGGCCAAGATTATAGTACCAGTCACAATCTTTTGATGAGGACGAAATGAATCAGGTAGCTATGACTAAAATTTTTTCCAGTGGTCTTCCTTTTTTAATCCACTGCCGATAATATTCCTAACTCTGTCTTAAAAGAAGAGTGAAGTGTGACTTAGCATTCGTAAAGTATTTATAAGCCCCAAATTGTCTCCCCTAAGCCTACTTTCAGCTCCAACTTCTGGTTCATTTTCTTCAAGAGAGGAACATTGTCTAATAAATAGCTCAACTGTGGCTGAGTATTCTTGAAAGAAATATATAACTTGGTTTCTTTTTGTTAGCCAGGCAGTAGATTCTACAACCAGATCTGAAGCTATATTTTTCTAGATTTATGCTATTAGAGTGTTAAAAAATCTAGTAAAAATTTCTAATTTCTAATTATTTGTAATTATTAGCTAATAATTTCTAATTATTAGCAAAATTTTTTTTTTGAGACAGGGTCTCACTCTGTTGCCCGGGCTGGAGTGCAGTGGGGTGATCATGGTTCACTGCAACCTTGACCTCCCGCGCTCAAGTGATTCTCCCACCTTAGCCCCCCAAGTAGCTGGGAATACAGGCGTGCGCCACCATGCCTGGCTAATTTTTTATTTTTTGTAGAGTTGGGGTCTCCCTATGTTATGCTAGCTGTTCTCAAACTCCTGGGCTCAGCAATCCTACTGCCTCTGCCTCTGAATGTGCTGGAATTATAGGTGTGAGCTACCACACCCAACCATTCCCAGGCATTTCTGAGTGACAGTTCCCCCTCTGGAAAGCCTGCCTCAATTATAAAAATATTAGTTGCTTCATACACTGAAGAAAAATATAATCCAGTCATAATTACAGATTACGTTATGATCTTTGGCCTATATCTTCACTAAGTCTTCAAGCTGATACGGATTATTTGGATGTATGAAATGGTTCTTAGTTTGTGAATGTATTAACCTGGCCAAGGCAGATATATTACTCTTATTGCTGTTTCTGTTAAAATATTATCATTTGTTTATTTTGTTTTGCTTTTTTTAATAGGTAATTTTAATATTTATGTTTCAATCCTACAGAGAGTTTAAAAAAATCATTCTAGTGTTTATGCTGGGAAGGTTACAATTAATAAAAATAAGTTTGTGTTCTTTACTCCTTTAAGGTCAAGTAGACAAGTATGCACTTGCACTTACTGTAAAGTAGAAAAACAACTATTACAGACAGAGTTTTATTTAAAAAGAGTTAATTTGTAAGATTTTTAGGCCGGGTATGGTGGCTTATACCTTTAATCCCAGCTCTTTGGGAGGCTGATGTGAGAGGATCACTTGAGCCCAAGAATTGTTTGAGACCAGCCTGGGCAACATGGCAAAAACCCATCTCTACAAAAAATACAAAAAAATTAGTTGGGCATGGTGGTGCATGCCTGTAGTCCCAGTTACTCAAGAGGCTGAGGCTGGAGGATTGCTTGAGCTGAGATTATACCACTGCAGTCCAGCCTGGGTGACAAAGTGAGACCCGGTCTCAAAAAAATTTTTTTTTTTTTTTTTTTTTTTTTTAAGTTTTAAAGGTTATAAATATATGAATATGTTGTTTCCAGAGTAGTTCAGTTATTTGGGGGAATAGATGGGAGAAAATGTGATTATATTTACATGATTTCTTTTTTTTTCAGGTAACAGACTGGGTTGACCCATCATTTGATGATTTTCTAGAGTGTAGTGGCGTCTCTACTATTACTGCCACATCATTAGGTGTGAATAACTCAAGTCATAGAAGAAAAAATGGGCCTTCTACATTAGAAAGCAGCAGATTTCCAGCGAGAAAAAGAGGAAATCTATCTTCCTTAGAACAGATTTATGGTTTAGAAAATTCAAAAGAATATCTGTCTGAAAATGAACCATGGGTGGATAAATATAAACCAGAAACTCAGGTACTGAAAAGCATGCAGACATATCTACATAATTTAATTTCAGGGTGCATAAGGGTAGATGGGAAGCAGAGGGATTTACATTTTCAGATTTTTTACTCATAAGAATCTTTCTAAGTGTTAGAAAAAATTCTGGATTTTTTTATTTTCCAAGGCTTAGATTTTTCTCAATAGTTATTCTAAAGTTGTATGATTAGTTGTCTTAGATTTAATTTAATCCCAACATAGAATTGATCTTTTTAAAAATTTTTGTACTAAATGTAATACTCCTCTCTACTGTCTTCTCAAAATGTATTTCTGAATTTTAAAAAATGTTATAACTGCAAACTTGCCAAAATTATCATACAGAGGTATCAACTTAAGAATATAATTTTTCCATAATAGTATAAAAATTCAAGTATAATCAAAAGGATCATTTTATTATATAGATTGTTACTGATTTGCTACTTCTTTTCGTTAATAATGCTTAGGTTCATATGTGCTGATGTACCAAAAAATCTTCAGTTAAGAAGTTTTGTTTTAAATTTGAAATTTTTGTTGTAGCATGAACTTGCTGTGCATAAAAAGAAAATTGAAGAAGTCGAAACCTGGTTAAAAGCTCAAGTTTTAGAAAGGCAACCAAAACAGGTAACTAAGAAATGTGTTTTTAAATATTTAACATCAAATATTTTTCTGACTTACAGTGTGTTGTTAGAAGTTAAAGTTTTATGATGATTTTGTTCAAAATAAGTCTAGATCTCCTGCAGTAGAAAGCTCCCTAGTGGGGCATGGTGACTCATGCCTGTAATCCCAGCACTTTGGGAGGCCAAGGCAGGAGGATCACTTGAGCCCAGGAGTTCGAGAGCAGCCTGGGCAACATAGGGAGACTGTCTCTACAGCTAATTAGCTGGGCATTGTGGTGCATGCCTCTGGTCTCAGCTACTTGGGAAGCTGAGGTGGGAGGATCGCCTGAGCCCAGAAGGTGGAAGCTGCAGTGAGCTGTGATCACACTAGTACACTCTAGCCTGGGCAACAGAGCAATACCAAAAACCGTAAAAAGCAAAACAAAACAAAAAGCGAAAAAGAAAGCTTCATGACTTTACTACTTCCAACTTGACTAAAAGACTCAGAGACTTTGAGTTTTCCCCTTTATTTGTAACTCTTTTTCTTTATGTCTTATTGTTAGCATAAAGAATCAGTAAACCAATTAGGGTGCTAGTGTATTTAGCACATCAGATTATCTCAGGCTGAGGAAAGCAGGCAAATTACATGTTAGTTTCTCTACTAAATATAGCCAAAAACAGTCATTATTTATTTTAGACTGATATTTTTTGTTTCACTTCCTTACTGCACAATTACCTTGAACCCCCAAGGTAGAATATTCTCTCCTTCCATCAGTCTCCCTTTTTAAATGTTTTTTATTTTGAGATTTTTCAAGCATAAAAGAAAATAGAATAATAAAAAAATATATATAGAATATACTCATTGTTTCCCCCTTAAGTATTTTAAAGTAAATTATAAACATTGTGACATTTCAGTTAGACTTTTAGATACTTCAGTATGTCTCTGTTTTTTTAAAAAAATGATTTTCCTAATTAATTATGCATACCATTATTCTCTCTAACAAAGTTAACCAGGATGCCGTAATGCTGTCTAATGATGAATTCATATTCACGTTTCTGCATTTGTCCCCAAAATGTCTTTTGTAGCTGGTTTGTTTCAAACAGGATAGGATCACACGTTGCATTTGGCTGTTATATATCTTAGGCCTTTTTTTTTTTCCCTGAATCTAATAATAGTTTACTAACCCTTTCTTTTCTCCAAGGCACTGACTTATGAAGGAGACCAGGCCGGTTGACTTGTAGAAGTCTCACACTGGATTTGTTAGGTTGTTTCCTCCTAATAATGATTAACTTATTCGTCTATCCTGCATTTCCTATAACCTGAAATTTTGAATCAAGGGCTTGATTAGACTCAAGTTGAACATTTTTGCAAGAATAAAGGTCATGTTGTATGTTGTATAGGGCGTCAAATTGGAAAGTATTTGTGGTTCTCCTGCTGTCTTAAGTTTGGTCACTAGATCAAAGAGATGAAAGTCAAAAATCTTCATTGTAGAGTAACTTTCCCTCACAACTGACACATAATCCATGGGGAGATACCGTGGCAGCATGTGAGTGCCCAGTTCTCCATCAGTCGTCCACCTAAGTGCTGTAGCTTCAGTTTTTCAATCCTTGCCTGAATCACTTATTTTATTAGAGTTGTACAGTAGTGACTTTCTTATAGTTCTGTTATTTCTACAGTTATTACTGGCATTTTTCTACAAAGAAAAGTTTGCCATCACTAGCTAGGGTTGTTTAGTTACCTTGAAATACATTTCCAACTAGAAAGGCAGGATAAGTTTTGTATCTTTTCCTTTTTTAAAAAATAGACTTATTTTTGGAGCAGTTTTAGGTTCACAGCCAAATTGGGTAGAAGGTACAGAGATGTACCTCATATCCCCTGCCCCAACACATGCATAGCCTTCTCCCGTTACTAACCTTCCCTCACCAGAGTAGTACATTTGTTAAAACTGATAAACCTACATTGACACATCACTAACACCCAGAGTCCATTGTTTACATTAGGTCTTTCCTTTAGTTTTCAACCTTGAGATGAAGGAGTTGGTGTTTTAGTTGCTTTGATGGTAACAGATCCTTCTCTCTTTTTTTTTTTCTCGAGAGTCTTGCTTTGTCACACAGGCTAGAGTGCAGTGGCATGATCTTGGCTCACTGCAACCTCTGCCTCCTGGGTTCAAGCGATTCTCCTACCTCAGCCTCCCGAGTAGCTGGAATTACAGGCATGCGCCACCACACGCAGCTAATTTTTGTATTTTTAATAGAGACAGGGTTTCACCGTGTTGGCCAGGCTGGTCTTGAACTCCTGACCTCAGGTGATTTACCCGCCTCGGCTTCCCTAAGTGCTGGGATTGCAGGTGTGAGTCATCACGCCCAGCCAATCCTCCTCTCTTGAACCAAGCTCCTTTCTCTCTGGCCTGTGGATCTAAACCTTTTGGTTTAGGGCTAAGATCATGAATTCAAGTTGGATTTTCAGTGTCAGCATTGGTATTCCTCTGATGTTTCATAGAAATCTCGTCTCTTGTCTCCGAATACAGATTTTTGGGCAGTCTATCTGACACACCTCTTACATCCAGGCTTTTTCTCATTGATTTGTTTTTGGTCAGCTTAGCTAATAGTTTTTATTTTTCAGTGTCCATTGTGTTTTCTCACTTAGCAATACTCTGTCAGTATAAACATTGTCACATCATAAACCTACATTGGTGTTACTATTATTATTCTACCAGTTGGATAAACTTAGGTATATGTGTGTGTGTGTGTGTGTGTATATATATATATATATATACACACACACACATATATACGTATATATATGTATATATACGTATATATATGTGTATATATACGTATATATATGCATATATATATGTATACATATATATGCATATATATGTATACATATATATATGCATATATATGTATACATATATATATGTATTGGGAAAAGTATTTTCTTTATGGTTTCAAAAGTTTTCCCCCTAAGGAGTTGGACTTTAATCATATACTCTGTTTATTTGTTTATTAATTTTTTAGAGACAGGGTCTTGCTAGAGACGGTTGCCTACACTGGATTGCAGAGGTGCTGTCATAGCTCACTGCAGCCTTGAACTCCTGGGCTCAAGCAGTCCTCCCACCTCAGCTTCCTGAGTAGCTGGGGACTGCAAGTGTGTGCCACCGCATCTGGCTAATTAAAAAAAAATTTTTTTGTAGAGATGGGGTCTTATGGTGTTGCCCACGCTGGTCTTGAATTCCTGGCCTCAAGTAGACCTCCCACATTGGCATCCCACAGTGTCAGAATCAATAGGCATGAGCCACACCATGCCTGGCCCAAATCACTTACCATTTATTTTACAGAAGTTTCAGGGATGTCAGTAATTAGAAAATGTTTTTATTCAAAAAAATTGGTAAGATCTAGATTTATCAATGGGCAAACGAAATTTACTTTTCAAAATTTATTTTAAGTACGATATACCAAATATTTGCAGAGTTTAATTTTTCAGGACAGCTTCTTTCCTTCAAAATTCAGTAAAACTCTGTTACAGTGTAGACAAATGGGATTAACAAGATTCTTCACATTATAATGTCCTGATAAGAAACTACCTCCTAGTTCTCTTACTGGAAGGGAAACTTGCTATGTGGCTGTACCCACTCTGTCAGAAAACAGGCACTTAAGTATATTATTACATGAGAAAAATGTATAATGCCTGTGCATAGGCTTCTTTTTCTTTGTAAAGAAGTGATCTGTCTGGTATTGTAGTTCTCATTATTCAAGGTAGTTATGTTCTGTAAAGTTGCTGAATTAGCAAATACTGAACCATTATTCTAAGAAAAACACTAAATTAGGTTTTTGCAAACCTCTGGTAACAACATTTTTGTCAACCCATCAATATATAGCCTTGTTGTATATGTGTTTTTATTTAAAGTTATTTAATGTTCAGTCATGCTTCAATTAATGATGGGGATACATTCTGGGAAATGTGTCATTAGGTGACTTCATTGTTGTGAGAATATCATAGAGTGTACTTACACAAACCTCCACCTAGGCTATATGGTATAGCCTCTTGCTCCTATGCTACAAACCTGTATAGCTTGTTACTGTATTGAATACTGTAGGCAATTATAACACAGTGGGAACTATATGTGTAAATAAACATACCTAAAGCATACCATTAAAAAGTACAGTAAAAAGGCCGGGCTTGGTGGCTCAGGCCTATAATCCCAGCACTTTGGGAGGTCGAGGTGGGTGGATTACCTGATGTCAGGAATTCGAGACCAGCCTGGCCAACATGGTGAAACCCCATCTCTACTAAAAATGCAAAAATTAGCCAGGCATGGTGGTATGTGCCTGTAGTCCCAGCTATATGGGAGGCACAAGAATCACTTGAAAGCGGGTGGCGGAAGTTGCAGTGAGCTGAGATAGTGCCACTGTGCCCCAGCCTGGGCAACAGAACAGAGACTTTGTCTCAAAAAAAAAATATTTTTTGGTAAAAACATGGTTATAAAAGATAAAAAAAATGCTAGTATACATTTATATAGGGAACTTACCATGAATGGAGCTTGGACTGGAAAATGGTTAAGTCAGTGACTGTGAGTGGTTAGTGACAGTCTAAGGACATTACTGTGCACTATTGTAGACTTTTATAAACATTGTACACTTAGGCTACACTAAACTTAAACAGTTTTTTATTTAATAAATTAACCTTCACTTACTGGAACTTTTTGTAAAGGCCATGTGAAGGACTTTATGTAGCTTTTTTACTTTATAAACTTTTAGATTCTTTGATAATAACACTTAGCTTAAAACACAAATAAATGGTACGGCTGTACAAAAATATTTTGTCTTTATATCTTTATTCTATAAATTTTTTTTGTATTTAAAAAAAAATTTTTAAGCTTCTTTTAAAATTAGAAATGAAGACACAAACACACCAATTAGCCTAGGTCTACACAGGATTAGGATCATTAATAGCACTGTCTTCCACCTCTATGTCTTGTCCACTGGAAGGTCTTCAGAGGCAACAACACGTAAGGAGCTGTCATCTCTTATGACAACAGTGCCTTCTTCTGCAGTACCTCCTGAAGGACTTGCCTGAGGCTGTTTTATAGTTAACTTCTTTTTTTTTTTTTTGACAGAGTTTCACTCTTGTTGCCCAGGCTGGAGTGCAGTGGTGCAATTTTGGCTCACTGCAACCTCTGCCTCCCGGGTTCAAGCGATTTTCTTGCCTCAGCCTCCTGAGTAGCTGGGATTACAGGAGTGCACCACCACGCCCGGGTAGTTCTTGTATTTTTAGTAGAGATGGGCTTTCTCCATGTTGGCCAGGCTGGTCTTGAACTCCTGACCTCAGATGATCTGCCTGCTTCGGCCTCCCAAAGTGCTGGGATTATAGGCGTGAGCCACTGTGCCCGGCCAACTTTTTTTTTTAAAAAACAAGTAGATTCTAAT
The DNA here is from genome assembly GCF_000001405.40 of Homo sapiens. Lineage (NCBI taxonomy): Eukaryota > Metazoa > Chordata > Mammalia > Primates > Hominidae > Homo > Homo sapiens. The sequence goes on from NW_025791777.1 coordinate 46,939, forward strand.
AATAAAGATGGGCACTGTAAATACATAAACCAGTAAGATAGTTGTTTATTATAATTATCAAGCATTATGTGTTACACATAATGAGATATACGTGTTACACTTTTATACAGCACAGTAGGTGTGTGTACACCAGCATTACCACAAACATGAGTGATGTTTTGCATTATTGTTACTAGGAATTTTTCAGCTCCATTATAATTTTATGAGACTACTGTTTATATGTGGTTCATCATTGACTGAAAGTTGATTATCTGGCACATGACTGTATATTGTTGATCCATATAGTTTGAACTCATGGTGAACAGCGCTATAACTCATGCACTGCCCCTTTCAAAAGTGGAGCAGGCTCTCTTTGTCCAAGTACATAGGTTCTTATTAAAGGAAAATAAACAAGAATTATAGCCTACCATTGTATGTAGGAAATCTTTTGATATTTCTGTAGCTTCAACTTTTTTTTTTTTAATCAAATTTACGGTATGAGGGAATGTTACTGGGATCCACAACCTCTAGTCTCTCGTTAGAGTCCTATCTCTGGTAAATATGTTTCTTTTTTTTCCTTTTTTTTTTTTCTGAGACAGGATCTTACTCTAATGTGCAGGATGGAGTGCAGCGGCAATCTTGGCTCATTGCAGCCTCCACCTCCCAGGCTCAAGTGATTCTTCCACCTCAGCCTCCTGACCAGCTGGGACTATAGGCGCACACCACCATGCCCAGCTAATTTTTTGTATTTTTTTTGTAGAGACAGGGTTTTGCCATGTTGACTAGGCTGGTCTCAGACTCCTGGGCTCAAGGAATCCGTCTGCCTCAGCCTCCCAAAATGCTGGGATTACAGGTGTGAGCCGCCGTGCTCTTCCCAAATATGTGTCTTAATATGCATTTCTTAAAGAATCTAATAACCAAACTGAGGTCTTTCCATAAGAATATTGTATTTGTATAACAGTAACTTATATCATCCAATGAGATGTCTATATTAAGAATAAATTTTGCTGGGAGCGGTGGCTCACATCTGTAATCCCAGCACTTTGGGAGACCATGGCGGGCAAATCACGAGGTCAGGAGATTGAGACCATCCTGGCTAACACGGTGAAACCCTGTCTCTACTAAAAATACAAAAAAATTAGCCGGGCGTGGTGGCGGGCGCCTGTAGTCCCAGCTACTCGGGTGGCTGAGGCAGGAGAATGGCGTGAACCCGGGAGGCGGAGCTTGCAGTGAGCCGAGATTATGCCACTGCACTCCAGCCTGGGTGAAAGAGCAAGACTCGTCTCAAAAAAAAAAAAAAGAATAAATTTTATGAGTTCAGGTAACCTCTAAAAATCTTTGTTTCAGACATCACCTCCCTAATTTAGCCAAAGTTTAGTATTTGGCTACTAAATAGTCCTTGAGAGGGACATAATGCAAAAATTGAGAAATTATCAGAAGCGGAATTGAGAGTTGAAGAATTAAGATTCTCTTATTTCCATATTTGCAGATGTTTTTGTATGGAAAAGGGGGGAAAAAGGCAATTTTTAAAAAAGAAAAAAATAAAGCTGGTTTATTCCAGCAAGCATTATTATGAAATTTAATGTGCTTATATGAGACATTCAGCAAATATTTATAGAAGTAAATATATTTAGAATGAAAAGTCAGAAATAATATTCTAGCATTCCAGTGATTTTGGTTTTTAATTCATATTTGTATTTGATTTTAGGGTGGATCTATTTTATTAATAACAGGTCCTCCTGGATGTGGAAAGACAACGACCTTAAAAATACTATCAAAGGAGCATGGTATTCAAGTACAAGAGTGGATTAATCCAGTTTTACCAGACTTCCAAAAAGATGATTTCAAGGGGATGTTTAATACTGGTAAGATTTGCTGTGAAGGTAGTAGAAGTAGTGGGGCAAACCTGTGCTTAAGGGAGCTTTCAGATAAAGTTCTATGAGTGCATTTTTTCCCATACTTCTTGCTTTCAGAGGGATGGAATTTCACAGGCCAGGTGCGATGGCTGTCACATGGGAGGCTGAGGCAGGAGGATTGCTTCAGGCCAGGAGTTAAAGACCAGGCTGGGCAACATACAAAGAACCTGTCTACAAAAATAAAAAAATCAGCTAGGTATAGTGTTGTGTACCTGTAGTTCTAACTACTCAAGGGCTGAGGTGTGAGGATCACTTGAGCCCATGAGTTCAAGGTTGCAGTGAGCTATAGTGTTACCATCGTGCTCCAGCCTGGGCAACAGAATGAGACATTGTCTCAAAAAATAAATAAATAAAAGTTATTTCAGGAGAAGGAAAGAAAGCATGTCTCCAATGGAAGACAATGGAATTTTTTGAAGATTAAGTCTTAACTGTTTTGTTAACATATTCTTCTGTTTGCATTATTTATCTGCTTTTTTCTAAGATCTGGCTAGGAGGTTAGACAGTATTAACTAAGATATTTTATTTGTTAAATCAAGCCTTAAGATGTGTTAAAAAGAACTTGCCCCCCAACAAGATAGCTTAGATCAGTAAGTACCTGTTAGAACAATATCAAATGAAAGCAAAAGACAAAGATGTCTTTGGAATTTGGAAGGAGGCCTTAAGATAACGATTTAAAAATTGATAATAGTAACAATTTTATTTATTTTTATTTTTTTTGAGACAGAGTCTCACTCTGTCGCCCAGGCTGGAGTACAACCTCTGCCTCCCAGACTCAAGCTATTCTCATGCCTCAGCCTCCTGAGTAGCTGGGATTAGAGGCATGTGCCACCACACCCAGCTAGTTTTTGTATTTTTAGTAGAGATGGGGTTTTGCCATGTTAGCCAGTCTGGTCTCGAACTCCTGGCCTCAAGTGATCCACCTGCCTCTGCCTCCCAAAGTGCTGGGATTATAGGCGTGAGCTACCATGCGTGGCAATAGTACCAATTTAAAGATGTAATACGTTATAAGTTCATGCATATGCTTATGTACCTTAGCACTATCATTTTTATCTTTCATAGTTTTTCATATTGCAACTCCAGGTGGTGAAACTAGGGATAGCCAAATCTCCTAGGCCATTTTGAAGGGAAAAGGGTTCTGTAGAAGGATAATTTTAATGTGGAGTGTTCCTCAAAATCCCTTCTCTGGACTCTTCTTTAATGTACTCCCTTGTGCTACTAGTATCCCATCCTGCTGGGGCTTTTACTGTTTTCTTTTCTTTATTATTATTATTACTATTATTATTATTTTTTTTTTGAGATGGAGTCTTGCTCTGTCACCCAGGCTGGAGTGCAGTGGTTTGTCTCACTGCAAGCTCCGCCTCCTGGGTTCAAGCAATTCTCCTGACTCAGCCTCCCAAGTAGCTGGGATTACAGGCGTCCACCACCATGCCCGGCTTATTTTTGTATTTTTTAGTAGAGATGGGGTTTCACCACGTTGGTCAGGTTGTTTTCGAACCCCTGACCTCAGGTGATCCAACCACCTCGGCCTCCAAAAGTGCTGGGATTACAGGCGTGAGCCACCACGCCCGGCCCATTATTATTATCATTTTTTTAAGAGAGAAAGTCTCACTATATTGTCTAGAATGAACTTCTTAAGCATTTAAGGGATTCTCACGACCCAACCTCTGGGGTAGCTGGGACTACAGACGTGTGTTCCTGCATCTGGCTTTTACTGCTTTCTAAATAGTAGCATTACTTTTGACAGTCTGATAAGCTTTAACTTAAACAGTCTTCAATATGAAACATGCCTTCAGAGAGCTTCCCTCATTCTCAAGTTCACTAATCAGTTATTCTGTTTTTGTTGTTAAACCTTTATCACTCCAGCCTGACCAACATGGAGAAACCCCGTCTCTACTAAAAATTCAATAATTAGCCAGGCGTGGTGGTGTGTTCCTGTAATCCCAGCTACTCAGGAGGCTGAGGCAGGAGAATTGCTTGAACCTGGGAGGTGGAGGTTGCAGTGAGCCAAGATTGCGCCACTGCACTCCAGCCTGGGCGACAGAGCAAGATTCCGTCTCAAAACAAACAAACCAAACCCTTATCACTGAAGGTAATTCATTTATAGGCTTGAACTCATTTAGAGATTCTTCATTGGGTAGGCCACAGTCATAGATATTTTTACCAATTATATGAATGTTATACCGACAGCTGTGTTCTTAGGTCAGTTAACTCCATATTACACAGGGTCTCACTCTGTCACCCAGGCTGGAGTGCAGTGACACAATCTTGGCTCACTGCAACCTCCACCTCCTGGGCTCAAGCTATTACCCCCACCCTCTGCCTCAGCCCTGCAAGTAGCCAGAACTACAGGCACAAGCTTCCACACCTGGCTAATTTGTGTATTTTTTTGTAGAGACCGGGTTTCACCATGTTGCCCAGGTTGCTCTTGAATTCCTGAGGTCAAGCGATCCACCTGCCTCGGCCTCCCAAAGTGCTGGGATTACAGGCGTGAGCCACTGTGCCTGGCTACATGTTGACTCTTGTCCTTTGAAAGGAATATCCTATTTTAAATTTAAATGATTTTTCCTAATTGGGAAATAGTCTACAGTATTGTGAGATGCATCAAGTATGTGTGTGTGTACATACAGATGTATAATATTAATGTATATCATTTGTTGAAAATAAAAGTGGTTATGTGTTTCCTTTCAGAATCAAGCTTCCATATGTTTCCCTATCAGTCTCAGATAGCAGTTTTCAAAGAGTTTCTACTAAGAGCGACAAAGTATAACAAGTTACAAATGCTTGGAGATGATCTGAGAACTGATAAGAAGATAATTCTGGTTGAAGTAAGGACAACTTTTAAAATCTTTTTTTTTTTTTTTTTGAAATGGAGTCTTGCTGTGTCACTGTCACCCAGGCTGGAGTGCAGTGGCGCGATCTCAGCTCATTGCAAGCTCTGCCTCCCAGGTTCACGCCATTCTCCTGCCTCAGCCTCCGGAGTAGCTGGGACTACAGGCGCCCGCCACCACGCCCGGCTAATTTTTTGTATTTTTTAGTAGAGACGGGGTTTCACTGTGTTAGCCAGGATGGTCTCGATCTCCTGACCTCATGATATGCCCACCGTGGCCTCCCAAAGTGCTGGGATTACAGGCGTGAGCCACCATGCCTGGCCTAAAATCTTTTTTTTTTTTTTTTTTTTTGAGACAGAGTCTCTCTTTAACCCCTAGGCTGGAGTGCAGTGGTGCAGTCTTGGCTCACTGCCACCTCCGCCTCCTGGGTTGAAACAATTCTCATGCCTCAGCCTCCCCCGAGTAGTGGGGATTACAGGAACCTGCCACCATGCCGGCCTAATTTTTGTATATTTAGTAGAGATGGAGTTTTGCCACGTTGGCCAGGCTGGTCTCAAACTCCTGACCTCAAGGTAATCCTCCCGCCTTGGCCTCCCGAGTGCTGGGATTACACATGTGAGCCACCACACCCAGCCAACTTTTAAAATTTTGCTGTAGCTATTGACTAAACAATTGTGAGATATATCTTACATGATAATGTTAACTTGTCTCTATAGTAGTGATATTGGTAAAATACAACACAAAGGCTTTGTAATAGTAGAAACCTAAAGTCTCTTCTAGTAAACTTGAATGGAATAGCTGTAGGATAAGGAATGTTATAAATTTTAATGGTTTAAGTATAGAAAAACAAAAGAAAAGTTTGGAAAATTACTTCCTTGTGAAAATACTGTAACTGGAAAGCAACCCAAAGAAATTTGATCTAAAAATTGGGATCCCCATTGATGTATATTACTGTTTCGGATATCATCTATTTCATGTTTCCTGTGAAAGTTCTGTTTAAAATACATTGAATAAATATATTTTTGCCTACCTCAATAAATATAAATTTGAAAAATAAATTTGCAATGGAATAAAACTATACTATTATTTATTTTTTATTTTCAATAGGATTTACCTAACCAGTTTTATCGGGATTCTCATACTTTACATGAAGTTCTAAGGTAGGTTTCAGTGAAGTATTCTAAAACTCCAAATTAAATGAGAAGTGGCTTAAATTTCAACATTGCTGTATTTTGTTATTTTAGGAAGTATGTGAGGATTGGTCGATGTCCTCTTATATTTATAATCTCGGACAGTCTCAGTGGAGATAATAATCAAAGGTTATTGTTTCCCAAAGAAATTCAGGAAGAGTGTTCTATCTCAAATATTAGGTAAGAAAGAAATTTCTGCTTATAAAGGTCACATACATATTATATTTTTAAATTAATCATTTAACTGCTATCTTTCTTTATAAAACTTAGTTTCAACCCTGTGGCACCAACAATTATGATGAAATTTCTTAATCGAATAGTGACTATAGAAGCTAACAAGGTAAGTCTCTGATTAATTAAACCTTACTCGATAACTATAGAAAGCCTAGCTTAAATAGTATTATGTAAACTGAAGGAGTGTTATTTTAATTTTTTAGAATTAAAACATTTTATTATACTCATAAGGCATGTCATTTTAGCAAATGTAGGAAATACTGATTTTAAAAATCTTTAACATTTTTCTACTATTAAACTTTCACTTTCACATTGAGGTAAATTTTTCCTTTGCTTGGTTTACTGTTCTAAATTGTGTCTGTCATCAAGAAAATGTTTTCTGGCATGTAGGTATGGTAGTTATCAACAATTCAACTCTTCCTATTGTCCTGTTGTCACTTTTTTATTTTCACATTTTTTTTAATTATGGTGAAAAACATGTATCATAAAATTTATCATCTTAACCATTTTCAAAGATACACTTCAGTATTGTAAAGTCTATTTACATTCATATACAGCTGTTGTCACTTTTTTTTTTTTTTTGGAGACAGGGTCTCACTCTGTTGCTCAGGCTGGACTGCAGTGGCATAATCATGGCTCACTGCAGCCTCGACCTCTTGGGCTCAAGTGTTCCTCCCACCTCAGCCTCCCAAGCAGCTGGGACTACAGGCTGGTACCACCACGCCTGGCTAATTTTTTAATTTTTTTTAGAGACAGGGTCTCTCTGTGTTGCCCAGGCTGGTCTCGAATTCCTGGCTCAAGTGATCCTCCCTCCTCGGCCTCTGAAAGTGCTGAGATTTCAGGCATGAGCCTCTGTGCCCGGCTTCTTTTCACTTTTAGTACGTCATTTTTTCTGTATTTCAAATCAAGATGATGTTAAAAAAAAATTGATGGACCTTCTGCTCCCAGCGTCATGGTTTTAGGGAATCCTATTGGTATAAATCAACCAAATCTTGCATGAAACATAATTTTTGTTGCACTGCTAGGACCACAGGAACTGAGGGAAATATCCAAGGGAGAGGTTGTTTTGAGGATTAAATACGTTAGTGTAGAGCACCTAACTGAATAAATAACAGATATTAATAGTGAAAAATGAGAAACAAACTGAGTCCAATAATACAGGAAGCAATTACTGTGATGAATTATTATGCTATTAGTGTTTTGAAAATATTTAATGGGTCAGGTGCGGTGGCTCACGCCTGTAATCTTAACACTTTGGGAGGCCGAGGTGGGTGTATCACCTGAGGTCAGGAGTTCATGACCAGCCTGGCCAACAGGTGAAACCCCATCTCTAATAAAAATACAAAAATTAGCCGGATGTGGTGGCGGGTACCTATAATCCCAGCTACTCAGGAAGCTGAGGCAGGAGAATAGCTTGAACCCAGGGGGTGGAGGTTGCAGTGAGCCGAGATTGCGCTACTTCACTCCAGCCTGGGCAGCAAGAGCAAAACTCTGTATCCCAAAAAAAAGAAAAAAAATTACCTGGGCATGGTGGTGTGCTCCTGTATTCCCAGCTACTCAGAAGCCTGAGACAGGATGATCGCTGGAGCCTAGGAGTTTGAGGCTGCAGTGATCTAGATGAAATGACTGTAGTCTGTCATGGACAGAGCTAGACCCTGTCTCTAAAAAAACATCTACATTCTCTACTATAAGCATGAGAACTGCAAATTGAGCCATGGTGCATGCCTGTAGTCCCAGCTACAAAGGCTGACAGTGGTGGGAGGATTTGTTGAGCCTGGGAGCTCAAGACCAGCCCAGGTGTGATATAGTAAGACCTTGTGTCAAAACAAAAATTTTTTTTTTTAGTGAATTGATTAGTTCAAGTGGCTCTGGTTTAAAAAAGAAGAAGAAGAAATAATTGGTGTAATTATGGCTTTTTCATCCTCACCAGACTGTATAATGTATAACCCCAGTAAAGGAATTTTCATGTAAATTTCATAAATTAGTTAGATTATTTTGTGTATATTTAATTTTATCACAGTCTGTTGCATTTTGAGGGTTTTTTTGTGTGTACACATATATGTTGTTATATATCTGTGTGTATGTAGTGAGAAAGAGTAAAAACTTCAAAATACAACCTGGTCAAAGTGAAAAAGTAAAATAATACAGTATTTAATATTTCCTGAAAGTATACCTTAAACTGTAATAAGTCATTGAAGCTTGTATCATTCATAGACCAGTGTTTAGCATGAAGGCTTTTTAGTTTTTTATTATTATTTTAAGATAATTTTTTTTTTCTGGCTCTATTGCCCAGGCTGGAGTGCAGTGGCAAGATCATAGCTCACTGCAGCCTTCATCTCCAGGTCTCAAGTGATCCTCCCATTTCAGCCTCCCAAGTAGCAGGGACTACAGGCGCATGCCACCATGCCCAGCTAATTGTTTTGATTTTTTGTAGAGATAAGGTCTTACTACCTTGCCTAGGCTGGTCTCAGACTCCTGAGCTCAAGTGATCCTCCTGCCTCAGTCTCCCAAATTGCTGAGATTATAGGAATGTGCCACCGTGCCCAGCCCTTTTTAGTATTTAAGTTTAAAAGAATCTAATTTACGTTAATTAAGTTTAGAAAATAGGTTGGGGTTTTTTGTTGTTGTTATTTTTAAGAAAATACTTTTTTTTAAATTTAATTTTCTTATTTTAGAATGGAGGAAAAATTACTGTCCCTGACAAAACTTCTCTAGAGTTGCTCTGTCAGGGATGTTCTGGTGATATCAGAAGTGCAATAAACAGCCTCCAGTTTTCTTCTTCAAAAGGTAACTATGGAAGATACAGTCATGTGGCATTATATAGGTGACTGACTTTCTCTTAATTCATTCAATGAAATCAAACATTTTAACTTACATTTGGTCTATACCTATTTATCCTTCTTTATTACTGAGACAGTGGCTTAAAATTAAATATATACACATGCATACATACCCTTCTATGAATATGTCGTAGTATATATCCTTGTTTCTGTTTGAGATAGTTTACCTTTCAAAGTTAACTTAGAACCAGATTTCCTGGATAAAAATTCTGCCTCTGCCACTTACCAGTTATATAGGCCTATGCAGGTGACTCTTATCTTTCTGTGCCTCTGTTTTCTCACCTTTTATGTGAGCACTTACCTCTTAGGGTTCTATGAAGAATATGTGAGGTGACACTATTATAGAGTGCTTCTTACAGTACTTGATTCATATTAAGTGTTCATAAATGGCCAGCCATTAATCAGTTTAATAATACTGTGCCGAGGTAGGTTTACTTTTGGAATTATTATTATTTATTTTGAGACGGAGTCTCGCTCTGCCGCCCGGGCTGGAGTGCAGTGGCATGATCTTGGCTCACTGCAAGCTCCGCCTCCCAGGTTCACAGCATTCTCCTGCCTCAGCCTTCTGAGTAGCTGGGACTACAGGCAGCTGCCACCACGCCCAGCTAATTGTATTTTTAATAGAGATGGGGTTTCACTGTCTTAGCCAGGATGGTTGCGATCTCCTGACCTCGTGATCCGCCCGCCTCGGCCTCCCAAAGTGCTGGGATTATAGGTGTGAGCCACCTCATCTGGCCTGAAATTATTTTTATAATAATTTATGAGATATGTTTAATAAATTTATTTCCTGTTAATGTTAAAAAGTATAAATTTATGAGATATGTTTAATAAATTTCCTGTTAATATGTAGAAAGATGTAGTAAAAAGATAGTTTCACTAATGGCAGTGAGTTACATTTTTACTGTAATGGTCATCGTTTACTGCATAGTCCTCCTTCAGAAGGCATTTAGCAGACTACTTAATGCTTAACGTTGATAATTGACATCAAAGAGTGGGCCAGGAACTGTGTTAGCAATTATGTTTTTTTCATTTAATTCTCATATCAACCTGATGAGATAGACAGTATTTTGATTCAAATCCAGATCCTGTGCTCTTTCTGCTGTTCAAGGTAGCTTTTAAGCCATGCACTCTTGAGTTCTAAATATTAGACTTAAAAATGAAACTTGGGTCAGGCATGGTGACTCATGCCTGAAGCCAAGGTGGGTGGATCACTTGAGCCTAGGAGTTTGAAACCAGCCTGGGCAACATAGCAAGACCTTGTCTCTACAAAAAAATTAAGGAAAAAAAATAAAAACCCAAGAAATGTGATCACATGCATATTCATAAATTGGATACTCTCAACATCAATAGAGAGGTTGTTAAACATAGATTGCAGAACCAGGCTGCCTGGATTCCAGTCATTCACTCACTGATGACCTTGAGCCAATGACTTTACCTCTTTGTATCTCATTTCATTAACTGTCTAATAATAATTGGTCAGGTGCAGTGGCTCTCGCCTGTTATCCCAACACTATAGGAGACTGAGGTGGAAGAAAGCTTCAACCTCAAGAGTCTGATACCAGCCTGGGCAACATAGCGAGGCCTCGTCTCTAATTAAAAATATATATATATAGCCAGCATGGTGGTGCATGTAGTCCCGGCTACTTGAGAGGCTGAGGTGGGAGGATCACTTGAGCCTGGAGGTTGAGGCTTCAGTGAGCTATGATTGTGCCACTGTACTCCAGCCTGGGTGATAGAGCCAGACCCTGTGTCAAAAAAAAAAAAGGCCGGGCATGGTGGCTCATGCCTGTAATCCCAGCACTTGGGGAGGCCAATTTGTGTGGTTGGGAGGTTGTGACCAGCCTGGCCAACATGGTGAAACCTCATCTCTGCTAAAAATACAAAAATTTAGCCGGGCATACACCTGTAATTCTAGCTGCTCGGGAGGCTGAGGCAGGAGAATCGCTTGAACCCAGGAGGCAGAGGTTGTGGTGAGCCGAGATCACACCACTGCACTCCAGCCTGGGCAACAGAGCGAGACTCCATCTCAAAAAAAAAAAAAAAAATTCTCCCTTCACAGGGTTGTTATGAAGATTAAATTCCTATGTATTACATGCCAAGAACAGTATCTTGCACATAACACGATGAGAAACCAAGGCGATGTGACTGTACAGGTTGAATATCCTTTATTTGCAATTTTTGGGAATAGAAGGATTGCAGATTTTTTTAAGATTTTGGAATATTTGCATTATACGAATTGAAAATCCCTTGTCTGAAAATCTGAAATACAAAGTGCTCCAATGAGCATTTCCTTTGAGCATCATGTTGGCACTGCAAGTTTCATATTTTGGAGTATTTTGGAGTTTGAATTTTTTGGATCAGGAATGTCAGCCTATATTAGAGATTGTGCTATTGTGCATGTGAAAGTTTGAAATCTGCATTATGAAATAACTTTCAGATAATACTTTATTCCATTTTAATGTTAGTAACCCAAAGAGGATTCCAACTCAGTTAATGTCATTTATAATTTTTGTTTATTAGGAAAACAAATTGTAATTAGAATATTTAGTGTAACTATATCTGAAGTGTTCTTAGTTTTAATTTTCATATTTTAATTTAAATATTGTCACTTGGATGTATATTATTCAGGAGAAAACAACTTACGGCCAAGGAAAAAAGGAATGTCTTTAAAATCAGATGCTGTGCTGTCAAAATCAAAACGAAGAAAAAAACCTGATAGGGTTTTTGAAAATCAAGAGGTCCAAGCTATTGGTGGCAAAGATGTTTCTCTGTTTCTCTTCAGAGCTTTGGGGAAAATTCTATATTGTAAAAGTAAGAAATTTTTACACTTTTAAAATCTGTTGGATATCACATAGTCTTAAAATGGAAATAAAATGTCACTTTTAAAAAAATGTCATGTATTTTGGTTCTGCTCTAAGAGTTAGAGCTAGGTCAGATACTGTTTGCCTAGGCCTAAGACATAGTAGGAAATCAGAATATTTTCTGACCGTAAGCAGGATTAAAAGTAAAAACATGCAATTGCAGGCCATATCCATGTGTGTAAATCTTTAAAATTATAGTTTGCTGAAGGTAAGAGAGCAGATCATCTAGACTTGTAGTGGCAAGTGTTGGTAGCCTAAAGCCCTCTTAACACTGGGCTCCAGCCAACAGAGCCTTATACAAATTACCAGGTAGTTTAAGGTTTCTTTCAATCGTCTTGTATTTCTCTAATTTACAAGCGTTCTGTCTCCCCAACCAGAGATGTTTATCGCCTTTTCTGTCTTTTTTGATGACTGCTCCCCCTCAGTTCTTTCACTCCCTATTGCCCATTTTAGTGTCCCAAATAATCCCTCCTTTTGATAGCAAATGCCTGTTTTCAGTCTGATGACCCTAAAGGAAAGAAATTAGGATTTCTAAATGGAAACCTTCATACCATCTGAGGAAAATGGGCATCACTTAGGTGGCAGTGAGGACACTCCTCTGTCACTGGATCCTCTTACTTTGAACCTGAGTGACTATTCCCACCTGATTCTTTTCTTTCTCTCCTTTCTTTTCCTCCCCAACATACGTTTATCGTCTCTTGCATTAGTGAATGGAATTCGTATTCTTTCATGTAGAGAGCAACATCTTCCTACATAGTAAATAAAAGAGTAAAGACCACTGTATTGAGATGAGAAATCAAGGGAAGAAAGCAACCCAAAGCTGAAAAAGGTGAAATGGGAGTGCATTAGGAAATGGAATATTTTAAGTCTAGAGAAGCCATAATCTAAGCATCAGAATTGTTAATTTAGTTCTTGCTAATGTGGAAAAAATAGGTGCTTGCTTCCAGTTGTTTTTTATTTATTTATTATTTTTTAACAGTTTGTTACTATGTTGGTATTGTATGTCTAAAATTTTCAAACTCTTCAAATGAGAGGTGCTATATAATTATAAAGAAGGTATTATCTTTAATAATTCCAGAAATTTTTTATAGGAGCATCTTTAACAGAATTAGACTCACCTCGGTTGCCCTCTCATTTATCAGAATATGAACGGGATACATTACTTGTTGAACCTGAGGTAAGTTCTTTGATGACACTTAGTATAGGTTACAAAGGATATATTATTCGTGTGCATATATATTTGACCATTGCATTTTTACCAAATTTATGTATATATGCTTCTTTTTATAGGAGGTAGTAGAAATGTCACACATGCCTGGAGACTTATTTAATTTATATCTTCACCAAAACTACATAGATTTCTTCATGGAAATTGATGATATTGTGAGAGCCAGTGAATTTCTGAGTTTTGCAGATATCCTCAGTGGTGACTGGAATGTAAGACCATTTGACTTAAAATGTTTATGTTTATAGTATTTCCTTAGAATTAAGAAAAGAAAGTTTACTTTTATCCCTAATTGCCTGACATTATTTTATGTGACTTTTCTTCATAACTATGCTAAAGTTAATGTAACCAACTCAGTGTTTATAATGAAGCTTCAGTAGCAAATCTGATTTTTCTGCTGATAATATAGCACCAATTGTTTCTAAAGTTATTTTCTTTTTTTCTTTTTTTTCTGTGTGTGTGTGTAGAGACAGGGTCTTACTGTGTTGCTCAGGCTGGTCTCAAACTCCTGGGCTCAGACAGTCCTCTCACCTGAGCCTCCGAAAGTGCTGGGATTACAAGCGTGAGCCACCACACTCCTGTCTCTAAATTTTCTGATTTTGTGTTTTGTGTTATGGTGGTTTTTTTTTTTTTTTTTTTTTTGAGAAGAGGCTCTATCTACAGCTATGTTACCCAGTCTGGTCTTGAACTACTGGGTTTAGGGAATCCTGTCCTCTCTGCCTTCGAAGTAGCTAGAAATACAGGCACACACCACCATGCCCAGCTTATTTTTTTTTTTTTTTCGAGACAGCGTCTTACTTTTTTGCCCACGCTGGAGTCCAGTGGTACAAACATGGTTCACTGCAACCTTGACCTTCTGGGCTCAAGCGATCCTCCAACCTCAGGCACTCCCCATCTAGTAGCTGGGACTACAGGCAAGCACCACTATCCTTAGCTAATTTTTTTTTCTTTGTTTTAGAGACAGGGTTCACCATGTTACCCATGCTGGTCTCCAACTCCTGAGCTCAAGCGATCTGCCTGCCCTGGCCTCTCAAAAGTGCTGGGATTACAGGAGTGAGCCACCATGCCCAGCCCCAGCTTATTTTCTGATTTTAAAATTAATACATACTCAAAATATGACAACCATTAAGAAGTAGATACAAGAGAAAGAACTGTACATGTTGCTACACTTTCTGCTAGTTTTTAAAATTTATTTCTTTTACATATTTGAAACTATTTACCATAAAATTTGTATTTTGTTCTTAACATCTTAACACTGCCCTTACCAGTACAACAGCCACCAACCACATGTAGCTATTTACATTTAAATTTAATTAAAAATTCAGTTCCTCAGTCATACTAGCCACATCTCCAGTACTTGATAACTGCATGTGGCTGATGGCTACTTTATTGAACAGCCCAGATACAAAACATTTCCATCATTGCAGGGCGTTCTGTTGGACGACACTATTTTGATACGTTAATATTTCTGTGTGCTATAAATATTAAAATAAGGCCGGGCTCAGTGGGTCACACCTGTAAACCCAGCACTTAAGGAGGCCGAGGCAGGTGGATCACTTGAGCTCATGAGTATGAGACCAGCTGGGGCAATGTGATGAAACCCCATCTCTACAAAAAAATACCAAGAAAATTGTTTGGGTGTAGTGGTCCCAGCTACTCAGGAGGCTGAGGTGGGAGGATGGCTTGAGCCTGGGAGGCAGAGGTTGCAGTGAGCTGAGATCACACCACTGCACTCCAGCCTGGGCAATAGAGCTGGACCTTGTCTCAAAAAATTAAAAAATTGAAATAGCAGTAATAAGTAAAATTAGGAAAGACACAGAAAAACCATTTATGTTATAGAGCTTCATTACTCAGCAGTTGAATTTGCTTAACTTTTAAAATAATTGTTTCTTTCTTATTTTGAAATTTTCCATCCTATAAATAAATTAAAAGGATAGTACAATGAGCCAGGAGTGGTGGTTCCTGCCAGTAATTCTGCACTTTGGGAGTCCAAGGCAGGAAGATCACTTGAGGCCAGAAGTTTGAGAACAGCCTGGGAAACACAGCGAGACCCCATCTCTAGAAGAGATTTTAAAAATTAGCTGGGTATGGTGGCATGCACCTGTAGTCGTAGCTACTTGGGAGGCTGTGGTGGGAGAATCACTTGAGCCCAGGAGTTTGAGGTGGTAGTGAGCTGTGATCGTGCCACCACATTCCAGGCTGGGCAACAGACTGAGACCCTATTTTAAATAATAATACAAAATAACGAAAAGAGTATAATTGACTTGTTTGTGACACCAAGGATAAATGCTTGAGGTAATGGATACCCCATTTAACTTGAGGTAATTATTACACATTGTATGCTGGTATCAAAATGACCCCTGTACCTCATAAATATATACAGCTACTAAGTACCCACACAAATTAAAAATTAAAAAAAAATGATAGTACAATGAATAGCTGCATATCCTTAACTTTTGTTTAGCAGTTTGCATATTTTGCCACTTTTTCTTAATCTCTCTATATATTTACGTATTTGTTTCTGGCTGAATAATTGGAAAGTATTAGTAATTGCGAACATCGTGACACTTAAGCAGCATAAGGACATTGTTCTATTACAACTACCATAGCATTATCATACCCCATTGAAACTAAAATATAACTAGTTGATATAACTGGCCTCTCAAAGTGCTGGGATTACAGGCGTGAGCCACTGCGCCCAGCTGCATAGTCATATTTTAGTTTCAATTATATTTTAGTTATATTAACTAATTAGTTACATTAACTAATTAGTTATATAATTAAGTTAACTTTCCAGAGAAACTTGACACTAATCTAGCAATATATTGTCCCTATTCAGATTTCCTCATTTGCCTCAAAAATGTATTCAAAGTTGTTTCCTCCACCCCTGTCCAAGATCCAGTCAGGGTTTACACATTTAATTTGATGGCTATGTCCCAGTGGAATTTGCTTTAGATAAGTTTATAGTGCTGTTATTTATAGGGCTGTAGTGATGTTGAAGAAAGTGAACACATAGAAACTAAATACGGTTAGTATTTTTGTATATATCAGGAATACCAGTAATGCTCTTTTATAAATCTATTTTCTTTCACATCTTGTCTCATTTGTTAGACACGCTCTTTACTCAGGGAATATAGCACATCTATAGCTACGAGAGGTGTGATGCATTCCAACAAAGCCCGAGGATATGCTCATTGCCAAGGAGGAGGATCAAGTTTTCGACCCTTGCACAAACCTCAGTGGTTTCTAATAAATAAAAAGGTAAAAAAAAAAAAAAAAAAAATTCTGTACTTTCAATATGTGAACTTTATGGTACGTGAATTATAACTCAAAGCAGTTATTTTCTTTAAAACATAACAAAGGAAAAAATATTTCATTTTTAATAAAATAGTTGCTAAGGTCCACAATTAGATTCTGAGTTTTTATAAAACATAAAAAGGTGACTCTTAAATGCTTGTACAATTTTTTAAGGGAAAAAAGACCATCACAATTTGAAAATATTAGTTCAGTTTTATTGGAATCAAAGCGTAGTTACATTTTATTTTATTTTTTATTTTTTTATTTTTTGAGACGGAGTTTCGCTCTTTTTGCCCAGGCTGGAATGCAATGGCATGATCTCGGCTCACTGCAACCTCCGCCTCCCGGGTTCAAGCAGTTCTCCTGCCTCAGCCTCCCAGGTAGCTGGGATTACAGGCGCCAGCCACCACGCCTGGCTAATTTTTTGTATTTTTAGTAGAGACAGGGTTTCACCATGTTGGCCAGGTTGGTCTCGATCTTTGGACCTCATGATCCTCTTGCCTTGGCCTCTCAAAGTGCTGGGATTACAAATGTGAGACACCATGCTCGGCCATATTTTATTTTTTATTTTTTATTTTTATTCAGACAGAGTCGTTCTCTTGCCTAGGCTGGAGTGCAGTGGTGCCATCTCTGCTCACTGCAACCTCTTCCTCCTAGGTTCAAGCAATTCTCCCACCTCAGCCTCCTGAGTAGCTGGGATTACAGGCATCTACCTCCATGCCCAGCTAATTTTTGTATTTTTAGTAGAGATGGGGTTTTGCCATGTTGGCCAGGCTGTTCTTGAACTCCTGACCTTAAGTGATCTGCCCGCCTTGGCCTCTCAAAGTGCTGGGATTACAGGCATGAGCCACTGTGCCCAGCTGCATAGTTATATTTCAGTTTCAATTAAAAACAAACTTTAGGGCCAGGCATGGTGGCTCACACCTGTAATCCCAGCACTGTGGAAGGCCAAAACAAGAGGATCACTTGAGCCCAGGAGTTTGAGACCAGCCTGGTCAACATAGTGAGATCCCATATCTACAAGAAAAAGAAAAAAATTGTAAATAAATAAACCCTAGTTCAACCTGAGAATGCTGATTGGAAAATAGAAATCCCTAGTATATAAAATTTCAGTTAGGCAGGAGGAATAAGTTTTTTTTGTTTTTGGTTTTTGAGACGGAGCCTCGCTGGCCAGGAGGAATAAGTTTTAAGTTCAAGAGATATGTTGTATAACATGGTGACTATTAACAACAATGTGTCATGTATTTGAAAATCATGGCCGGGCATGGTGGCTCACGCCTGTAATCCCAGCACTTTGGGAGGCTGAGGCGGGCAGATCACGAGGTCAGGAGATGGAGACCATCCTGGCTAACACGATGAAACCCTGTCTGTACTAAAAATAAAAAAACTTAGCCGGGTGTGGCGGCGTGCGCCTGTAGTCCCAACTACTCTGGAGGCTGAGGCAGGAGAATGGCGTGAACCCAGGAGGCGGAGCTTGCAGTGAGCTGACATGGTGCCACTGCACTCCAGCCTGAGAGACAGAGCGAGACTCCATCTAAAAAAAAAAAAAAGAAAATCACTAAAACGGTAGATTTTAAGTGTTCTCACCACACACAAAAAATATATGTATGTAAGGTAATGCATATGTTAATTGGCTCAATTTAGCCATTCTACCATATATACATATTTCAGAACATCATGTTGTATACCTATAAATACATACAGAGCTTATTTGTCAATTTAAATTAATCAAAGAAAGGAGAAGAAATCTTGGCCTTGCCTCTATATGGACAAGGTATTCACCTAATGTGTTCTTACTCTCCACAGCTAAAAATGTAGATGATTGAATTATTTAGAGGTAAAAAATGGGAGGCACACAAGTTGAAAACAAAATACACAACAGTTTTCAAAATGAATTGCCAATCTTTAAAAATCAGACTAATGATTAAAAGTCAGATATGAATTTCGGCTGGGCGCTGTGACTCACACCTGTAATCCCAGCACTTTTGGGAGGCTGAGGCGGGCAGAACACAAGGTCAGGAGTTCGAGACCAGCCTGACTAACATGGTGAAACCCCATCGCTACTAAAAATACAAAAGTTTGCCAGGTGTGGTGGTGCGCTCCTGTAATCCCAGCTACTCAGGAGGCCGAAGCAGGAGAATCGCGTGAACCCGGGAGGCAGAAGTTGCAGTGAGCCGAGATCATGCCACTGCACTCCAGCCTAGGCGACAGAAAAAGACTCTGTCTCAGAAAGAAAAAAAAAAAGTTAGATATGAATTTCTAGCTTCAGAATTTCTGGAATCTCCTGGTTAAAAAAAAAAAAAAAAAAAAAAAAAGAGGCCAGGTGCAGTGGCTCACACCTGTAATCCGAGCACTTTGGAAAGCTGAGGTGGAAGGATCACTAGAGCCCAGGAGTTTGAGACCTGCCTGGGCAATATGGTGAAACCCCATCTGTATAAAAAAAAAAATAATAAAAAAATTAGCTGGGTGTGGTGGCAAACACCAGGAATTTGAGACCAGCAATATAGTGAGATCCCATATCTACAGGAAAAAGGAAAAATTTTTTTTGTTTTTCCTACCTAGTCCCAGCTACTTGGGAGGCTGAATTGGGAGGATTGCATAAGCCTGGGAGGCAGAGTTTGCAGTGAACAATGATTGTGCCACTGCACTCCAGCCTGGGCAACAGAGTGAGACCCCCATCTCTCAAAAAAATGAAAGTGAAGTATAACACTGGCTCATATTTCTGCGTAGCAACAATCACCTCGCCATGTAGCATCTGCCCCTTTGAGATGAGAGTAGTAGGCACCACTGTCCCCAGCTGGTTCATTCACTTATATTGCCTGCTTGACTTCTGTAATATCTGAATTCGTGACCCCTGGACTGGGTCGTCTCTGAGATGTCTTCCAGTTCTAAAATCATACAGCTGAAAATTACCCTATAATTTATTACCTAGGACATTTTTTCCAACAGATTTCTTGGAGAATTTAATGACTTTTAAGCAATTTATATCTCATTGACTTGCTTTGTCTTTTATAGCATATATATTAATTTTGCATTGTTGCTGCATATAAATTATCTAAGACTGTTAGCTTCTTGAAGGCAGGGATTGTGCTTTTCTCTTGCTCAGCATAACGTGTTGACTAAAGAAAACAAATTATTTCATTGAAAACTATTTTCGTGTAATTTATGATGTGTGTGTGCTCATAAACAATTCCTTTGAGTTTTAAATTTGGTTTTCTTATACATTCAATGTCTTTTAAAAATTGTTGTTTATTAAATGTGGAATAGTTGTGTAGGTAAAATACTTTATTAAACGATGCTAAAAAAACTATAAAGGACTACTTAAATAAGCTATTAAAAGTATATTTGTGATATATAAACCCACAAGTTAATATAAACTTATTGTGTAAGTTTATATAATAAACTTAGTTTGTCTAGGAATACATATTTTTAATTTCATTTTTCCTTTCATCTTTTTTTTTTCTTTTCTATACAGTATCGGGAAAATTGCCTGGCAGCAAAAGCACTTTTTCCTGACTTCTGCCTACCAGCTTTATGCCTCCAAACTCAGCTATTGCCATACCTTGCTCTACTAACCATTCCAATGAGAAATCAAGGTAATAACATAGGTTTTTCTTTTCTTTTAAGAAGTAGGGTTTATTTATTTATTTATTTATTTATTTATTTTATTTTTTTAGGGGGAGTCTCTACTGTCCAGGCTGGATTGCGGTGGCACGATCTCGGCTCACTGCAACCTCTGCCTCCTGGGTTCAAGCAATTCTGTTCCCTCAGCCTTCTGAGTAGCTGGGACCACAGGCACGCGCCCCCACACCTGGCTAATTTTTGTATTTTTAGTAGAGATGGGGTTTCACTGTATTAGCCAGGATGGTCTCGATCTCCTGACCTTGTGATCTGCCTGCCTCGGCCCCCCAGAGTGCTGGGATTACAGGTGTGAGCCACCGCACGCGGCCAGAAGTAGGGTTTTATAGCAATATCTTTTTGTGGGCCAATTTATTGCTATATGCAGTGAGATACTTTTTTTCCTTTTATTTTTTGATCCAGATAATTCTGGATCCTTTATGTTTTTTTTTTTAAAACGCATCAAACAGGCCAGGTGCAGTGGCTCATGCCTGTAATCTCAGCACTTTGGAAGGTCAAGACAGGGAGATCACTGGAGGTTAGGAGTTCGAGACCAGCCTGGCCAACATGGTGAAACCCTGTCTCTACTAAAAATAAAAAAATTAGCCAGGTGTGGTGGCATGCGCTTGTAATCCCAGCTACTCGGGAGGCTGAGGCAGGAGAATCACTTGAACCCAGGAGGTGGAGGCTGCAGTGAGCCAAGATCGCACACCTGCACTCCAGGCTGGGTGACAAAGTGAGGTCTGTCTCAAAAAAACAAAAAGCATCAGATGATACAGAAATATATAAAGAGCCGAACGTGGTGGCTTATGCCTGTAATCCCAGCACTTTGGGAGGCCAAGGCTGGGAAACCCCATTTCTACTAAAAATACAAAAAATTAGCCAGGCGTGGTGGCACGCGTCTGTAATCCCAGCCACTCGGGAGGCTGAGGCAGGAGAACCTTCAACCCCGGAGGCGGAGGTTGCAGTGAGCCAAGATCAGGCCATTGCACTCCAGCCTGGGCGACAGAGCAAGACTGTCTCAGAAAAAAGAAAAAAGTTTCTAAAGTAAAAATTGAAAGTACTTCCCCTACAACCACAGGTTGCTTTGACAGATTAATGTAAATTCTTCCAGATACTCTTCTGTGGATGTAGAAACATGCAGAATGAGGCAAGCTTTAATTTGCTTATGTCACTTACTGTGGATAGCCTTTCATATCTTATAAGTTAATGTCAGAGCAGCAATCTCATTTTTTTCCAATTTGTAAACATTTTATTTAACCTTATGATGGATATTTTGGTGGATTTCAGTATTACAAAAATGCCTATTAATAGTATTTTTCATTATATTTCTGTTACGAAATTATAATGCTACAAACATTACTATGCCTGTGGCAGTATACATCTGCACAAGTTTTGAAAATGTTATGCATTCATAGGCAAAAATGGGATAACTTTTGGGCAGTGGTCATGATTAATCTGTTGATCAGAATCCAGAGATTGCCCTTCTCCTTGCCAATTGCTTTAAGAGTACACTAGTTTTTGGCCGGGTGCAGTGGCTCATGCCTGTAATCCCAGCACTTTGGGAGGCCAAGACGGGCGGATCACAAGGTCAGGAGATCGAGACCATCCTGGCTAACATGGTGAAACCCCATCTCTACTAAAAATACAAAAAAAACCCACAAAAAACAAAAAAACCAGGCCTGGTGGTGGGTGCCTGTAGTCCCAGCTACTTGGGAGGCTGAGGCGGGAGAATGGCATGAACCTGGGAGGCGGAGCTTGCAGTGAGCCGAGATTGCACCACTGCCCTCCAGCCTGGGCAACAGAGCAAGACTCTGTCTCAAAAAAAAAAAAAAAAAAAAAAAAGATTACACTAGTTTTTAAACTTTTTGTTTTTTTTTTTGAGATGGAGTTTCACTCTTGTTGCTGAGGCTGGAGTGCAATGGCATGATCTCGACTTACTGCAACCTCTGCCTCCCAGGTTCAAGCGATTCTCCTGCCTCAGCCTCCAAAGTAGCTGGGATTACAGGCATGTGCCACAACACCCGGCTAATTTTTTTTGTATTTTTAGTAGAGGTGGGGTGTCACCATGTTGGCCAGGCTGATCTCGAACTCCTGGCCTTAAGTGATCTGCCCACCTCGGACTCCCAAAGTGCGGAATTACAGGCGTGAGCCACCGTGCCCGGCCACTGGTTTTTAAACTTTATTTTGAAATTATTTCAGGCTGGGCGCAGTGGTTCACGCCTGTAATCCCAACACTTTGGGAGGCCGAGGCGGGCGGATCACGAGGTCAGGAGATCAAGACCATCCTGGCTAACCCCGTCTCTACTAAAAATATAAAAAATCAGCCGGGCACGGTGGCAGGTGCCTGTAGTCCCAGCTACTCAGTGGGCTGAGGCAGGAGAATGGTATGAACCCGGGAGGCGGAGCTTGCAGTGAGCTGAGATCACGCCACTGCACTCCAGCCTGGGAGACAGAGTGAGACTCTGTCTCAAAAAAAAAAAAAAATTATTTTAAATGTAAGGATGCAAGAATAGTACAAAAAATTCTTGTATATCCTTCACTAAGTTTCCTGATTATTACATTTTTTACCATATTTGCCTGATTATATTCTCTCTCTTTATAAGCATGCACATATATGTATTATTTTGCTAAACTAGTCTTGAGTAAATTGCAGGCATGATATCCCATTATTCTTAAAAACTTAAGTCTGCACTTGCCAAAAACAAGGACATTTTCCTGCATAACCACAGTGTGCAATCAAATCAGGAAATTAACATTAATACCGTTTATTTTATAGTCCCCATTCAAATTTTTCCAATTGTCCTAATAATATCCTTTTTTAATTATTTTTAATTAATAGAGATGGGATCTCGCTTTGTTGGCCAGGTTGGTCTTGAACTGCTGGCCTCAAGCAATCCTCTTGCCTCAGCCTCCCAAAGGGCTAGGATTATAGGCACAGGCCACTGCACCCAGCCCTAATAATCTCCTTTGTAAAATGATAACTCCCCATTTCTTGTCCAGAATCCAATGAAAGATAACCTGATGCATTTAGTGATTTAGTTTCCGTGTGTTTTTAGTCTCCCTTGATCTGGAACAGTTTTGTAGTCTTTCTTTGTCCATGACATTTTAGAGGGATATAGGACAGTTACTGTACGATCCCTCAATTTGGGTTTGTCTGGTGATTCCTCATTATTGGATTCAGGATATGTATTTTTTTGGCAGAAATACCACAGAAGTGATCTTAAAAAAAATTGGCAAGGAGAGGAAAGATATCTGGATTCTGACCAACAGATTCATCATGTCCACTGCATAAACGTTATTTTTGCCTATGAATACACAACATTTTAAACACTTTAAGTATCAGTACTTACAAAAGCTGTAAGATAAAACACTTCATTGTATCAAAGTAGATATTTAGTCTTTAATCCTTTCTTCTGATCACTGATAAGGTCAACTCTATCTTTAAAATTTCTGGGCCAGGCATGGCGGCTCATGCCTATAATCCCAGAACTTTGGGCGGCCAAGGTGGGAAGATCGCTTGAGCCCAGGAGTTTGAGACCAGCCTAGGCAACACGGTGATACCTTGTCTCTACAAAAAAATTTAAAAATTAGCTGGGTGTTGTGGCTTGCACCTGTAGTCCCAGCTACTCGGGAGGCTGAAGTAAGGGGATCACTTGAGCCCGGGAAGTGAAGGGTGTAGTGAGCTGTGATCACCCCACTGCACTCTAGCCTGTCTAGCTTGGGTGACAGGGTGAGGATGAGACCCTCTCCAAAAAAATAAAATTTCTGAGATGTTTTGATAAGTTATATGGTAGATTACTAACATTTTTAATATGACACAAATTCTGTTTTGAAGATTAGCACCACAGACAGGTGATCATTAATGAAATATGGCCCTTAAAATACACATTACAAAAGAGAAACTGATGGTAAAATTGCTGGTGAAGTTAACTTTTATCATTTCTCCACTAATTAAAAGTTCAGATTCTGGGATCACATCTCTAAGCTGTTCATATCAAAGAGCTATTTTTTAAAGATCCTGATTATAGGCAACAAAAGCAAAAATAAACAAATAGGATTACATCAAAACTGAAAAGCCTCTGCACAGCAAAGGAAACAACAGAATGAAGAGCCAACCTACATAATGGGAGAAAATATTTGTAAATTATACATCTGATAAGGGGTTAATAATCAAAATATATAAGGAACTCAAAGAATGCAATAGTAAGAAAACAACCCAATTAAAAAACAGGCAATTCCAGCCTGGGCAACATGGTGAAACCCTGTCTCTACAAAAAATAGATAAAATTGGCCGGGCACGGTGGCTCACGCCTGTAACCCCAGCACTTTGGTTGGCCGAGGTGGGTGGATCGCCTGAGGTCAGGAGATCGAGACCAGCCTGGCCAACATGGCAAAACCCCACCTGTACTGAAAATACAAAAAATTAGCTGGGTGCAGTGGTGGGCGCCTGTAATCCCAGCTACTCGGGAGGCTAAGGCAGGAGAATTGCTTGAACCCGGGAGGCGGAGGTTGCCATGAGCCGAGTTTGCACCATTGCACTCCAGCCTGGGCAACAAGAGCAAAATTCTGTTTCAAAAAAAAAAAAAATAGATAAAATTAGCCGGGTGTAGTGGCACACACCTGTAGTCCCAGCTACTTGGAGGCTGAGTGGGAGGATGGTTTGAGCCTGGGAAGGGAAGGTTGCAGTGAGCCGAGATCACGCTGCTACATTCTAGCCTGGGGGACAGAGTGAGATGCTGTCTCAAAAGGCAAAGGACCAGATAGACATTTCTTAAAAGAAGACTGGCCAAAAGGTATATGAAAAACTGCTTAACATTAAGGCTTAACACTAATGATCAGGGAAACACACTTAAAACCACAATGAGATATCATATTACACCAGTTAGAATGGCCGTTACCAAAAGATAAATGATAACAAACGTTGGCTAGGGTGTGGAGAAAAGGGAATCACAGAGTTAGTAAGAATGTAAATTAGTACAGCTGTTTTGAGGAACAGTATGGAGGTTCCTTAAAAAACTGAAAATAGGCCGGGCGCAGTGGCTCACGCCTGTAATCCCAGCACTCTGGGAGGCTGAGGCGGGCGGATCACGAGGTCATGAGTTTGAGAGCAGCCTGGCAACATAGTGAAAACCCATCTCTACTAAAAACACACACACACAAAAAAAAAACACCAAAAAAACTAAAAATAGGCCAGGCGTGGTGGCTCACGCTTGTAATCCCAGCACTTTGGGAGGCCGAGGTGGGTGGATCACCTGAGGTCGGGAGTTCGAGACTAGCCTGACCAACATGATGAAACTCTGCCTCTACTAAAAATACAAAAATTAGCTGGGCGTGGTGGCACATGCCTGTAATCCCAGCTACTTGGGAGGCCGAGGCAGGAGAATTGCTTGAACTTGGGAGGCAGAGGTTGCAGTGAGCCACGATCACGCCATTGCACCCCAGCCTGGCAACAAGAGCAAAACTCTGTCTCAAAAAACAAACAAAAAAAAAACTCTAAAAATAGAACTACCATATGATCCAGCAGTCCCACTACTGGACATATATCCAAAGAATATGAAGTCAAGGCCAGGTGCAGTGGCTCATGCCTGTAATCCCAGCACTTTGGGAGGCGAGGCAGGCGGATCACTTGAGGCCAGGAGTTTGAGACCAGCCTGGCAAACATGGTGAAACCCCGTCTCTACCAAAAATATAAAAAATTAGCCAGATGTGGTGGTGTACTCCTGTAATCCCAGCTACCGTGGAGTCTGAGGCAGGAGAATTGCTTGAATCCAGGAGGTGGAGGTTACTGTGAGCTGAGATTGTGTTGCTGCACTCCAGCCTAGGTGACAGAGCCAGACTCCATCTCAAAAAAAAAAAAAAAGAATATGAAGTCAGTATGTTGAAGAGATATCTGCCCTCCCTCCCAGTTTTATTGCAGCATTATTCACAATAACCAAGATATAGCGTCAGTCTAATTGTCCATTGGATGAGGAAAACATGGTATATATACACAGTGGAATACTATTCAGCCATAAAAAAGAACAAAATCTTGTCATTTGCAGTAACATGGATGAACCTGGAAGACCTTATTTGAAATGAAATAAGCCAGGCACAGAAAGACAAGTATTGCATATTCTCACTTATATAGGAGCTAAAAAAGTTGAT
The DNA here is from genome assembly GCF_000001405.40 of Homo sapiens. Lineage (NCBI taxonomy): Eukaryota > Metazoa > Chordata > Mammalia > Primates > Hominidae > Homo > Homo sapiens. The sequence continues at coordinate 73,074 of NW_025791777.1, forward strand.
CTCATAATAGTAGAGCACAGAATGGGATTACCATGGGCTTGGGTGGTAGGGGAGTTGTTGATCAAAGAATACAAAATTTTGTTATGTAGGAGGAATAAATTCAAGAATTCTATTTTACAACATGGTGACTATAATTAATAGTATTTTGTGTGTGTGTGTGGTTTTGTTTCTTTTTTTGAGTCAGAGTATCACTCTTGTCACCCAAGCTGGATTGTGGTGGTATGATCACGGCTCACTGCAGCCTAAACCTCCTTGGCCCAAGTGATCCTCCTACCTCAGCCTACTGAGTAGCTGGTAACCACAGGTGCGCACCACCACACTTGGCTAATTTTTGTATTTTTTTTTTGTAAGGATGGGGTTTTGCCATGTTGCACAGGCTGGTCTTGAACTCCTGGGTTCAAGCAATCCTCCCACCTCAGCCTCCCAAAGTGCTGGGACTACAGGTGTGAGCTACCACACCGAACCAATATATTGTATTCTTGAAAAATGCTGAGAGTGAATGTAAAGTGTCTTTGCCACAAAAATAATAACTCTGTGAGGTAATATATATGTTAATTAGCTATAGTCATTCTACTATATATATATTAAAACAATATGTTGCCCACAGTAAATATATACAATTTTGTTTGTTAATTAAAATAACTCTGTTTGTAGTAGATTTTTTTTTTTTTTTTTTTTTGAGATGGAGTCTTGCTGTATCTCCCAGGCTGCAGTGCAGTGGCACCATCTTGGCTCACTGCAACCTCCAATTCCCAGGTTCAAGCGATTCTCCTACCTCAGCCTCCTGAGTAGCTTGAATTACAGGCGCATACCACCACACCCAGCTAATTTTTGTATTTTTAGTAAAGATGGGGTTTTACTATGTTGGCCAGTCTGGTCTCAAACTCCTAACCTCAGGTGATCCGCCTGCTTCGGCCTGTGTAGTAGAATTTTTAACAGGTTAAGTATCCAAAGGTCCTCATAGTGTTAGATGTGCAAACTTTAAAAGGTTCATAAAAATTAGTAAAAGTAAGATGTTTTGGTTTTTCTTATCAATTTTTATACTGTTTCTTCCGCTTTTATTTACTATGTCATTTTCAGCCATTATTTCTTTAAATATTTTTCTGCTGCTTTCTGTCCTTCTAGTCTTTCATTAGGGTATGTTCACTTGAAAGTGTTCCACATTTTTCTGAGATTTTGTTTATATTTCTTCTGTCTTCTATATGTCAATCTATGTCCAAGTTTTTTTTTTTTTTTTTTTTTTTTTTTTTTTTTTTTGGAGACAGAGTCGCCCTCTGTTGTCCAGGCTGGAGTGCGGTAGCACCATCTCAGCTCACTGCAATCTCCACCTCCTGAGTTCAAGCAATTCTCCTGCCTCAACCCCCTGAGTAGCTGGGAATACAGGCATGTGCCGCTATGCCCGGCGGGGTTTCGCCATGTTGGCCAGGCTGGCCTTGAACTCCTGACCTCAGGTGATCTGCCTGCCTCGGCCTCCCAAAGTGCTGGGATTACAAGCATGAGCTACCACGCCTGGCCTATGTCCAAGTTTGATGATACTTCTGGTTCAAATCTACTGTTGAGCCCCTTTAGTGAATTTTTCATTTTAGTTATTGTACCTTTTGACTGCAGAATTTTCATTTGGTTCTTTTTATAATTTTTGTCTTTTTGTTGATGCTCTTTTTCATGAGACATTGTCATTACAGCTTTGTTTACTACTTTGAGCATGATTTCCTTTTCTACTTTGAAAATATTTATAATGGTTTATCTGAAGTCTTTTTCTGTTAAATTTAATGTGTGAGCCCTCGCAAAGGCAGTTTCTTTTACCCACCTTTTTCTTGTGTGTAGGTCACACTTTCCTGTTTCTTTACAGTCATAATTTTTTGTTGAAAACTAGATGTTTTAGGGAATATATTGTAGCAATTTTGGAGAATATTGATTCTCCTCCTCTGGGGCTTGTTTTTATTGTTGTGTGCTTGTTTATTTGTTTAGTGACTTGGCTAAACTCATGTAATGAAGTCTGTCTTTTGCAACATGAAGCCTTCCTCCCTCTTCAGAGAGCTCATCCTTGGCTGTGCCCACAGTTTACTTGGGATGATGGTGGTTTTAGCAGAGCTCACTTTGTCTCTTTCCCTGATATGTCTGTATAGCTCTTTGCTTCCTTTGTTATCACACTGTTGGCTACCCTAATTACTTTTTTTTTTTTTTTTTTTTTTTTTGAGGAAAGAGTCTCGCTCTGTCACCCAGACTGGAGTGCAGTGGTACGATGGCTGACTGCAACCTCCGCCTCCTGGGCTCAAGCAATTCTTATGCTTCAGCCTCCTGAGTAGCTGGGACTACAGGCATGTGCCACCATCCCCAGCTAATTTTTCTATTTTTAGTAGAGATGGCGTTTCACCATGTTAGCCAGGTTGGTCTTGAACTCCTGACCTCAAGTGATCCACCCACCTTGGCCTCCCAAAGTGCTGGGATTACAGACGTGAGCCACTGTGCCTGACTACTCCCTAATTACTATCTAATTGCTCTGTTTTCAGCAGTGCTCTAGGACAAAAATTTCTCCACAGGCTGATCCAATTTAATTTGGGCAGGTGTAGGCTTTCAAGCCAGTTTCTGAGGGTTGTTCTGAAACCAGGAGGGCCCTTCTTAGTTGTCTCTTTCCCTGGTTTCTTATGAACTAGTTGGCTTATGTTTAGCTTGTTCTTATTTAAGAGGAGCTGGTTTCCAGGGTGCCCTTTAGGCTTGAACTTCCCCACACTATGTTTCAAATAAAGTGAGTTCCTTTGGGGAAGGCTTCGGAGCTTTTTCCTACGGACTGCCTCTCCTCTGGGCAAAATCTCTAAGCCACTTATTCTGGGTGGGTGCCCAGCTGCAGAGGTAGCCTCTGATTATTTTGGCTTGCCTCTCCCAGTGTGGACCCTCTGCTATGTAACAAGCTGGGGTAAGGGAGACTGCAGCTGGGACAGGGGACAGTGCCTTTGGGTTAGAACCTCTTATCCTATGAGTAGGGCCGGGTGGGGAAAGGAAGCCCCAAACACCCTGCTGCACTCCAGTAGGAAGGAGTCCTTTGTTCTTGGCTGTACCCACCTGGAATGAAATGTTCATCAAGCTGAGCCCTCTCAGCTCAGGGTTGGGAATGGGAGGGAGGAGATAGTGGCTCAGATGCCTCAGATTCTTCCTGTTTGGTTTTCTTGAATAGATCTTTTCTCATTTGCTGTATGCTATTAGGACAATTTCCAGAGACTTCAAATGATTGATTTTTAAAAGTTTTCACCGATTTTGCTTATCTTTGGGAGTGGGTACACAAGAGCTTATGCTGTCATCCTGAAAGTTTACTATGTCATTCTTTTTCTTTTTGCATTTTTAATTGTGATAAAGTATACAAAGCATAAAGTTTATCATCTTAACCATTTTGAATTCTACAGTGCAGTAGTGTTAAGTATATCCACCTTGTTCTGCAACCAGTTTCCGAAACTTTTGCTTCTTGCAAAACTGAAATTCTATAACTATTAGCATTAATTCCCCATTTTCCCTTCCCCCTGGCAGCCACCATTCTACTTTCTGTCTCTATGAATTTATGACTCTAAATACTTCATATAGGTGGAATCATACAATATTTGTTCTTTTGTGACTAGTTGCACTTAGAATGATGTCATCGCAGTTCATTTGTGTTGGAGCATGTGTCCTTTTTAAAGCTGAGTAATATTCCATGAGATGTATATACCATATTTGGTTATCCATTCATCTGTTGATGGACACTTGGGTTGCTTCCACCCATTGATTATTGTTGATGCTGATATGAACATGGGCATACAAATATCTTTTTGAGACTCTGTTTTTAATTATTTTGGGTATATACCCAGAAGTGGAATTGTTAGATCATACAATAATTCCATTTTTAATTTTTTGAGGATGCACTATACTGTTTTCCACAGCAGCTACACCATTTTACATTCCCATGAGCAATGCACAAGGGTTCCAGCTTCTCCACATCCTTACCCACACTTCTTGTTTTCTGGTTTTTTGTAACAGTCATCCTAATAGATGTGAATTGGTATCTCACTATGGCTTGGATTTGCATTTCTCTAAAGATTAGTGATGTTCAGCATCTTTTCATGTGCTTATTGGCCATTTGTATATTTTCTTTGGAAAATTGTTTACAACTTTTAAAAAATCTGTTTCAGCTCAGATTTCTTTTATCCAAGATATTGGAAGGCTCCCTCTGAAGCGACACTTTGGAAGGTAAGCTGATCATCTCAATTTCCAAAAAGCTGATAATGAAATGTCTACTGAATATGTTCAATATGAATCAATAACTGTTACCTGTAACATCCAAGAAAGACATACTGTACCTAGTAATTTATAAACATAATTGTATTGTAGACCCTTCCTTTTCTTAAATATAACAGCATATCTTCACCCACTCCCAATGGACTATACCAGATTAAATGGAAGCATGGAATCACAAAGGCAGAGGAATCTTTAAAATCCTCCAACTCAACAAATCTAGAAACCCCTTGCCAGCTTTCCTGTTGAGAGATGTTCTTAGCCTATGCTTGAAGACCTGCAGTGACTAGGAACTGCCTCAGAAAGTAGAAGAGTCCTTCATATTTTCTTATTTTAGAAAATTTAAACAAGCAAAAAATAGATGTCTATCTGTCCATATATATATATATATATATATATATATATATATATATTGTTCATTTTATTGGAAAGTAGCTTCTGTGCCATTATCAGTGATTAACACAAAACTTATATTTCAGTTTGACTTAGCTTATTTGTAAGATCGAATTAAGCACTTAGGAATTGTTTAAAGATTTTAAAAATGGCCGGGCGTGGTGGCTTATGCTTGTAATCCCAGCACTTTGGGAGCCCGAGGCAGGTGGATCACCTGAGATAAGGAGTTCAAGACCAGCCTGGACAACATGGTGAAACCGTGTCTCTACTAAAAATACAAAATTTAGCTGGGTGTGGTGGCACATGCCTGTAATCCCAGCTACTCAGGAGGCTGAGGCAGGAGAATCGCTTCAACCCAGGAGGTGGAGGTTGCAGTGAGCCAAGATCACACCATTGCACCCCAGCCTGGGCAACAAAAGCAAAACTCCATCTCAAAAAAAAGATTTAAAAAAATCTTGCTTACTGAATGCATGGACAAAAGTAAGTGATAGAAATGGCACCTCTGACTCCTCCTACCTTTTCTCCTATTTCTGGTCCCAAATGGAAAACTCCTGTGATGTGAGCTTTTTCCCCCTCTTTACCCTCCAAGATTCATTAAGGCCTTTGTAGTGTTAATGTTTTTTTCTGTATACTGGCTTAGCTATGTGGGGCCCATCTTTCCTATCCCAGAAAGACCATGATGGATGGATCTTGAAGCATCGTCCCACTGGGATGTGATCAGGGCTTACACATTTCATAAACACTGCTTTTCTTCTCACATCCCTCTGAATGAAAGCAGGACCAAGTCTCTTTGATGGCTTCTCTCCCCAACCCCCTAAGATTATGGCATCAAAATAAAGACAAGTATGTTCTATTGTATTTTTGCTCCTGAGATGTATTGAGTTGCTGCAATTTACACAAGGCTAAATTGAATGAGAATCTTCACTATTTTATTATTGGTTCAACTACCTACTTGATGTGACTTGAGAGGCAGTATTTTCTTTTCTTTTTTTTTTGTAGACGGAGTCTAGCTTTATCGCCCAGGCTGGAGTGCAGTAGCACGATCTCGGCTCACTGCAAGCTCCACCTTCTGGGCTCACACCATTCTCCTGCCTCAGCCTGCCGAGTAGCTGGGACTACAGGCGCCCGCCACCACGCCCAGCTAATTTTTTGTATTTTTAGTAGAGACAGGGTTTCACTGTGTTAGCCAGGATGGTCTTGATCTCCTGACCTCGTGATCCGCCCACTTCGGCCTCCCAAAGTGCTGGGATTACAGGCGTGAGCCACCACGCCTGGCCACGAGAGGCAGTATTTTCAGTGCTATATATTACAATGACTGGTACTATCTTTTATTTATGTTGACCATATTTAAAACCATTGTTCATATGTTTAGTATTTAGTATTAAATATTAATACTTAATATTTAATAGGTGTTTAATTTCCTGTAATTCAACCTACACGTTATTTTTGCCCATTTAGCTTTTTTTCAGCTTTTACTATCCCAGCCTTATAGATAAGTCATCATGCACTTCAAATACTATTTACTTAGGGTGAATTCCTACAAATGAAATTGCTGGATCAATAGGTATATACCTTTTGGGGCTTTTCCTCTTTATTGCCAAATTGTTGGCAAGAATATTTTGCCAGTTTTGTATCCACTTACAGTGTATCAGTATGTTCTTTTCTCCTAACCCTTGCCACCACTGGGTTTTAAAAGTATCTTTGCCAGTTTAGAAGATGACAGTAATAGGCCAGGCGCAGTGGCTCATGCTTGTAATCCCAGCACTTTGGGAGGCTGAGGTGGGTGGATCATCTAAGGTCAGGAGCTCGAGACCAGCCTGGCCAACATGGTGAAACCCTATCTCTGCTAAAAATACAAAAACTAGCTGGGTGTGGTGGTGCCCGCGTGTAATCCCTGCTACTCCAGAGGCTGAGACAGGAGAATCGCTTGAACCTGAAGTGGAGGTTGCAGTGAGCCAAGATCGTGCTACTGCCCTGTAGCCTGGGTGACAGAGCAAGACTGTCTCAAAAAAAAAAAAGATGACAGTAGTAGCTCATTATGTTAATTTTCATTTTTAAAATTACAAATTAGATTTAACAATTTAGGAACCATTTGTATTTGTTTTATAAGTTGTCCATGTTTGTGCCCATTTTTCTATTTCATTTTTTCCTTTTTAATTTGTAAAAATTCTTTACTGAAGGCTGGGTGTGGTGGCTCACACTTGTAATCCCCGCACTTTGGGAGGCGGAGGCAGATGGATCACCTGAGTTCGGGAGTTCAAGATTACCCTGGCCAACATGGTGAAACCCCATCTCTACTAAAAATACAAATTAGTTGGGCATGATGGCATGTGCCTGTAATCCCAGCTACTTGGGAGGCTGAGGCAGGAGAATCGCTTGAACCTGGGAGGCAGAGGTTGCAGTAAACTGAGATTGCACCACTGCACTCCTGCCTGGGCGATAGAGAAAGACAGTCTCAATGAAAAAAAAGAAAAAAGAAAAATTCTTTACTGAAGACATTATTTCTTTTTATTTTTAGGTGTTTTTGTTGTTGTGGTTTGGTTTGGTTTTTTTGTTTGTTTGTTTTTTGTTTGGAGACAGAGTCTTGCTCTGTCGTACAGGCTGGAGTTCAGTGGCACGAGCTTGGCTCACTGCAGCTTCTGCCTCCTGGGTTCAAACAATTCTCCTGCCTCAGCCTCCTGAGTAGCTGGGATTACAGATGCGTGCCACCACGCCTGGCTAATTTTTCTATTTTCAATAGAGATGGGTTTTTGCCATGTTGGCCAGGCTGGTCTTGAACTCCTGGCCTCAAGTGATCTGCCTGCCTTGGCCTCCCACAGTGCAGATAGTACAGGCATGAGCCACCGTGTTCAGCTCCTTTTTGTATTTTAAGTTGTAGGAACTTATTCAGTTTGTCATTTACCTTGTAGTTTTGTTTTTATAGTTAAAGGGACTAGCTAAACAGCACAATGTAGGTAAATGAAAGATGGCTTCATAATCATCACACTCATGGTGTAATTTAAAAATCTTCTCCTTTGGTTCTTATTAATGCCTGCACTGTGAATCTGACAGATTGAAAATGGAAGCCCTGACTGACAGGGAACATGGAATGATAGACCCTGACAGCGGAGATGAAGCCCAGCTTAATGGAGGACATTCTGCAGAGGAATCTCTGGGTGAACCCACTCAAGCCACTGTGCCGGAAACCTGGTCTCTTCCTTTGAGTCAGAATAGTGCCAGTGAACTGCCTGCTAGCCAGCCCCAGCCCTTTTCAGCCCAAGGAGACATGGAAGAAAACATAATAATAGAAGACTACGAGAGTGATGGGACATAGAAGCCAGCCTGCTAATCAGATTGCTACTTCACAGCTTCATTTTTGTTTCATTCAGTGGTACTTCAGCAGAGTTAATATGCTTTTCTGATGAATTACACAACAGTTTGTTAATTCTTCATTCTTGTAGTATTTCATCACAAGAAACCTACTCTTCTGTCATCTTGAAGTAAATAGAAGATCAAGCCTTCAAATCTCTTAATTTTTTCGGTATTTATTAAATCTGTGAGTGGTTTAAGGAGCGGTCAGTGTGTATAAAGTGTGTTTGAACATTATGCCAAATATCAAGATGTGAAGGACTAATTCAGGATGCAAAAACGTTATTGGGGGGTTGTAAATATCAACTATTCAACAGTTTAGGATGCAATTACGAGTGTAAACTGTGTGCCTTATTTACACTTTATTGTCTCCCGCTTCTCAGATAGTTTTGATGTGTTGTACAGTGGAATATCTTAGATACTTTTTGGAAAGTATTTACATAAGTTATATCACAATTAAAATGTTGAATTTAATTTTGTTTCTCCTGTCTTTTAACATTATCTAGCACGCACTCTCTGCCATGGGTCCTTAAGCACAGTGCACCAATCTCCCTCCCCCAGTGTCAAACTTTTCAAAAGATAGGGAAGAGGATGGCAACGTTGCGATGAGAACTGTAAACTCTTTCCAAAAGAGCCCAGTGTGTGGTCATTGCCGCGACGTGCCGGCTGGTGGCACCGAGCAGCCTGGGCCCAGAGCGGTTGTCGGGCCGACAGATCCGGGCGGGGCAAAGCCGGGCGGGGAAAGCTGGGCTCGTCCCGTCCCGGCCCCGCCCCCACCCCGGGAGCCCGATACCGGTTTCAGAGTCCTGGGCAGCGTGCGCGCTCTTCCTGGCGGCTGCGCAGGTAAGTGGGACCGGGGTGGGGCCACGTGACCGGGAGAGGAGGGCCCGGCGGCCCCCGGCCCAGGTGTGCTGCGACGGACGGCTGCCCGCGCTCGGCGCTCAGCCTGCCATAGCCCGCGGGGGAGGCCGGAGCCAGGGATCCGGGGAGGCCCGCGTCCCGCCAGGTTTCGCTCTGCGGACGCAGGTGCGGCCGAGCCGCCGTCCTTCCGGGCGCGGGGCGGGGCGCGCACCTCGGGGCGATCTCGGTGCTCCTTACCTGGGAGGTCTCCCGGCTTAGTTTCGGCCTCGTTGGGTCGGAATCTCCAAAGACAGTGGGTTTCAGCCAGAAACGCGAAGACGAACGCCTAGCCGGCGCGGGCAGAACCGAGGACACAATGAGATTTGTGGGACCGGGCGCCCAGAGGCTGGCGCGGGGGAGACCCCACAGCTAAAATGCTCGGTACCCCCGGGCAGTCGTGGGTTAGTTAGAACCGCAGAGCCTTTCCCGACCCCTCGGAAGCGCAGAAGTATCCGAAATCTACCCGTTTCTTGGGTCCAGCAAAACTTTTAAGCCAGGTAAACCGGTGGTTCTGTTTGTGTAAAGGTGACCAGGCATGATTCCTGTGACACTTTGCTGGGGCAGCCATTTCTCCTGCCATTGCCGCGGCTTTCCAAGATGAGTGTCCAAGAGTGGAGTAAGGGTCCGGGGCCTGAGCAGGACAAAGACACACGCTGCCGCGACCTGCGGGACCAGAACGAACTCTCAGTGACATCTTGAAAGACATTAGGGGTATCCAGATATTTAAGATGTAATGAAATACAGCTAACCATTCCCTTCTAAAAATCACATTATCTTGCTTTTCCACAACTCTTTAATAATTGCTTGTTTTTTCTTTAAAAATGGATAGGGTGGTTTGATTCAAATAAGCCACTTCACAGGTGAAGAGTTAAATCCATTACAGTGAATCGTATTTTTACCAGTGAGTTGAATTAAGCATAGCGTATCCTGTAAATGCTGTGTAAAACTTGCTAAAATCATTTGTTGTGCTTTTGCTTCTACATTTCTTAGGAATGTGTTTCAAAAACTAGAGTCGTAATAGCATTTCTAGAACTTACACTTTTTTAGAGAAAGAAAGAGAAAGGTACAAAAATAACTGATTGTTATAATATACAGAGCCGCTTTGCATTGGGCACCCTGCTGGGGCCATCACAGTTAATCCTCTAAGGTCGGAGTGCCCTATTAGAAGACCCTGGGTTTCCACCGCATTCCCTTGTCTCCAGTCTGTACATACCCTGTGTGCCTTGCTTGCCCTCTTAACGTCTCTACCTGGATTTTTAACGCATCTGAAACACTCTTCAGTCTGCTGCTCCCCAAGGCTAAGCTGGAGGGGTGGAGAATGAGGTATAGATAGATAAAATGATCAGATGTCTGGGGTTTACTTCAGAGGACTCTATTGGCAGAGGAAATAGTATGGGGAGTATAAATGAAACAAGTTTGGCCATAAATCGATAAGTGTAGAAGCTGGATGTGGGTACACAAGGGTTCATAATGCTATTCTTTCTACTTTTTATTATGTTTGAAAAATTCTATAATAAAAATTTTAAATACCTGTCTAGCATTTGACCTCTTCTCAAGATCTCAGTGATCCATTGGATTATTTCAATGGCCTAGCCAGTCTTCCTGTTTTACCTCTTGCCTTCTGGAGTGTACTCTCAACACAGCATCCATAGTGATACTGTTAAAACAAGTCAAGTCATGTCACTCCTCTATTCAGAATCCTCCAGTGGCTTCTCATCTCACTCCTAGCAAAAGACAAAGTCCTTTCTTTCCAGTGGTTTTCAAGGCCCTACATGATTCAGATGGCCTCAGTTCTACTATTCACCTTCTTACCCACTTTGCTGCTGCCACAGTAGCTTCCATGCCTAAATATTTCTTGAACATACCAGGCACTCCTGCTTCAGGGCATTTGCGCTAGCTATTCCATCTGCCTGAACACTTGTCCCTGATAATGGCCTGGCTTCCTCCTTCACCTTCAGTTCTATACTCAGATATCCCTTTCTCTGTGAAGATTTCCCTGCCCACTCGGTTTAAGATGGTAACATCCTGTCCCCATTGCAGTCTTTACCCCCTTTCTCAACTTTGTTCTTTAGCATACTGTATATTTCATTTATCTATCATCTGTCAATCTGCCCGGCACTCCCCCGGTTAAAGCATCATGAAGGCAAGGATTTCAGTCTGGTTTGTCCACCAGTATACTTTCAGCATGCCTGGTGCAAGGCAGGTTAAATGAAGGGTCTTCGTTTTCCAAAGTAAAATAAAATAAAGCCTTAGGAATTTCCAAATTGTTCAACAGTATAAAGATGGGGTTATCAGACCAGGTGCAGTGGCTAACGCTTGTAATCCCAGCACTTTGGGTGGCCAAGGCAGGAGGATCGCTTGAGCCCAGGAGTTCAAGACCAGCCTAGGCAACATAGTGATACTTAATGTCTACTAAAAATTTTAAAGAATTAGCGGCCGAGCGTGGTGGCTCACACCTGTAATCCCAGCACTTTGGGAGGCCGAGGCGGGTGGATTATGAGGTCAGGAGATCAAGATCATCCCGGCTAACATGGTCCCCATCTCTACTAAAAATACAAAAAATTAGCCGGGCGTGGTGGCGAGCACCTGTAGTCCCAGCTACTTGCGAGGCTGAGGCAGGAGAATGGCATGAACCTGGGAGGCGGAGCTTGCAGTGAGCCGAGATGGCACCACTGCACTCCAGCCTGGGCAACAGATTGAGACTCTGTCTCAAAAAAAAAAAAAAAAAGAATTAGCTGGGTATGGTGGCATGCACCTGTAGTCCCAGCTACTCAGGAGGCTGAGGCAGCTGGAGTGCTTGAGCCAGGGAGATTGAGGCTGCAGTGAGCTATGATTGTGCTCCTATGCTCTGGCCTGGGAAACAGAGTGAGACCCTGTCTTAAAAATATTAAATAAATAAAACAATAACAAAAAAGATGGGGTTATCCATTTTAATTTTGAGACCTTCATAGTATCAAGTACAATACCATGTGCCCAGTTTAAGTCTTCAATAATGAGTCTTGGCAGGGTGTGAATGAAAAAATTTTTTTAAGTCTTCAAACAAAATACTTATAAACAATTCGAGAGAGAAATTCAGCATACCTTAAAACTAGTAGTTAATTCACAAATGGTTTCCTTCTTTCTGTATATGGGTGCAGAGCATTGATTTCATGAATCAACAGGCTTAGTAAAAGTGCATTTTCTATGCTTTATTTTTGAGGTGGATTGAATACCTTCTGAGATACTTGAGTCTCTCCTTGGGAACAGTAAATCACCTGAATTGCCCTCGAAAGAGTAATAGTAATGGTCATTGCTGCCATTCTCTATTGTGCCTTGGGGGAGCCTTAGCCTTTGGTGATGTTGTCTCTGAGATTCAATTTTTTTACATCTAGTTTCAATTGTTAATATTTTAGACTGGAAGAAGCAAGTCCTCTAAAATGACTTTGTTGATTTAGGAAGGGGAAGGGCTGTGCATACCCTGTGTTTTAACAGACTGCCTCTCCTAGGCTATTCCAAGTGAAAATGAAGAATATTTGCTGACCCATCAAATTTCGCTACACTCAAACTCTTAGTATTTTGATTTAGATGTTTGAGGAAATGACTCTACTTGGGAGTGTGTTCGCGTTCTGTTGTGTTAAAGTTTTGTCACTTTTGTTTTTTATTTTATTGTTTAATAGGGCTCACAGATAAATTAGATTTATAAATCATTTTTCATTTCTTTTTTTTTTTCTTTTTTTTAGAGACAGAGACTCACTGTGTCAGCCAGGCTGGAGTGCAGTGGCGCAATCTCGACTCACTGCAACCTCTGCCTCCCGGGTTCAAGCGGTCTATACCTCAGCCACCTGAGTAGCTGGGATCACAGGCGCATGCCACAACGCCTGGCTAGTTTTTGTATTTTTAGTAGAGATAGTGTTTCACCATGTTGGTCAGGCTGGTCTCAAACTCCTGACCTGAAATGATCCGTCTGTCTTGGCCTCCCAAAGTGCTGGGATTACAGGCATGAGCCACCGTGCCCGGTATCATATTTATCATTTTTGTATATCATAATAATTAGACATGATCCTGTTGGTCTCCTAAATACTTTTTGCTACTACATGAATAAAATCAGCATCATTGAGAGGATAAGTAACTAATCATAAGTGATAACTTTAAATTTGGCCACAGGTGTGAAAATCACAAATGTCAAATGATGGAAGATCCAGGAATCGGGACAGGCGCTACGATGAGGTCCCAAGCGACCTGCCCTATCAAGATACCACCATAAGAACCCACCCAACTCTTCATGACAGTGAGCGGGCAGTGAGCGCTGATCCCTTGCCACCACCCCCTCTCCCATTACAGCCACCATTCGGCCCAGACTTCTACTCAAGTGACACAGAAGAACCAGCTATAGCGCCAGATCTCAAACCAGTAAGGCGCTTTGTCCCTGACTCCTGGAAGAACTTTTTCAGAGGGAAGAAAAAGGACCCCGAATGGGATAAGCCGGTGTCTGATATCAGGTACATCTCCGATGGAGTGGAGTGTTCACCACCAGCCTCTCCAGCAAGACCAAACCACCGTTCGCCCCTCAACTCCTGCAAAGATCCCTACGGAGGGTCAGAAGGAACCTTTAGTTCCCGGAAAGAGGCTGACGCAGTGTTTCCCCGGGATCCCTATGGATCTCTAGACCGACACACACAAACAGTTCGAACATACAGTGAGAAGGTGGAGGAGTATAACCTGAGATACTCCTACATGAAGTCGTGGGCAGGCCTGCTGAGAATACTGGGTGTGGTGGAGCTGCTTTTGGGGGCCGGTGTCTTTGCTTGTGTCACAGCTTACATTCACAAGGACAGTGAGTGGTACAACTTGTTTGGATATTCACAACCGTATGGCATGGGAGGCGTTGGTGGATTGGGCAGTATGTATGGGGGCTATTACTACACTGGCCCTAAGACCCCTTTTGTACTCGTGGTTGCTGGATTAGCTTGGATCACCACCATTATTATTCTGGTTCTTGGCATGTCCATGTATTACCGGACCATTCTTCTGGACTCTAATTGGTGGCCCCTAACTGAATTTGGAATTAACGTTGCCTTGTTTATTTTGTATATGGCCGCAGCCATAGTCTATGTGAATGATACCAACCGAGGTGGCCTCTGCTACTATCCGTTATTTAATACACCAGTGAATGCAGTGTTCTGCCGGGTAGAAGGAGGACAGATAGCTGCAATGATCTTCCTGTTTGTCACCATGATAGTTTATCTCATTAGTGCTTTGGTTTGCCTAAAGTTATGGAGGCATGAGGCAGCTCGGAGACATAGAGAATATATGGAACAACAGGAGGTAAGTGATTTCATAATCCCTCATTTGTGTGTGTATGTTTGTTTTTTCTGTTATTTGCTCCCTTGTTAAAAAATGTATAGCGCTCAAAACAGAAAGCTTTCATAGAAATCTTTTCTTTCTTCCTTTTTTTTTTTTTCAATGGTCTGAGATTCAAAAGTCCTAGTGCAATATCTGACATGCTTTGACTGGGATAACCCACTCTGGTGTTTGGCTGTTACATAACATTGCAAGTAGACACCAGATGTGTAATATATAGTTTGTTGGCTGCATTATTTTGTCTGTCTGAAGCTTAAGGGAAAGATACAGCTACCGAATTTTTGCAAAGAAGAAGAGTGTACTCAGTAAAATAAGTGTCTCATCATTAAGTTTGAGAACAATCTTAATTCTTTAATAAAAGCTCCTAATTTTTCATTTAAATGTTACAATTTACTTTCTCCCAGTGAGTTGAATAAAGCCAAATAAGAATGTGGTAAACCATGTTTGATTTTTTTTAAGTATTGAGAGATTGAATTGTAATGAACATACTCTGAAAACTTGCCCAGTGGTTTTGATAATTTGTCTTTATTTGAGGAAGACGTATGGTCCAAAATGAGAATGGAAGTCCTACATTGTTTTTATATTTCTAGAACTTAATAGGATAATAATGAGAATAAATAATAATGAGAACAATAAGAAGAATAAAATAATAATAACTGAAGGATGAGATAAAAGCCCTACCTAAAATTATTTTGGTTGAACAGTAGCAAATGTTAGAGTATGTTCCACTGGCTACATTATTCTCTGAAGTAAGTTGATATTTTGCCTTCTTCCAAGGATATGTGTATAGTAGACTCTCCTATGCCACTGAAATTTTCAGTATTTACCTTAAAATTTTTTGTAATTTTAAGTTAACTATATTATGAATTTTTGCTTTTCCACTTTTCCTAAGACTTCTTAGATACTATACAATTGCACATGGTATATATTGGGCAAAACTATAAATAAAAATTAAATCCTGTCCTTATAACAGCACACACTGACATATGTATTTTGTTTTTAATCTTTTGCTTGAATCTGATGCATAGCAACAAATAGCGCTTTGGTTTTAAAATTTTTTTAATTTTTTTTTTCTTTAGAGATGAGTATTTGCCATGTTGTCCAGGCTGGTCTCAAACTCCTGGACTCAAGCAATCCACCTGCCTTGGCATCCCAAAGTGCTGGGATTACAGGTGTGAGCCACCATGCCTGGCCCGTTTTTTGGTTTTTTTAATTTTCTTTTCTTTCTTTTTTTTTTTTTTTTTGAGACAGAGTCTCACTCTGTTGCCAGAGTGCAGTGGCACTGTTGCGGGAAGTCAGGGACCCCAAACAGAGGGACCAGCTGAAGCCATGGCAGAAGAACATAAATTGTGAAGATTTCATGGACATTTATTAATTCCCCAAATTAATACTTTTATAATTTCTTATGCCTGTCTTTACTGCAGTCTCTGAACATAAATTGTGAAGATTTCATGGACACTTATCACTTCCCCAATCAATACCCTTGTGATTTCCTATGCCTGTCTTTAATCTCTTAATCCCGTCATCTTCATAAACTGAGGAGGATGTATGTTGCCTCAGGACCGTGTGATGATTGAGTTAACTGCACAAATTGTTTGTAGAGCATGTGTGTTTGAACAATATGAAATCTGGGCACCTTGAAAAAAGAACAGGATAACAGCAATGTTCAGGGAACAAGGGAGATAACCTTAAACTCTGGCTGCCTGTGAGCTGGGCGGAACAGAGCCATATTTCTCTTCTTTCAAAAGCAAATAGGAGAAATATCGCTGAATTCTTTTTCTCAGCAAGGAGCATCCCTGAGAAAGAGAATGCATCCCTGAGGGTAGGCCTCTGAAATGGCCGCTTTGGGGATGGCTGTCTTTTACAATCATAGATAAGGGATGAAATAAGCCCTGGTCTCCTGTAGTGCTCCCAGGCTTATTAGGACGAGGAAATTCCCGCCTAATAAATTTTGGTCAGACCAGTTGTCTGCTCTCAAACCCTGTCTCCTGATAAGATGTTATCAGTGACAATGCATGCCTGAAACTTCATTAGCAATTTTAATTTTGCCCCGTCCTGTGGCCTGTGATCTCGCCCTGCCTCCATTTGCCTTGTGATATTTTATTACCTTGTAAAGCATGTGATCTCTGTGACCCACACCCTATTCATACACTCCCTCCCCTTTTGAAAATCACTAATAAAAACTTGCTGGTTTTATGGCTCGGGGGCATCACGGAACCTGCCGACATGTGATGTCTCCCCTGCACACCCAGCTTTAAAATTTCTCTCTTTTGTACTCTTTCCCTTTATTTCTCAGACTGGCCGACACTTAGGGAATATAGAAAAGAACCTACGTGAAATATCGGGGATGAATTTCCCCCAATATCTGGCACCAGGCTGGAGTGCAGTGGCACAATCTCTGCTCACTATAACCTCCGCTTCCCAGGTTCAAGTGATCCTTCTGCCTCAGCCCCCCTAGTAGCTGGGATTACAGGCACATGCCACCATGCCCAGCTAATTTTTGTATTTAGTAGAGACAGGGTTTTGCCATGTTGGCCAGGCTGATCTTGAGCTCCTGACCTCTGGTGATCCATCTGCCTTGGCCTCCCAGAGTGATAGGATTACAGGCGTGAGCCACCACACCCAGCCTTAGATTTTCTTTTTACACCTAGTGGAATGGGAAACAAATCGTTTTGTTGTCGTTGTTGTTGTTGTTGATGGTTTGTTTTGAGGAAGGGTCTAACTCTGTCACCCAGCCTGCAATACGGTGGCACAATCATGGCTCACTCCAGCTTTGACCTCCCAGGCTCAAGCAATCTTCCCACCTCAGCCTCCCAGGTAGCTGGGACTGCAGGCATACACCACCACACCTGGCTATTTTTCAATATTTTTTGTAGAGACAGGGTATCACTATGTTACCCAGGCTGGTCTCGAACTTCTGGGCTCAAGCAATCCTCCTGCCTCAGCCTCCCAAAGTGTTGGGATTATAAGTATAAGCCACTGTGCTTGATGGAAAAAAATAGTTTTATAACAAGTACCTACATGTTATACAAAGGACTTTGACATGTGTCCATGTGATCTCTCTCTATATATATTTTAAATTTTTTGTAGAGACGGGGTCTTGCTATGTTGCTCAGGCTGGTCTCAAACTCCTGGCCTCAAGCAATCCTCTCCCCTCAGCCTCCCAAAGTGCTGGGATTACAGGCATAAGCCACCATGCCTAGCTTGATTGTCACAAAATAATTTATCTTGCTAGAACTCTACATAGATTCAAGTTATTTCTAAAAATGTGTCTTAGCATTTTAAGCATATTTCTTACATTTTTGTTTTTTTATGTAACCTTCACATGTATTAAATTTTTGTTTCTTAAAGTTACAGTTTATTTCTTAAATGTACATCTCTGTGTACAAAGTAAAAAATGTTAATTCTAATCAGTATGAAATCCAGATAGTGAAACACATACTTCCTCATAAATTTATGCTAGTTGCATAAGTTATTAAATCTTAATATTTAAAAATTCTATATGAATAGAATGATCAACATAATACTTTTATTTCTTTTTCCTTTCTCAACAAAAACTTATGTCTATGAGACTTTTCATAATGCCTAATTAGACTTCAGTCACCTGATGTTGAAAGTTGTGCCTGTCTGTACGTTGCTATAACTTCCTAAAGGTTAGAAGATGTAATGGCCTAGGGCTTTTTTCTATTAATTTTATAGAGTAATTGTCCTAACTCTTTAATCATGCAAAGTAATGGGAGGCAAGAATAAATAAAATTTGAGGGTAATTCAGAGTGGTTTATCTAACAGTTTCCACCATCTCCGTATTCCCTACTCCTCTCTATGCCCTGATTGACAGGGAATTACAGTTATCCCTCTTCTCAGTTCTCCACTGGCCCTTCAAAACCTAGGCAAAAAAAGGATGAGAAACACCCGTCAAGTAGAGGATCAACCTCTTAAAATTGAGGTTGGGCTATAAATGCAAATGGATGAAAATATTTGCAAAGTAGCTTCACATGCCTTTGAAAAACTATTTGAACTCTTTGTGTTCCAGATAAATGAGCCATCATTGTCATCGAAAAGGAAAATGGTAAGAATAAAGTTTACTTCATATTATGCTTTAGATTTGTTAATACTTTTCTCTTAGGTCTGTTTATCTACATAGTAGTATCGTACATCTGTGAAATGTAGCTATTGGCCAGGTGTGGTGGCTCACACCTGTAATCCCAGCACTTTGGGAGGCTGAGGAGGGCGGAGCACTTGAGACCAGAATTTCAAGACCAGCCTGGCCAAAATGGTGAAACCCTGTCTCTACCAAAAATACAAAAATTACCTGCACGTGGTGGCACACGCCTGTAATCCCAGCTACTCTGGAGGCTGAGGCACGAGAACCACTTGAATCTGGGAGGTGAAGGTTTCAGTGAGCCAAGATCACGTCACTGCACTCCAGCCTGGGTGACAGAGTGAGACTGTTTAAAAAAAAAAAAGAAAAGAAAGTGTAGCTATTACATGCAGCCATAAAAAATGATGAGTTCATGTCCTTTGTAGGGACATGGATGAAATTGGAAATCATCATTCTCAGTAAACTATCGCAAGAACAAAAAACCAAACACCACATATTCTCACTCATAGGTGGGAATTGAACAATGAGATCACATGGACACAGGAAGGGGATTATCACACTCTGGGGACTGTGGTGGGGTCGGGGGAGGGGGGAGGGATAGCATTGGGAGATATACCTAATGCTAGATGACGAGTTAGTGGGTGCAGCGCACCAGCATGGCACATGTATACATATGTGACTAACCTGCACAATGTGCACATGTTCCCTAAAACTTAAAGTATAATAAAAAAATATATATATATTAAAAAAAAAAAAAAGAAATTGTAGCTGTTACATCGAGTTCATATTAGGACTTTGAGCTTTTTTCCAGATACTAAAAGGACCAAATTAAACAATCATATCTATAGCTGCTTTTAATTTTGTTAGATGAAAATTTATGCAAGTAAACAAACCAACATATGTTTGAAATTTAATTATTTTTTAAATGAAAGTGATTCTCTGAAACTTTCTTCACTTGTATTTAAAGTTCTGTGCTGTTCTTTGTATCCTTCTCACCTTGCTTTCAGATGCCAAATTTTTTACTACACTCACAGGACAGTTAAAAAAGAAATTAATAATAATAATACTTTTTTTTTTTTTTGAGATGGAGTCTCTGTCGCCCAGGCTGGAGTGCAGTGGCGCTATCTCGGCTCACTGCAAGCTCCGCCTCCCAGGTTCACACCATTCTCCTGCCTCAGCCTCCCGAGTAGCTGGGACTACAGGTGCCCACCACCGCGGCCGGCTAATTTTTTGTATTTTTAGTGGAGACGGGGTTTCACCATGTTAGCTAGTTTCACGAGGTCAGGATGTTCTCGATCTCCTGACCTCGTGATCCGCCCGCCTCGGCCTCCCAAAGTGCTGGGATTATGGGTGTGAGCCAGCATGCCCGGCCAATAATACTTTTTTTTAAAGATGCCAAATTTTGTAGTGTCAGGGAATTTCTATTCCACAATTTACCAACTGTGTGGCAGCAGACAAATTATTTAACCTTTCTATGCCTGCATTTCTTCATCTGTGAGATTGCAATAATAATAATTCATACCTCGCAAGTTTGCTGAGAGGACTCAGTGAGATGCTGTTATCATTATTTACATATATGTAATAATTTATTTTAATAATCATAATTTTACCCTCATTGAAAATTTTACCCTCATTTTTTGAGATACTGGACATTATTATTATTATTATTATTATTATTATTATTATTATTATTTTTAGACAGAGTCTTGCTCTGTCGCCCAGGCTGGAGTGCAGTGGTGCGATCTCAGCTCACTGCAACCTTCGCCTCCCAGGTTCAAGCAATTCTCCTGCCTCAGCCTCCTGAATAGCTGGGATTACAGGCGCCCGCCACCACACCCAGCCAATTTTTGTATTTTTAGTAGAGACAGGGTTTCACCATGTTGGTCAGGCTGGTCTCGAACCCCTGACCTCGTGATCCACCCGCCTTAGCCTCCCAAAGTGCTGGGATTACAGGCGTGAGTCACCGCGCCCGGCCTGGACATTATTTCTTAGCAAGGAGTTGAGAATTCAGTCTTTGGATTTGTTTCTCTGAAAAGAGAGCATATTTACTTGGTTGAAAATTCAAAAGGGTCTGTCACCCAGGCTGAGGGCAGCCGCAAACTCCTGGGCTCAAACAGTCCTCCCACCTTAACCTCCCAAGTAGCTGGGACTACAGGCATGCACCACCATGCCAGTTAATTTTTAAATAATTTTTAGTAGAGAAGAGGTCTCACTATGTTGCCTGGGCTGGTCTTAAGTGATCCTCCTGCCTCAGCCTCCCAAAGCACTGGGATTACAGGTGTGAGCCACCTCACCCAGCCAGCAAGTGAACTTCAGAATCAGGCAATCTAAATTTGAGTACTAGGTCAGCTACTTACTAGCTCTGCGATCCTGGGGAAATTGCTTACTTTCTCTGAACTTCAGTTTCCTGTCTGTTGTTTGGTTTAATACTAGGGGGTGCCTTCTTATTTTGTGTTTTAATTAATATAATTTTTAAAAGCAAATAAGACTACTTTTAAAAGAAATAATAGATATAAGATCACATAGAGACAGCAACAAATTCTGAAGTCTGTGCTTTAAGTGCTGTGCAGGTTTATATTATAAGCTAGAAAAGCCGGAATCTAATGTGGGCATGGAACGTGATGGTATGGGTTTGAGGTCAGGGGCCTGTGCATTATTATATTATACACTCAAAGGGAGAGAGAATCAAGAATTGGAGAAATAAATGCATACTGAAACACATAGCTAGTTCTCCCTATATCTTTTCCTTTTTTTTTTTTGGTTTGTTTTTTTGAGACAGAGTCTCACTCTGTCACCAGGCTGGAGTGCTGTGGCACGATCTCGGCTCACCGCAACCTCCGACTTCCTGGTTCAAGCAATTGTCCTGCCTCAGCCTCCCTTAGTTCTCTCTATTTCTAACCTGACAGATATTCATTCAGCCCATTTTTAAGTTGAAAAGTTTAATAATTATATTCATAACATTACTTAGACTAGTTTTTGCTGGAAGCAAAGAACGGTCATGTTACTCTGGGGCACTGGGACATTTTCCCCTTTCCTTTGACATGTCTGTCATCAAGAGTACTGTCTAAGAGTGGCCTTTCCCGTGCTGGAGCTTAATGCAGTCTTCCCACAAAAGCCTGACGAAGATTTAATTCTTTGTCTCATATGTGGTTTTAGATTTCTTCCCAATAGAGAACAGGTGCAGTGGCTCACGCCTGTAATCCGAGCACTTTGGGAAGCCAAAGCAGGTGGATCTCTTGAGGCCAGGAGTTTGGGACCAGCTTGGCCAACATGGTGAAACCCCATTTCTACTAAAAATACAAAAATTAGCCAGGCATGGTGGTGCATGCCTGTAATCCCAGCTACTCGGGAGGCTGAGGCAGGAGAGTGGCTTGAACTGGGAGGCAGAGGTGGCAGTGAGCAAAGATCGTGCCACTGCACTCCAGCCTGGGTGACAGAGCGAGACTATGTCTCAAAAAAAAAAAAGTTTTTTCCCAATAGAGTTTTCCAAACTGATGATCGGGAAGGTTCATCCAAAAAGAGCAGAAAAAAAGTTAAGACCATAAAAATAAAAAAAAATTTAGGCCGGGCATGGTGGCTCACACCTGTAATCCCAGCATTTTTGGAAGCCAAGGTGGGTGGATCACCAGAGGTCAGGAGTTTGAGACCAGCCTGGGCAACATGGCAAAATCCCATCTCTACTAAAAATACAAAAAATTAGCCGGGTGTGGTGGCGCAAGCCTGTAATCCCAGCTACTTGGGAGACTGAGGCGGGAGAATGACTTGAACCTGGAAGGTGGAGGTTGTAGTGAGCTGAGATCCAGATTGTTACCACTGCACTCCAGCCTGGGCAATAGTGCGAGACTGTCTCAAAAATAAATAAATTAAGTAATTAAAATAAATTTAAAGCAGATGAAATGTCTACATGGAAATATTCTGATTTCTTCAGGCTCCCTTTCTATATTAAAAGGTAAGTCTTACAATTAGGGATGGGCAAGTAAGAAAAATGATTAGTTCTTCCTTAAAAAAATTTTATGTAGAAAACAAATTAATGATGGACCTTCTGCCCAAAGCAGCTTTGACCAGGAGATCTGAGATTGATGCTGGGACTGCTGCTGAGATCCAGAGGATCAACAAGCTCATAGCAGCTTCCTCAGCACCATGAGATCTGGATTGTTAAACATTTAGGAGTTAAACCATGTGTCCATATGGGGGTCAAAAAAAATAAAACAGAAGTTAAAGAGAAATAGAAATTCATTTATTAAAGCCAAAAATGCTCCCCCTAATGTTTAATACCATTATTCGTTTTCAAGACTAAGTATATAGGAATTCATTAGGATGAAGAAATGGCATCCTAATCAGCAAGAAATACAGCAGAATAAATACTAACTTCAAAATGTGTTGCCTAAAAATATCCTGGCTTAATTTCATTTCCTCGGGGTACTCTGCTCGCCGCTCATGTTTTTGCAGATTGGGAGACCAAGTGGCGAGGCATGCTTTCTACATCTAGGTGATCTGGCTTCTGTCCCACCTAGAGCCATGGTTGGAGAGCTTTTCCTTTTCATAACCTTCCCCTAGGGCTGGTTAGCAGCCTCCACACCTAATCCAATCTAAAGGGTGTGCTATTTGGTGAGTTAAAGTGCTAGTGGTTTTTAGAATGAGCTAATATTAAACCAAAGCCAGTTTCAGGGTAAGGAAATCAGGAAACAAAGGATTTTTAAAGCTTCCTGGCAAGATGAAGATTAAGGTTTTAAAATCCTGTTTGGTTTTTTATTTGCAGTGAAGTAGGGGCCCTCCCAAGCCACTCTCAGTTTAGTTCAGCAAGCATTTCTCGAAGGCTTAAGGGGTCAGTAGAGGGGAGGGAGGTTACTGCTCCAAAGAGGAATCATGTTCCCAAGCACGATCTTACTTTCCAGTAGCAGTATGGCATTGCTTGCCCTGTCCATCACAAGCTCACTTCTAGTGTGCTACTAGAACTTCATGCAACTTTAGGATATGAACAATATACATTTAAGCTAACAGGTTTCTTTATGTTATTCATTTAAAGTATCAATGAACCAGGTCAGGCACCGTGGCTCACACCTGTAACCCTAGCACTTTGGGAGGCCAAGGAGGGAGGATAGGTTGAGCCCAGGAGTTCGAGGCTGCAGTGAGCTATATGATCTCGCCACTGCACTCCAGCCTGGGTGGCACAGTGAGACTCTGTATCAAAAAAAAAAAAAAAAAAGTATCAATAAACCAAATAGTTCTGGGTTATTTATTTATTTATTTGTTTGTTTGTTTTTTGAGACAGGGTTTCACTCTGTCACCCAGGCTGAGTAGAGTGGCATGATCACGATTCACTACAGCCTTGACCTCCTGGGTTTAAGTAATCCTCCCACCTCAGACTCCCAAGTAGCCTGGACCACAGGTGCATGCCACCACACCCAGTTAATTTTTTATTTTTTGGCCAGGCACTGTGGCTCATGCCTGTAATCCTAGCACTTTGGGAGGCTGAGGTGGGTGGATTGCCTGAGCTCAGAAGTTTGAGACCAGACTAGGAAATATGGTGAAACCCCATCTCTACTAAAATACAAAAAATTAGCCAGTCATGGTGGTGTGCACCTGTAGTCCCAGCTATTCAGGAGGCTGAGGCAGGAGAATTGCTTAAACCTGGAGGCAGAGGTTGCAGTGAGTCGAGATCGTGCCACTGCACTCCAGCCTGGGCCACAGAACGAGACTCTGTCTCAAGAAAAAATATATTTTTTTAATTTTTTTTGTAGAGACAGCATCTCCCTATGTTGCCCAGGCTGGTCTCAAACATCTGGGCTCAAGCAGTCCTCCTGCTTTGGCCTCCCAAAGTGCTAGGATTACAGGAATGAGCTACTGCACGTGGCCTAGTTCTGGGTTTTATTTATTTATTTATTTATTTTTGAGACGGCGTCTCGCTCTGTCACCCAGGCTAGAGTGCAGTGGCACAATCTCAGCTCCTTGCCACCTCCGCCTCCCGGGCTCAAGCCATTCTCCTGCCTCAGCCTCCTGAGTAGCTGGGATTACAGGCGCACACCACCACATCCGGCTAATTTTTGTATTTTTAGTAGAGACAGGGTTTCACCATGTTGGCCAGGCTGGTCTTGAACTCCTGACATTAAATGATCCACCCCCCTCGGCCTCCCAAAGTGCTGAGATTACAGGCGTGAGCCACCTTGCCTGGCCCAGTTCTGGGTTTTAATTGTGGCTTTTCTACTTAATAGTTATGTGACCTTGGAGAATTGACTTGACCTCTCTGAACCTCACTTCTGTTTTTAATTTTTTTTTTTTAAGAGACAGGGTCTTGCTCTGATGCCCAGGCTGGAGTGCAGTGGACCATTCACAGCTCCCTGCAGCCTCGAACTCCTGGCCTCAAGTGATCCTCCCACCTCCCACCTCAGCCTCCCAAAGTGTTAGGCTTACACGTGTAAGCCCCTGCACCTGGCCTCAACCTCACTTCTTTTCTTTTCTTTTTTTTTTTTTTTGAGACAGAGTCTCACTCTGTTGCCCAGGCTGGAGTGCAGTGGCGTGATCTTGGCTCACTGCAAGCTCCGCCTCCTGGGTTCACACCATTGTCCTGCCTCAGCCTCCCAAGTAGATGGGATTACAGGCGCCCGCCACTATGCCCGGCTAATTTTTATATTTTTAGTAGAGACAGGGTTTCACCATGCTGGCCAGGCTGGTCTCGAACACCTGACCTCGTGATCCACCGACCTCGGCCTCCCAAGGTGCTGAGATTACAGGCATGAGCCACCGTGCCCGGCCAACTCATTTCCTTTTCTAATCCACTCAGTGGTTACTTACAATTAAATCATCCCAAATTGCCATTATCATTACTTTCTCTTTCCATTTAAGTAGCCTTGTTCCATTTTTATCCTTGAATTTATTTTGAATTACATTTTTTATTCTTTTACGTTTAGTTGGGGTGTAAATTCTAAATAGGTAAGTTCTTAAGACTGCGTGTTTGGCATTGCATCATCCACCTTTGACATGTACACGATTGGGGCTGGAGTGTGTTTTACCTACTGTGTATTACCATATCCCAAATGTGATTCCCTTAGCTATTACAGAAACGTTCAGAACAACTTTGTGACTATAAAACATATAATTGTGATGTGAAATGTTAACTCTTATTTCCACTTTTCTTCCTCCTGTCTTCCTCCCCATTTTCTTCTTCTTCTTCTTTTTTTTTTTTTTTTTTTTTTTTGAGCCAGAGTCTCACTCTATCGCCCAGGCTGGAGTGCAGTAATGCAATCACAGCTCACTGTAACCTCTACCTCCTGGACTCAAGCAATCCTCCCACCTCAGCCTCCAAGCCTCCCAAGTAGCTACTAGCGGACTACAGACACACACCGCTGCATCTGCCAGATTTTTTTTTTTTTAAACAGAGTCTCAGTCTGTCTCCCAAGCTGGAGTGCAGTGGTACAATCTTGGTTCACTGCAACCTCCACCTCCTGGGCCCAAGTGATTCTCCTGCCTCAGCCTCCCGAGGAGCTGGGATTATAGGCACCCGCCACCACTCCCAGCTAATTTTTGTATTTTTAATAGAGATGGGGTTTTACCATGTTGGCCAGGCTGGTTTCAAACTCCTGATCTCAAGTGGTCAGCCCACCTCGGTTTCCCAAAGTGCTGGGATTACAGGCGTGAGCCACTGTGCCTGGCCTTAAACTTTTTATAGAGACAGGGTCTTGCCATGTTGGCCAGGCTGGTCTTGAACTCCTGGCCTCATGTGATCCTCCGGCTTTGTCCTCCCAAAGTGCTAGGATTACAGGTTTGAGCCACCCCACCTGATCTTCTTCCTCATTTTCTAAGAATGAATTCAGAGGGTTTTTTTCTACTTATGTTTATTAACAAATCCTCTTTTTCTCCCTAACTGCAGTGTGAAATGGCCACCAGTGGTGACAGACAAAGAGACTCAGAAGTTAATTTCAAGGAACTGAGAACAGCAAAAATGAAACCTGAACTACTGAGTGGACACATCCCCCCAGGCCACATTCCTAAACCTATCGTGATGCCCGACTATGTGGCGTGAGTGTCAGTCTGAATTCTTCCTCAAGGTAGAAGTTGAGAGGCCCCATTTGGTCCTTTCATTTTCCAGTTTGTCTCCAAGTTAATACTCTGTGCTTAAAATCGTGTATGTAAATAGTTGTTATCTGAGAGGTAATGTATTGAATTGAAGGTACAATATGATCAGTAAGGAATAAGATAAGCTGATTTCCCATTCAGCTTCTTTTAGTGAAACAATTATATCTTTGGCTTATGTTTTTCCCCTAGAAAATACCCTGTGATTCAGACAGATGATGAGCGAGAACGCTATAAAGCTGTGTTCCAAGACCAGTTTTCAGAGTACAAAGAGCTGTCTGCAGAAGTTCAGGCTGTCCTGAGGAAGTTTGATGAGCTGGATGCAGTGATGAGCAGATTGCCACATCATTCGGAAAGCCGACAGGTTAGTATGTGCAGCTGCCTAGGAGGAGCACTGAAATCTAGAGGATGAATAAAATCTGGCTTTTTTTTTTTTTTTTTTTTTTTTTTCTGTGAGACAGAGTCTTGTTCTGTTGCCAGGCTGGAGTGCAGTGGCACAATCTTGGCTTGCTGCAACCTCCACCTCCTGGGTTCAAGCAATTCTCCTGCCTCAGCCTCCCGAGTAGCTGGGATTACAGGCACATGCCACCACACGTAGCTAATTTTTTTCTATTTTTAGTGGAGACGCGGTTTTGCCATGTTGGCCAAGAGTGGCCTCAAGTGATCCACCTGCCTTGGCCTCCCAGAGTGCTGGGATTACAGTCATGAGCCACCGCATTTGGCATAAAATCTGGCTTTTTTTTTTTTTAAGGCTAGAATCTCACTCTGTCACCCAGGCTGGAGTGCAGTGGCGTGATCTTGGCTCACTGCAAGCTCCACCTCCCGAGTTCATGCCATTCTCCTGCCTCAGCCTCCCGAGTAGCTGGGACTAAGGCGCCTGCCACCACGCCCAGCTAATTTTTTTGTATTTTTAGTAGAGATGGGGTTTCACCGTGTTAGCCAGGATGATCTTGATCTCCTGACCTCGGGATCCACCTGCCTCGGCCTCCCAAAGTGCTGGGATTCAGGTGGGAGCCACCACGCCTGGCCCCCAAAATCTGGCTTTTAAAAAAATTTATAACCATTTACATCTGCTTTCTGTGTCTAGGAAAGCATTTGAGATCCTCAAGGTGTCTAGTCAAGATGACAATTCAAATTATGTAACTTAATATCTTTTGTCTTCAATTATTAAACAGTATTTCTTCTTTTTTTTTTTTCACTCTGTGCTTACCCATATTTTATTTTCTTACTTAAGTAAAATACGAATTTGCCTAAGATAGATACTGAGTCAGTCAGGGTCCCAAAGGAGACAGATAGCACATTCAAACTAGGATAATTCACAAAGGTTTATTCAGAAAGGGAATGTAGGGAAGCCACCAGGGGCATTGCATTCCCCTGCTAAGCCAGAGCCCAGCAGTTAGCACCCCAGGCCCAAAGGCAGAGCGCCCACTGAGTAAGAGTAGAGAGCAGAAATGGCCAGGCGCAGTGGCTTATGCCTGTAATCCCAACACTTTAAGAGGCCAAGGTGGGCAGATCGCTTGAGCCCAGGCATGCAAGACCAGCCTGGACAACATGGTGAAACCCTGTCTCTACAAAAAATATAAAAATTAGCCGGGCATGGTGGCATGCACCTGTAGACCCAGCAGGAGGCTGAGGTGCAAGGATTGCCTGAACCCAGGAGGTGGAGTTTGCAGTGAGCTGTGATTTTGTCACTACACTCCAGCCTGAAGGACAGAGTGAGACCATGTCTCCAAAAAAAAAAAAAAAAGCAAGCAGATATGAGATATGCTACAAATGTGAGCTGCTGGACACACACATCAGACAGGTAGCTGTGATTATGACAAAGAGGAAAACCAGGAGTAGATATGGTAGTTACAGAGGCTTAAGCTTTTTCGTAGTGCTCTTCCGCACCCCCCACATTTTTCACATTTTGAAATAGGAATATTGAAATAGGAATGCCTTATAACCTGTGCCATTTTTTAATTTTTATTTTATTTTATTTTTTTGAGATGGAGTTTTGCTCTTGTTGCCCAGGCTGGAGTGCCATGGCGCGATCTCGGCTCACTGCAACCTCTGCCTCCCGGGTTGAAGCGATTCTCCCACCTCGGCCTCCCAAGTAGCTGGGATTCAGGCATGCGCCACCATGCCCAGCTAATTTTGTATTTTTAGTAGAGACGGGGTTTCACCATGGTGGTTAGGCTGGTCTCAAACTCCTGACCTTATGATCCACCCGCCTTAGCCTCCCAAAGTGCTGGGATTACAGGCGTGAGCCACCGTGCCTGGCCACCTGTGCCATTTTTTAATCAGATGTACTCTTTTTTTTTTTTTTTTTTGAGATGGAGTCTTGCTCTGTCACCCAGACTGGAGTGCAGTGGTGCAATCTCGGCTCACTGCAACCTTTGCCTCCCAGGTTACGCGATTCTCCTGCCTCAGCTTCCTGAGTAGATGGGACTATAGGTGCACACCCGGCTAATTTTTGTATTTTTAGTAGAGGCAGGGTTTCCCCATTTAGGCCAGGCTGGTCTCGAACTCCTGACCTCAGGTGATCCACCTACCTCAGCCTCCCAAAGTGCTGGTATTACAGGCATGAGCCACTGCATCCGGCCCAGATGTACTCTTTTTAATTGAGATCTCATTCACATATAATAAACCCACCCTTTTAAAGTGTACAATTCAGTGAATTTTAGTATAGTTACAGAGTTTTGCAATCAGCACCACTCAAATTCCACAACAGTTTTATCACCCCAAAAAGAAACCCTATATTGGCTGGGTGTGGTGGCTCATGCCTGTAATCTCAGCAGTTTGGGATGCTGAGGCAGGCAGATCACTTGAGGTCAGGAATTCGAGACCAGCCTGGCCAACATGGTGAAATGCTGTCTCTACTAAAAGTACAAAAATTAGTTGGGCATGTTGGCAGGCTGAGTAATCTCAGCTACTTGGGAGGCTGAGGCAGGAGAATCACTTGAACCCAGGAGGTGGAGGTTGCAGTGGGCCAAGATTGCGCCACTGCACTCCAGCCTGGGCAACAGAGTGAGACCCTGTCTCAAAAAAAAAAAAAAAAAAAAAAAAAAATGAAACCCTTTACGAATTAGCAGTTATTTCCCATTCTCAGCTCTGTCCAACCATTGACAACCACTAATCTACTTTCTGTCCGAATGGATTTGCCTAGTTTGAACATTTCATATCAATCTTTTGTGTCTGGCTTCTTCATTTTGCATAATGTTTTCAAGGTTCATCCATATTTTAGCATAAGTCAATACATATTCCTTTTTGTGGTGGAATAATATTCTGCTATATGGATATACCACATTTTGTTTATCCATTTATCAAGAGATAGACATTTGGTCATTTCCAAATGTCTATATAGTCATTTCCACTCATTGGCTGTTACGAATAATGCTGGTATAAATATTTGTGTAATATTCTGTCTTTTTAAAAGAGGCTGTATTAATCTATTACATGTATGATTAAATTTTAAAAACACAGCTTTGTAAAAACTAAATGTCGGTCTGGCTGTGGTGGCACATGCCTGCAGTCCCAGCTACTTGGGAGGCTGAGGCAGGCAAGTCGTGTGAACCCGGGAGGCGGAGGTTGCAGTGAGCCAAGATCATGCCACTGCACTCCAGCCTGGGCGACAGAGCCAAAAAAAACCAAAAAACAAACAAAAAAAACTAAATGTCAAATTTATGTATGGGAACACACACACACACACACACACACACACACACACACACACACACACACACATATATATAAATTTTTTACCTGAGAAGTTAGGTGTCTTTGTTTCAATCACAGACTCTTTGTTAAGTGTGCATTTAAATCACTTATCGTTATGAGTTAACTAAGCCAAATGTGTATTACAGTAACATTTTCCTAATCCTGGAGCAATGGAATGGTGTTGGCTAAGAGACGCCAGTACCAGGAAGCAAGAGAAATTCAGCAAATATTGAGGTTGAATGTCAGTACCATTTGGAAAATAAGCAAGGCCCACAGGTCTAAGAAGGGTGACCTAGTCTCTCAGAGGCCGTCAAAGGAGTGCAGGAAGGCATGAGGCCCCAGGAATCTGGATCAGCACAGGCTGGGAAATGCAGGCTTGTTGGGAGAAATAATGAAGAAAATCCTGACCTGTAAGGCCGGGTGTGGTGGCTCACACCTGTAATCCTAGCAGTTTGGGAGGCTGAGGCGGGCAGATCACCTGAGGTTGGGAGTTCCAGACCAGCCTGACCAACATGGAGAAACCCCATCTCGGCCAGGCACAGTGGCTCATGCCTGTAATCCCAGCACTTTGGGAGGCCAAGGTGAAACCGCGTCTCTACTAAAAATACAAAAATTAGCCAGGCATGGTGGTGTGTGCCTGTAATTCCAGCTACTCAGGAGGCAGAGACAAGAGAATTGCTTGAACCCGGGAGTCGGAGGTTGCAGTGAGCTGAGATCGTGCCACTACACTCCAGCCTGGGCGACAGAGCAAGACTTCATCTCAAAAAAAAAAAAAAAGAAACCATCCCAACTAAAAATACAAAATTAGCCGCACGTGGTGGTGCATGTGTGTAATCCCAGCTACTCGGGAAGGCTGAGGCAGGAGAATCGCTTGACCCAGGAGGCGGAGGCTCTGGTGTGCCAAGATCGCGCCATTGCACTCCAGCCTGGGCAACAAGAGCGAAACTCTGTCTTAAAAAAAAAAAAAAAAAAAAAAAGCTGGGCGCGGTGGCTCACACCTGTAATCCCAGCACTTTGGGAGGCCGAGGCAGGCGGATCATGAGGTCAGGAGATCGAGACCAGCCTGGCCAGCATAGTGAAACCCCGTCCCTACTAAAAATACAAAAAATTAGCCGAGCATGGTGGTGGGCGCCTGTAATCCTTGCTACTCGGGAGGCTGAGGCAGGAGAATGGCTTGAACCTGGGAGGCGGAGGTTGCAGTGAGACGAGATTGTGCCATTGCACTCCAGCCTGGGTGACAGAGTGAGACTCTGTCTCAAAAAAAAAAAACAAAGAAAATCTTGACCTTGACCTGTAATCTTTGAGCCAACACCCAGTGGTATCTGGTTTGTGTGCTTTGTATGAATGGACAAGGGCTGCAGCACATGGTCTGCAGTTGGGAAATCAAGAGGGTCCTGATGACAGTACAGGTTGAGAGACCAAGTCTTCCCATGATGTTTCCACACAATATCAACAACAGCCATTACCTGTGATTTTTAACAAGACAGGGCTTGTAAGTAACCCAATGGCAGGCCCACGGTTATTATTATCAGTGTATCCTCCAGTCCTTATCTAAAGTAGAAATATTAACCATATTACAAAAGTTAGCTTCTCCTTGGCCACAGGCTGAGCTTTGTCCTGGGCAGGAGTCCACAGGCTCATTCGTTTTCCCACCATGTCCCCATGGAAGCATGTGAGGCATTTCAAAGCCCAGTGGGCCTGTTTGGAGGCAGGTTCTCCCACAGACATGGTTGTGCACCACTGAAAAATAGTCACATGACTTTTCTGAGCCCATAAAGTAGAAATATTGCCCCAAACAATCCCTCTGGTCCTCACCACTCCTTAAATTCAGTGACAGACTCTAGATGGATGTTACAGCTCATCTCTGCCTGCATCTCCAGCACAGCAGTGCTAACCCCAATAGCAAGTTTATTCCTTGTCCAGGATCTGTTATTACAGATTACAATTAAATCACCAGGTTTATCTTCACTGCTGGCAAGCATTCAAAACACAAACATACTCATGATCTCAGTATGTAAAAGAGATTGAAGAATTAAAATAGTTCAGGCAAGGGGGCTCATGGCTGTAATCCCCACACTTTGAGAGACAAGGCAGGAAGAGTGCTCAAAGCCAGGAGTTCAAGATGAGCTTGGGCAACATAGCAAGACTGCATCTACACACAAAAAAGTAAAAGTTAGCGGCCGGGCATGGTGGCTCACACCTGTAACCCCAGCACTTTGGGAGGCCGAGGTGGGTGAATCACAAGGTCAGGAGTTCGAGACCAGCCAGGCCAACATGGTGAAACCCCATCTCTACTGAAAATACAAAAAATTAGCTGGGCGTAGTGGCAGGTGCCTGTAATCCCAGCTACTCGGGAGGCTGAGGCAGGAGAATCACTTGAACCTAGGAGGCGAAGGTTGCAGTGAGCCGAGATCGCACCACTGCACTCCAGCCTGGGTGACAGAATTGAGACTCCATCTCAAAAATAAAAAAAAATAAATATAAATAAAAATTAGCCAGGCCTGGTGATGTGCCGTATAATCCCAGCTACTTGGGAGGCTGAGACAGGAGGATCACTTGAGCCCAAGAAGTTTTGGTTACAGTGAGCTATTACACCACTGCCTTCCAGCTTGGGCAACAGAGCAAGACCCTGTCTCAAAAAAAAAAAAAAAAAAAGAAGAAAATATACTGGGAAAAGGATATGGGTCAGTGATAGAAAAAGTTCTCAGGCCAAGCTTTTATTTTATTAGTTTTTTATTTATTTATTTATTTTTGAGACAGAGTCTCTGTTGCCCAGGCTGGAGTGCAGTGGCGTGATCTTGGCTCACTGCAACCTCCGCCTCCTGGGTTCAAGTGATTCTACTGTCTCAAACTCCTAAGTAGCTGAGATTACAGGTGCCCGCCACCATGCCTGGCTAATTTTTGTATTTTTAGTAGAGATGGGGTTTCGCCATGTTGGCCAGGCTGGTCTTGAACTCCTGATCTCAGGTGATCCACCCGCCTCAGCCTCCCAAAATGCTGGGATTACAGGTGTAGGGCAAGCTTTTAGAACTATAAATTACTGGCTGGGCACAGTGGCTCATGCGTGTAATCCCAGTACTTTGGGAGGCCAAGGTGGGTGGATCACTTGAGGCCAGGAGTTCGAGACCAGCCTGGGAAACATGGCAAAACTCCATCTCTACTAAAAATACAAAAATTAGCTGGGCATGGTGATGCACACCTATAATTCCAGCTACTTGGGAGGCTGAGGCTCAATAACAGCTTGAGCCAGAGAGGTGGGAGTTGCAGTGAGCTGAGATCACGCCACTGTACTCCAGCCTGGGCGACAGAGGGAGACTGTCTTAAAATGAAAAAAAAAACGCTGTAAATTATTATATTTATTTATTTATTAGGTTTGCATTGTCTGACAATCTCTATGCATAGGTTTGCATGGATGAACGAGGGCATTGCTATAGTAATGTGTTCCCTTTGGATAGGCCGTTCAACTCCTTAACAAAGTTCGTATTTATTATAAAACTTAGAAAAAAGTTACAAGGAGCCTTATATTAGCTATTTTCAAAAGTTGCATACTCTCAAACTTCTTAATCCCAACACCTAATAACTCAAAAAAGAACTTTCCAAAAAGGATGAACATAATCATAGCTAATGTGGTTATTATGTGGCAAGCACTTTATAAGGATCATTTCAAATAAGTGAACCTTCTTACAACCCTTTGAGATCATTATGGTTTTATTTCCATTTTACCAGTAAGGAAACTGAACTTGCCAGCTGTATGACCCTGGGCAAGCTATGTATCCTCCCTAAGGGCCTGGGGCTTGGGTCTGGTTGCATGTGGTCAGGGCCCTTTCTCTCTTTTATCGCCTGGGCCTAGCAGACAGTAAGCCTTCAAATATTTGCCTGTGAATTGAATTTTTGTGTGTGAATGTTTTCATTATTTTCTTAGGTAAAAATTATTTTTTGTTCTAATTCTCAGTGTGCTTTGAGATATGATTTGAGTAAATGCAAATGTTTTAACTTAAGTATACAATGTATTATTTTTAGGAACATGAGAGAATTTCAAGAATCCATGAAGAGTTTAAGAAAAAAAAGAATGTGAGTAAAACAGTTTTCTTCAAACTGTATTCTTATCCAAGTACATATGTGATAATTTACAGACTCTAGATTCTGTTAGCTAAAATAGTTCCTTTTTGTATTTCATGGGATGCTCCTTTTAAGAGAAAATGGCTGCTGGATGCCATTTCTTCTCATGTCTGCTCTGAATACATTTTGCTGTGTCCTGATTTAGCAACCTAGAGAAATGAGCATTGATCAGGAATTCTCCACCTGTTCCTTCAAAAAGATGAACTGATTTTACATCTTTCCAACTCTAACTTAATCTCAAAATCAGTAGAGGTGGCTGGACACTGGCTCAGGCCTGTAATCCCAGCACTTTGGGAAGCCAAGGCGAGTGGAACGCTTGAGCCCAGGAGTTTGAGACCAGCCTGGGCAACATGGCGAAACCTTGTCTCTACAAAAAAATACAAGCATTAGCCGGTAGTGGTGGCACACGCCTGTAGCCCCAGCTACTTGGGAGGCTGAAGTGGGAGGATCACTTGTGCCTGGGAGGCAGAGGTTGCACTGGGAGACAGTACGCCACTGCACTCTAGCCTGGGCAACAAAGTGAAACCCTGTCTCAAAAAGAAAAAAAAAATCAGTAAAGGCTGGAGAGACCGTTTATTAGTATTTTCTATACTTATTACTTTTTCTTTTTTTTTAAAGAGATGGGGTCTTGGCATGTTGCCTAAGCTGGCCTCAAATACCTGGGCTCAAGCAATCCTTCCACCTCAGCCTCCTGAGTTGCTGGGACTACAGGCACATGCCACTGTACCTGGCTTTATCAGATATTAAAATGAAAGGTGTCTTAGCACTTTGTACTTCTGCTTGATTTTGCTGTGAACCTAAAACTGCTCTAAAAAAAAAAGTACATTTAAAAAATATGTAGAGAGCTTAACTGTTACCCTGAGTTCAGAATCTGCTGTAGAGACTTTTGCTATGTATGATCATTTCCTGGGTGACAATGTATGTTTCTGTGTTTTTCACTGAGGAAGCCAGGAGCCAAAATAATACTTATATTTCTTTTACAGGATCCTACATTTCTGGAAAAAAAAGAACGCTGTGATTACCTAAAGAATAAACTTTCTCACATAAAGCAAAGAATTCAAGAATATGATAAAGTAATGAATTGGGATGTACAAGGTTATTCTTAACGCTTATTTGAAACCACTTTATTTTTTTATTTTATTTTATTTTTTTGAGATGAAGTCTCGCTCTGTTACCCAGGCTGGAATGCAGTGGCACAATCTCGGCTCACTGCAACCTCCACCTCCCGGGTTCAAGCAATTCTCCTGTTCAAGCAATTAGCCTCCCCAGTAGCTGGGATTACAGGCGTGCGCTGCCACACCCCGCTAATTTTTGTATTTTTAGTAGAGACGAGGTTTCACCATGTTGGTCAGGCTGGGAAACTACTTTTTTTAAAAAATAGCAAGTTTACTATTTATTTACTGCCTTTTTAATGCTAGCCTCTGTGGTAGAGAAGCAAGCGCTTCCCAAATCAGCTTCCAATTGGTTTAACCAGTATGCAACATTAAAGATTTTACTCAGACATTTTTAAACGAATTCAAATGTTCTAAGGGCCTTTACTAAGAATGGAAAAAATCCTGTGTTCATCTTTCATCTGTGACCAATTTCATATTCATCTATCTCATTTAAATGTGTCATCATTTTAGAGATCGTATCCTGGCAGTGTGATGGGCAAGTGGACCATCAATTCTGGTGCTACTTTTTCCTTTTTTACTCAGGCAGGTTCCTAGGATTTTTCTGGGACAAATTTCTCTTCCTAGAGAAATTCCTAGGGGATTTCTAAAGGATTTTTCTAAGGGAAAAAGGGTGACATCTTTCAAAGGTGTCATTTATTCCCTTGAAAGGTGTTTGAATCCCAGATCAACATTTTCAGACATCCTGATCTTGGGCAAATTGCTTAATCTCTCTGTGCCTGTTTCCTCTTCTGTAAAATGGGGCTAATAATAGTTCCTTCCTCATAGAGTTGTTAGGATTAAAGGAGTTACTAATATGGTAGGAACTATATTAGTGTTTGTGAAGTCTACTGAAGTGTTTGTGAAATGAATAAATTATAAAGAATGAGTCTCAAGAAAAGGTCCTTAATGAGCAAGCCCAACCTACTTAACCAAAAGCCCAAGTGTCTGGTGCCTTTCTGGTTTGTGGTGTTAACTCATGGCCTTAGCCTGGTGCTTCACTGTGGCTCTGTGGCCCCTGGGGTTCCACATGGCCTCCCTGTCTTTCATCAGTGTGACTGTACATCTCTCCATCTCCCCATAGTCCAGCCTGCCCTGGACACATTGAATTGTATGAATGGTATTGCTTTTTTTTTTTTTTTTTTTGTGAGACAGAGTCTTACTCTGTTGCCCAGACTGGAGTGCAGTGGTGCGATCTCGGCTCACTGCAAGCTCCGCCTCCCAAGTTCACGTCATTTTCCTGCCTCAGCCTCCCGAGTAGCTGGGACTACAGGCACCTGCCACCACGCCCAGCTAATTTTTTTGTATTTTTAGTAGAGATGGGGTTTCACCGTGTTAGCCAGGATGATCTCGATCTCCTGACCTCATGATCCACCCGCCTCAGCCTCCCAAAGTGTTGGGATTACAGGCGTGAGTCACCGCGCCCAGCTGGTATTGCTTTTCTATTCCCTTTGGACATACATGCTACAGTCCCACAATGTAGCATTTCCTTGGAAACTCCCTTTTTTTTTTTTTTTGAGATGGAGTTTCGCTCTTGTTGCCCAGGCTGGAGTACAGTGGTATGATCTTGGCTCACTGCAGCCTCTGCCTCC
This sequence comes from Homo sapiens, assembly GCF_000001405.40. Lineage (NCBI taxonomy): Eukaryota > Metazoa > Chordata > Mammalia > Primates > Hominidae > Homo > Homo sapiens. The sequence goes on from NW_025791777.1 coordinate 110,048, forward strand.
TGGGTTCAAGCGATTCTCCTGCCTCTGCCTCCCAAGTAGCTGGGATTACAGGCACCCACCACCATGCCCAGCTAATTTTTTGTACTTTTAGTAGAGACAGGATTTCACTATGTTGGCCAGGTTGGTCTCAAGCTCCTGACCTCAGATGATCTACCAGCCTCGGCCTTCTGAAGTGCTGGGATTCAGGTGTGAGCCACTGTGCCCAGCAGGGATGCTTCATCTTTCTAAGAATTATCTTGGCTTTGGACTTTATTCATAAATGTTTTATTTCTGTTAGTATGAACAATAGACTGCCTTAACAAAGTTTTTTTTTAAACAAAATCGTTCTTGTTGGATTTTATTCAGCAGCATCTATCATGTAGATAAATTCCCAGGTGTAGCATTACAGCTTCTGACTAATATAGCTGCCATTCAGACAATTAATGTTCAAAGAGTTTTCTAAAGTGATAAAACCAAAGAAAAGCATGTGGAAAAGCAGAAGCTTAGAAAGTTGTGGTCACTGAATGCACTCCCTGGTTTTTATTTGTCAGTGAAATCTTTATGCATTCATTGTTAATATTTTAATTCCATGGCTTTGTAGGCTGTGCTGTGTCTGAAGGGGTAACACCTAGGGAAACATGAGGCCCCTTATGGGACCCCCCAAATGGAACAACTTCACTTTCTCTTTTATGTATTGAGCCCTGTGTTAACATTTCACTTAAGAAGAGCACCAGTGCTTTAAAAAAAAAAAAAAAAAAAAAAAAAAAGGTAAAATATTACCATTTTGATAGACTGTAAAGAGTTAGATTCCTGTTGAAGTGTTAAGGAAATTTAACTTTGTGAAACTTTTAAAATAAAGTTTATAAATGTAGCTAATCTTTGAAAAACCAATGCAGTAACACTGATTTGTAAATGTTGTGGTCAATCCCTAGGTGCATTAAAGTTTCAGTCACCTGCCGTGTGTGTGTGTGCCCTTTTATGTTTGCCTTCCTAGCATTCCTGTGTTCACTGTGCATGTTCTTGAAAATATTTTCACTTGTCAGAAAATAAACTGGAAAGTCATTGAAAACCCGTAGGTCACGATGCTCAGGTGACTCACTGTTTCTCCTTCCCCCATTATTCGCAATAATTCAAAGTCCAGGCCACTATATTAGTTTCCTAGGACTGCCATGACAATGTACTACAAACTGAGTGGCTCAAAACAACTGAAGTGTGTTGTCTCACAGACCTGCAGCCTAGAAGTCTGGAAGCAGGGTGTCAGCTGGGACATGCTCCCTCAAAAACCTGTAGGGGAGTCCTCTTCTAGTTTCTGGTGGTTTGCTGGCCATGTTTGATGTTCCTTGGCTTGTAGATGCATCTCTCCAATCCTCCATTCTCGCATGGCCTTCTCCCTGTCTGGCCATACCAGTCATATTGGATGAGAGGCCCACCTTCTCCAGCATGACCTCCTGTGAACTCATTACATTTGCTAGGACGCTATTTCCAAGTAAAGTCACGTTCTGAGGTACTGGAGGTTAGGAACTTCAGTGTTATCTTTTTGAGAGGCCACAGTTTAGCCTGTAATAGCTACCTTTGGCAAGTTACAAGATTCAGAAGGAAAAGTACTTCCCTGTACATTTTCTTTCTTCCATATTATTTTTTCTTTTATTTTTTGTGATGGAGACTCACTCTGTCGCCCAGGCTGGAGTGCAGTAGTGTGATTGGCTCACTGCAACCTCTGCCTCCTGGGTTCAAGCTAGTCTCCTGCCTCAGCCTCCCAAGTAGCTGGGATTACAGGCACTCACCACCACACCCAGCTAAATTCTATATTTTTAGTAGAGACAGGGTTTCATCTTATGTTGGCCAGGCTGTTCTCGAACTCCTGACCTCAAGTGATCTGCCCGCCTCGGCCTCCCAAAGCAATTCCCCTGCCTCAGCCTTCCAAAGTGCTGGGATTACAGGTGTGAACCACTGCACCCAGCCCTTCCATATTATTTTAACATGTATTCTAATTTGAAAATTAATATGAGGATATGTCAGTATATCTAAAACTTGAAAAAAGTATATGCCAGTTATATGTCAAATGCTTTTATTGTCCCAGATATGTTAGCATTAAAGATACTGAAATCAGTGAAACAGGTAGAGACTTTGGGGGTGGTAATGAAGTACATATTTCTAGAAATTGTTTCTGATATTGAGATGCACCGACATTTGAAAGATACAACACAGGAAAAGTCTACAATTTTTTCTGACCATCTTTTTTTAACTATTATAATTTTTAAAAATAATGAGTATAAAAGCTTAGAAAACAAAAGTCCTACCAGTACCAATTCTATTCCCTGGCAGTATATACTGTTTGCAGTATACCCTCCCAGACCTTTGTGGTGTGTATAATCACCTTTATTTATTTATTTATTTATTTTTACAAAAATGGCTTTAGACATTTTATTTTTGAGATGAAGTATTGCTCTGTCGCCCAGGCTGGAGTGCAGTGGCATGATCTTGGCTCACTGCAACCTCCCCCTCCTGGGTTCAAGTGACCCTCCCACCTCAGCCTCCTGAGCAATGAGGACTACAGACGCATACCACCACGCCCAGCTAATTTATGTATTTTTAATAGAGATGTGATTTTGCTGTGTTGGCCAGGCTGATCTTGAACTCCTGACCTCAAGTGATCTGCCCACCTTGGCCTCCCAAAGTGCTGGGATTACAGGCATGAGCCACCACACCTGGCTGTAAAATCACTTTAAAATTGTCTACTTTAATGCTTTCAATGGGTTTCTTTTTTGGGATTGTTGTTGTTGTTTTGATATGGAGTCTTGCTCTGTTGCCCAGGCTGGAGTGTAGTGGTGCTACCTCCGCTCACCACAACCACCACCTCCTGAGTTCAAGCAATTCTCCTGCCTCCGCCTCCTGAGTAGCTGGGATTACAGGCGCACACCACCATGCCCAGCTAATTTTTGTATTTTTAGTAGAGACAGGGTTTCACCATGCTGGCCAGGCTGGTCTTGAACCCCTGACCTCAAGTGATCTACCTGCCTTGGCCTCCCAAAGTGCTGGGATTACAGGCATGAGCCACCATGCCCGGCTGCTTTCAATGGGTTTTTAAAGGAGAGTATGACAGACCTGCTCGAGCATGTAATAGACTACTTGTCCTATAATAGACAAACTGGGGATAGGCAGAAGGCAGGAGGGATGGTTTAGCCCCGCAGAAGGCGAAGAAGGTGAACTTCTGAGCTCATCACAACCAAGACTCCATTTCTTACTATGTGGCCTTGACAAATTAACATCTCCAACCATCAGCCTCCTTAACTGTGATGTGGCGATAATACCACCTGACGAAATTGTTGTGAAAATTAAATAATGTAAAACACCACGAAGATACTTGCTCAATAACTGGTGGCTAGATACTCAAAATATACTTTTCATTGTGTTAAATAATAAGGTGGCTATAGACTATCAAAATGACTTCTTTTGAATAATAAAAGTTATAAAAAGCTTTTTTAAAAAGTATATAGGTAATATATTTATTATAGAAAATTGATTAGGTCAGGGGTGGTGGCTCATGCCAGTAACCCCAGCCCTTTAGGAGGCTGATGTGGGTGGATCACTTGAAGCCAGGAGTTTGAGAACAGCCTGGCCAACATGGCAAAAACCCTTCTCTGCTGAAAATACAAAAATTAGCTGGGCGTGTTGTCGCACACTGTAGTCCCTGGAGGTAGTCCCGGGAGGCTGAGGCACGAGAACCGCTTGAACCTCAGAGGTGGAGGTTGCAGTGAGCTGAGATCGTGCCACTGCACCCCAGCCTGGGCGACAGAGCAAGACTCTGTCTCAGAAAAAAAAAAAAAAAAGTACAAAAATTAGCCTGGTGTGGTGGTGCACGCCTGTAATCTCAGCTACTCGAGAGGTTGAGGCATGAGAATTGCTTGACCCCAGGAGGTGGAGGTTGCAGTTAGCTGAGACCATGCCACTGCACTGCAGCCTGGGTGACAGAGTAAGACTCTGCAGAAGGAAGGGAAGGGAAGGGAGGGGAGGGGAGGGGAGGGGAGGGGAGGGGGAAAGAGAAAGAAGAAAGAGAAAGAAGGAAGGAGAGAGAGAGGAAGGGAGGGAGGGAGGGAAAGAGAAAAGAAAGAGAAAGAAGAAAAGAAAGAAGAAAGAAAAAGAAGAAAAGAAGGAAGGAAGGGAAGAGAGAGAGAGAGAAAGGAAGGAAGGAAGGAAAGAAAGAAGAGAGGCCAGGTGCGGTGACTCACGCCTGTAATCCCAGTACTTTGGGAGGCTGAGGCAGGCGGATCAAGAGGTCAGGAGATCGAGACTGTTCTGGCTAACATGGTGAAACCGCGTCTCCACTAAAAATACAAAAAATTTAGCTGGGCTTGGTTGCGGGCACTTGTAGTCCCAGCTACTCGGGAGGCTGAGGCAGGAGAATGGCGTGAACCCGGGAGGCGGAGCTTGTAGTGAGCCGAGATCGCGCCACCACACTTCAACCTGGGCAACAGAGCAAGACTCAGTCTCGGAAAAAAAAAAAAAAAAGAAAGTTATTTTGAAACTCCAACCTCTGATGATAGAATTCAGAATAGGGGTTACCTGTGAGAGAGGTTTATTGGCTGGGAAGGAGCATGAGGGAGCTTTCTGGGTACTATACCTTCATCTGGTTCGTTGCTTACCAGGATATATACATATTTAAAAATCCATCAAGCTAAGCATTTAAAATTGGTGCCTTTTACTGTACATATATTATACATGTATTTTACCTCAATTTTTTTTCTTTTTTAAGACGGAGTCTCTCTCTGTTGCCCAGGCTGGAGTGCAGTGGCGCAATCTCGCCTCACTGCAACCTCCACCTCCAGAGTTCAAGTGACTCTCCTGCCTCAGCCTCCCGAGTAGGTGGGATCACAGGTGTGAGCCACCACGCCCAGCTAATTTTTGTATTTTTAGTAGTGACGGGGTTTCACCATGTTGGTCAGGCTGATCTCGAATTCCTAGCCTCAAGTGATCCACCCACCTCGGCCTCCCAAAGTGCTGGGATTACAAGTGTGAACCACTGCGCCTGGACAGGGTCTTGCTCTGTCTCCCAAGCTGGAGTGCAGTGATGTGATCTCAACTCACTGCAACCTCTGCTTTCCAGGCTCAAGCAGCCCTCCAGCCTCAGACTCCGGAGCAGCTGGGCAGCTGGGACCACAGGAGCAAGCTACCACGCCCAGCTAATTTTTTTTTTTAAGAGATGGGGTTTCCATGTTGCCCAGGCTGGTATATCTCAAATTTTTTTTTTTTTTTTGAGACGGAGTTTTGCACTGTTGCCAGGGCTGGAGTGCAATGGTACGATCTCAGTTCACTACAACCTCTGCCTCCCAGGTTCAAGCGATTCTCCTGCCTCAGCCTCCCGAGTAGCTGGGATTACAGGCGCCTGCCACCATGCCCGGCTAATTTTTTGTATTTTTAGTAGAGACGGGGTTTCACTATGTTGGCCAGGCTGGTCTCGAAGTCCTGACCTCCAGATCTGCCCGCCTTGGCCTCCCAAGTGCTGGGATTACAGGCGTGAGCCACCGTGCTTGGCCCTCAATTTCTAACAATTATACTGTATACATGTTTGAACAAAAGTATGTTCACAGTTTTTTTTTAAGTAATGTTGTTGTTGTTGTTGTTGTTGTTTTGAGACACTGTCTCACTCCCTCGCCTGGGCTGGAGTGCAGTAGTGTGATCTCGGCCCACTGCAACCTCTGCCTCCTGCGTTCAAGTGATTCTCCTGCCTCAGCCTCCTGAGTAGCTGAGATTACAGGTGTGAGCCACCACACCTGGATAATTTTTGTATTTTTAGTAGAGATGAGGTTTCACCATGTTGGCCAGGCTGTTGTCGAACTCCTGACCTCAGGTCATCCACTCACCTCAGCCTCCCAAAGTGCTGGGATTACAGGCGTGAGCCACCGCGCCTGGCCAAAAAAATGTAAATTTAAGAATACAATGCTTTCATAAATTGGGAACTGCCTGTAGTGTTCTAGTGATCTTTGGAAAACATTTACAAAGTTCTGGAGAAACAAAAATCTTACAACTATTGGCTTCATGAGCCATATTTGAAACCCAAGCCTGTGTGTGTGTGTGTGTGTGTGTGTGTATGACTTGAAGCCAAACCCCACATCTAAGATGGTAGATATAACCATTTCGTCCCCTTTTCCCCTATGAGTGGTTCTAAAACAAAAAGTCTGCAAGTGAATGGGCCTGATTTATACCTGTTTAAATGCTTTTATTCAACATAATTGCATTCATGCCTATGAATTCCCTTTGTGTATAGGGCAGGAGGCTGAAGGATGTATGACACGTGGGGAAAATGCTGTTAGTTAATGTGTGAACAATAGTAGCCCTTCCCAATTTAAATCTTGTTTGTGACCAGTAAGCCTGCCAGTGTTAATATTCAAGGGTACTCTGCGGATTGCTATTGCTGAAGGGCAAAGCCAAGTTAAAAGACAAAGTTACTCAGAACTAGCTTCCCAAGTATTTGGAAGGTGCCTGCCATGTGATATAGCTGCCCAGATGCAGCAATGTGGTGAAAACAGTCGGCCACTGTTCTTAGAGTTTATAGTGATATCCAGGATTTTCTTAGAAACCCTCAGGGTTGGCCGGGCGCGGTGGCTCACGCCTGCAATCCGAGCACTTTGGGAGGCCGAGGTGGGCAGATGACAAGGTCAGCAGATCGAGACCATCCTGGCTAACACAGTGAAACCCCGTCTCTACTGAAAATACAAAAAAAAAAATAAAAATTAGCCAGGCGTGGTGGCAGGCGCCTGTAGTCCCAGCTACTCAGGAGGCTGAGGCAGTAGAATGGCGTGAACCCAGGAGGTGGAACTTGCAGTGAGCCGAGATCGCGCCACTGCACTCCAGCCTGGGTGACAGAGCAAAACTCCATCTCAGAAAAAAAAAAAAAGAAAGAAAGAAACCCTCAGGGCTAAGGGTTTGAAATTAGAGAATATGAGAGATTACATACTGTAAGAACAACATTATGGTAGGTGTTTGATGTCAATGTGCCAAATGTCCATGAGTAACTCATGAGTCAATTTCAGAGAGTCACTGTTTCCCTACAGTTCCTTGATTTCTGCCTATTCTCAAGAGGAGAAATTGGTACTGAATGACTGTACTGTAGAAATTCCTCTTCCTCTTTGTGACATTCCCACCAGCAATGCATGCGGGTTTCAATTTCTCCACATCCTTGCCAACACTTGTTATTTTCTCTTTCTCTCTTTTAATAAATAGCCATACTGCCAGGCACAGTGGCTCACACCTGTAATCCCAACACTTTGGGAGGCCGAGGTACGCGGATCACTTGAGGTCAGGAGTTTGACACCAGCCTGGCCAACACGGTGAAACCTCGTCTCTACTAAAAATACTAAATTAGCTGGGCATGGTGGTGCATGCCTGTAATCCCAGCTACTCAGGAGGCTGAGGCAGGAGAATCACTTGAACCTGGGAGGCAAAGGTTGCAGTGAGCCTAGATTGCGCCACAGCACTTCAGCCTGGGCGACAGAGCAAGACTGTCTCAATAAATAAATAAATAAATAGCCATCCTAATAGATGTGAAGTGGTATCTCATTATGGTTTGAATTTCCTTAATGATTAGTGATGTTCAGCATTTTTTTCACGTACTTACTGGCCATGTGTACATCTTCCTTGAAAAATGGCCATTCAAATCCATTGCCCTTTTTTTTTTTTTTGAGGTGGAGCCTCACTCTGTCACCCAGGCTGGAGTGCAGTGGCACGATCTCGGCTCACTGCAACCTCCGCCTCCCGGGTTCAAATGATTTTCCTGCCTCAGCCTCCCGAGTAGCTGGGCCTACAGGTGTGTGCCACGATGCCCGGCTAATTTTTTGTATTTTTGGTAGAGATGGGGTTTCACCGTGTTAGCCAGGATGGTCTCGATCTCCTGACCTCGTGATCCACCCGCCTCGGCCTCCCAAAGTGCTGTGATTTATAGGCATGAGCCACCATGCCCGGCTGGTCATTGCCCATTTTTAAATTGGGTTGTGGTCGTTTTGTTGTTCAGTTGTAGGAGTTCTTTATATATTTTGAATTTGATTTAGTTTTGAACTTGGCTAAATCCATCTGTTTGTTCATCAGAAGAGTTGTAAAAATATATGCCAGAAAATAATCTCAGCTAAATTATCTTTGGATACAAAAATAATATAATCTGATAGGGGGCTTAATGATGGTGGAGTTTAGGTCAACAGATGTTACTGTTGGACTGCTGGTTGGGCTGGCCAGATAAGTATAGTAGGTCACAAAAAAATTAAAAGTATAGAAGTCAAGCAACAAGGCCAAGACTCCTTTGAGACCTGCAGCTGTGTTTTCTGGGTACCCAGTACCCAAGCCTTGTGCTTGGTACTTGTCCTCTGTACTCCAAACCTGGGTGTCCATAAATTGGGTAGAAAATGGCAGAAACAGCTGGGCGCAGTGGCTCATGCCTGTAATCCCAGCACTTTGGGAGGCCGAGGTGGATGGATCACCTGAAGTCAGGAGTTAGAGACCAGCGTGACCAACATGGGTTTCACCATGTTGGTCACGCTGGTCTCAACTAAAAATACAAAAATTCGCTGGGTGTGGTGGCAGATGCCTGTAATCCCACCTACTCGGGAGGCTGAAATAGGAGAATCGCTTGAACCTGGGAGGCAGAGGTTGCAGTGAGCCAAGATCATGCCACTGCACTCCAGCCTGAGAGACAGAGTGAGACTCCATCTCAAGAAAAAAAAAGAAAGAGAGAGAGAGAAAAAAAGAAAGGAAGGAAGGAAGGAAGGGGAAGGTAAGGGAAAGAAGGAAGGAAGGAAGAAAGAAAATGGAAGAGACAGGTTTCACACGTGTTTTTGGTTTGTAGCAGTGGGTAGGGAGTGCTTCAGTGAATCATTCACAGATCCTCTAGGTCAAAAGATTCTGAAGAAAATAGAACACATACTTGGTGAAACTGTTGTGGGACATGTGAATGAAATTAGGAATATATGATGGGAGAGCTCATTCAGAGAACTGGGAGAATGGGGATTCAGGTATAAATATTGAGTAAGAAAATAGGAAAGTAGTTATCAGAAACAAATACTTGGGACAACGGTATTAAAATTATTATAAAACAAACCTCCTGATTATACTTTCCATCTCCAGAGCTGGTTTCGGTATCACTATTTTACAGGAATATTACACCTGGCAGAGTTAAGAGGCAATCTAAATATTTACTTTCATGCTGCAACCTTTGCCCTGTTTGCAGTCTAGTTTCCCTGAGCTTTTAGAAGATAAGATACAAGCATTTGAATTTTGAGATAGTTTCATAAATATCGCAAATAACTGAAGCACCATGCTAACAAAACCTGACCTTTTCAAAACAGCAACACAAAGATTGGTTATATCTAATGTTATAGAAAATTATTTTTATCTAGTTATCTCATTATAATAATTCAACATATATTCCGAATAAGAGGAAGGAAAACTACTTAAAATTTTACCAAAATAAATCAGTTAATAAGCCTTTTAGCTTTTTTTCTTTTTCTTTCTTTCCTTGTTTTTGTTTGTTTGTTTTTGTTTGTGGCTATTTCAACTCCAGATAAGCCCTTTAAATAAAATAATAAACACTTTCGGAGGCTGAGGTGGGAGGATCACTTGAGCCTAGAAGTTTGAGACTAGCCTGGGCAACATGGCAAGACCCATCTCTAAAAAAAAAAAAATCATTAAGGCCGGGCCTGGTGGCTCACACCTGTAATCCCAGCACTTTGGGAGGCTGAGGCGGGTGGATCACGAGGTCAGGAGATCGAGACCATCCTGGCTAACACGGTGAAACCCCATCTCTACTAAAAAAAACAAAAACAAAATTAGCCAGACGTGGTGGCGGGCGCCTGTAGTCCCAGCTCCTTGAGAGGCTGAGGTGGCAGAATGGTGTGAACCCGGGAAGTGGAGCTTGCAGTGAGCCAACATTGCACCACTGCACTCCAGCCTGGGCGACAGAGCAAGACTTCCTCTAAAAAAAAAAAAAAAAAAATCATTAAAAATAAGCTGGGTGTGGTGGCGCACGCCTGTGAGCCCAGCTACTGGGGAGACTGAGGCAGGAGGACCACTTGAGCCCAGGAGGTCCAGGGTGCAGTGAGCCGTGTTCATGCCACTGTACTCCACCCTGGGTGACAGAGGGAGACCCTGTCTCAAAAAAAAAAAAACCAGAAAGAAACCAAACTTTGTTATGTTGCTTACCTTTCTTTTCTGAGGGGCTAGGGTGGTGTGCATTGGAGGAGTGGCCCACAAGTTCAAAAGACCAGGAGGGATGTTACTTCCTTTTCTTTTCTTTTTTTCTTTTTTGAGACAAAGTCTCGTTCTGTCACCCAGGCTGGAGTGCAGTGGTGCAATCACGGCTCACTGCAGCCTCAACCTCCTGGGCTCAAGTGATCCTCTCACCTTAGCCTCCCAAGTAGCTGGGACCACAGGTGCACCTCACCATGCCTGGCTAATTTTTAAAAATTTTTTGTAAAGACACCGTCTCCCTATGTCAGCCAGACTGGTCTTGAACTCCTGGGCTCAAGTAACCCCCTGCCTCTGCCTTCCAAAGTGTTGGGATTATAGGTGTGAGTCACTGTGCCTAGCCCCTTCCTTTTTTTTTTTTTTTTTTTAAACAATTTTTAAAAGCTGTGGAAAGCTAAGACCAGTGCCCAATAATAAAAGGAAGATGTGGCTTTAATCTCTTAATATAACTTTGAGGCATGACCAGAGAAGTTGGAAGTGCTAGATTCAGTCTATAATTTTTATTTATTTGTTTGTTTGTTTATTTATTTATTTATTTTTGAGACGGAGTCTCACTCTGTCGCCCAGGCTGGGGTGCAGTGGCGCGACCTCGGCTCACTGCAAGCTCCGCCTCCTGGGTTCACGCCATTCTCCTGCCTCAGCCTCTTGAGTAGGTGGGACTACAGGCGCCCACCACCACGCCCAGCTAATTTTTTGCATTTTAAGTAGAGATGGGCTTTCACCGTGTTAGCCAGGATGGTCAGTCTATTATTATTTTTAATCCCGGAAGAAGGAAGAGGGAAGAGTCCGTGGCTCTGATTTTCAGCTCTGAATTTCCAAGGACATAACCTAACAAATTCAGCCACCATGCTCTTCCTTCTGTCGTGAAATCTGTTTTATTTTCAACTGGCTTGTGGCAGCTGACTCTGCCTCCTCTCTTCCAGGCTCTGAGATGCCCCTTTTCCCGGAATGACTGTCTTAATCCCATCCAAATATTCAAAGAGGAGGGTGGAGAGGTCTCAGAGAAGCTAATTTTTCGCTTAAATTGAAAAACTGGGGTGGGGTTGGAGCTATTGTTCTTCCTGAAGCTTGCTTCTGCTAGACTTTGGAATTGTCCTCCCAGTGAAAAGGTTTTAAGTTGTAAAAGCCAGCTCAGCAGAGCCCCACCCACATGAATAAAACATTCGTGCAGAAACATAGACTCTTGGTTTCTTCGCAGTCAGAAACCTATGCATGTACTTCACTCTCCCCAGCATCCAATTCATGACCAGGTTCTTTCTTCCTAAACAGCTCTCAAACACTTACCTCCAGGATGCCTTCCATTCATTTTTTTTCAACAAATTTGTTGCCCATCTGCTATATGTCAGGCACTGTGCTAGCTATTGGGAACACAGCAGCAAGCCAAACCTAGTGAAAAAGCCAGGGGAGTTTATCATCTGGCTAACCCCTCCCCAATCAAACCAAACCAAACCAGCTGGGCCAACCCGCACAGCACTCCTCACTGCTCGCTGTTAACTCTCAGCATTTGTTGTTTTTTTTTTTTTGAGACAAGATCTTGCTCTGTCACCCAGGCTAGAGTGCAGTGGCGAAATCACAGCTCACTGCACCCTTGACTTCCTGGGCTCAAGTGATCCTCCCACGTCAGCCTCCCTGGTTGCTGGGACCACAGGCACATGCTGCCGGCCCCAATGGCTTTTTTTTTTTTGAGACAGGGTCTCACTGTGTTGTCCAGGCTGGTCTTGAACTCCTGGGCTCAAGTGATCCACCTGCCTCAGCCTCCCGAAGTGCTAGGATTACAAGCGTGAGCCACCGTGCCTGGCCTCAAATGGCTTTTAAACATAAGAAAATGTGCTCAGCCTCACTCATATAAAGTAAAATGCAAGTTAAAATTATACCAAGGCCAGGGACAGTGGCTCATGCCTATAATCCCAGCACTTTGAAAGGCTGAAGTGGGAGGATTGCTTGAGGCCAGGAGTTAGAGAGCAGCCTGGGCAACAAAGCAAGACCTTATCTCTACAAAAATTGAAAAAAATTTTTAAATTAGCCAGGCATGGTGGCATGTGCCTGTAGTCCCAACTATTCAGGAGGCTGAGGTGGGAGGATCGCTTGAGCCCAAGGAGGTCAAGGCTGCAGCTAGCTGTGATTACACCACTGCACTCCAGCCTGGGCAACAGAGCGAGACCCTGTCTCAAAAAAAAAAAAAAAAAAACAAAGTCTTGCTCTGTCGCCCAGACTGGAGTGCAGTGGTGCAATCACAGCTCGCTGCAGCCTTGACCTCCTTGGGCTCAAGTGATCCTCCGGCTTTGCCCTCCCAAAGTGCTAGGATTACAGCCATGAGCCATCATGTCTATATTATATATAATGACCACGTTTTCTTTCTGGCTACATTGTATATAGAGAGCACATATTCTTCATCCTTTCATCCACCGATGGACACTTGGGTTACTTCCACTTTAGCTATTGTGAGTAATGCTGCTATGAACATGGGTGTACAAATATCTTTTGGAGTCCCTGTTTTCATATATATTTTTTTTGAGACGGAATTTCATTCTTGTTGCCCAGGCTGGAGTGCAATGGCGCAATCTCGGCTCGCTTAAGTCGTTTGGAAGTCATTCAATATCACCATATCTAGATCAATGTTGTTTTTGAAATTGTTGGATATTTCAGGGATAATTATGGTTTATATAACCAATTGCTTCCTGTTGGATATTTAAGATTTTTTTTGCTATTAACAAATAATGCTTATATCTATATTTTTGAACACTTGTACAAGTATAAATGCATGGTAAATTCCTAGAGGTAAAATTACTGAGTCAAGAGTTTTACATGTTTTGTGAATTTTGATAGATATTGTAAAGTTGTTCTTCAAAGAACTTTCATTTATTGTTTTCCCACATTTAGCCAACATTAGGTATTACGAAACTTTTTTATATTGGCCAAAACTCACAGGCAAAAGAAAAAGAAAAAAGTCTCATTGTTTTAGCTTGGTATTTATTTGCTTGTGGTTGAGGTTAAATATAGTAGAAATGAAAAACCCAGTACTATAGAAGATAGAGTTGAAGAAATATTCCAGAAAGTACAATAAAAGGAGTAAAATAAAGAGGTTCAAATAGGAGAGTAAAGATAAGAATACTGGTGGATTTATCCAGAAGGTCTAATATGAGAATGATATGAGAAAAAAAGAAAACATAGGATAAAAAAATCATCAAAGACATAGTTCAAAGAAATTTTCTATTGAAGGACAGAACTATCTAGATTGAAAGGGCCTGTTGGCTGGGAAGGGTGGCTCGTAGCTCTAATCCTTGCACTTTGGGAGGCTGAGACTGGGGGATCACTTGAGGCCAGGAGTTCCAGGCCAGCCTGGGTCACACAGCAAGACCTCATCTCTGCAACGAAGATAAAAGAAAGGGACTGCCAAGTGCCTAACGTATTGAAGGAAGGCAGACCCCATAATTGTGAAATTTCAGAATACACAATAAACCATTAACCCTAAACATTTCCAGAGAGGAAAAACTAGGTCACACACAAAGGATCTGGAATTAAAATTGTTTGGCTTCTCATTAGCAACACCGGATGCAGAGAGGGAGCAGTCACCTTCAAAGTTTGTAGTGAAAATTGTTACCAACTTAGATACCCAGCCAAACTATCAGTTAAGTGTAGGTAGAATAAAGACATTTTCAGACTTGTAAGGTCTCAAAAAGAGATTTTTCTGGGGAAGGTCTGGAAGAGGTAGGTGATTCAAAGGAACTGAGAAGGAGAATGACATGGGATCTAGTAATATGTATCTAATTCAAAACAGGCTGAAGAACGGCCTAGGATGATGGTAAGGAGAAATTCCAGAATGATACCTGTGTGTCACATATGGGGAACCGTCCAGTTTGGAGACAGTCAGGATGCTCCAGGAGAGAGATCACCAAGGGGATGAAAACTGCAGAACTCCTGATGTATTTGAACATATCGAGAGGACAGTTAGACTATTCTGGAGAAGACTGGGCCTGAATTAGTGTCAATTATATAGGAAACTAACCTTGGGAATAGCAACACAGTATTTCCAGGAAAAAAAAAAATGTTTTAAATAGGGGAAAACTTATGGCTTAGCTGAGAATATTTTTATAGGCATAGTAAACTAAACATTGATTATCGTTCTATTCAAAAGGAAGACTTAACATGTAGAAAGAATTGAGAATGACATTAGTTACATATTTATGCATTACTGGGTTCAAGATGATTGAAAGATAATTAAATTCTCTTCTTTCATAGTTGGAGGTTCATAGCCAATAACTGTGAAGAACCACGAAGTAGCACTTATTAGAATATGTGACTATCAAACAAAAGTTTTGAAAGTGCTTCTGGCTGGGCATGGTGGCTCGTGCCTGTAATCCTAACAATTTGGGAAGCCAAGATGGGAGGATTGCTTGAGCCCAGGCGTTTGAGACCAGCCTGGGCAATATAGCGAGACCCTGCCTCAATAAAAAATTAGCCAGGCATGGGGATTCATGTCTGTAGTCCCAGCTACTTAGGAGGCTGAGGCAGGAGGATCACTTGAGCCCCGGAGTTTAAGGCTGTAGTGAGCCGTGATAGCACCTCTGCACTCCAGCCTTTGAGCCAAAGCAAGACTCTGACGTGAAAAAAAAGAAAAATAAAGCATGCTCACATTTAACCTTAATGAAAATAAAAACTAATGATGATGTTGTATATACTGTGGAATTTTTTTTTTTTTTTTTTGAGACGGAGTTTCGCTCCTGTCGCTCAGTGTGGAGTGCAATGACACCATCTCGGCTCACTGCAACCTCCGTGTCCTGGGTTCAAGCAATTCTCCTGCCTCAGCCTCCCAAGTAGCTTGGATTACAGGCACCTGCCACCACACCCAACTAATTTTGTATTTTTAGTAGAGATGGGGTTTCACCATGTTGGTCAGGCTGGTCTCGAACTCCTGACCTCAGGTGATCCGCCCGCCTCAGACTCCCAAAGTGCTGGGATTACAGGTGTGAGCCACCGCGCCCATAGCCTGCTTTCACTTCTTTTGGGTACAAACCCAGAAGTGGAATTGCTGATATATGGTAATTCTATGTTTAATTTTTTGAGGAGTCAATATACTTTTTTCCACAGTGGCTACATCACTGTATATTCCTATCGGCAATGCAGGAGGGTTCCAATTTTTCCACATCCTCACCAATACTTATTTTCTGTTTTTGTTTATTTGTTTATTTAATAGCAGCTATCCTAATAGGTGTGAAATTGTATCTCATTGTGGTTTTGATCTGCATTCTCCAGTGATTAATAATGTTGAGCATCTTTTCATCCACTTACTGGCCATTGTATATCTTCTTTGGAGAAATGTCTACTCAAGTCCTTTGTCTATTTTTGAATTGGGTTGTTTGCTTTTTTGTTGAGTTGCAGGAGTTCTTTATGTATTGTGGATAAGCACTGCTTATTAGATATACAATTCACAAATATTTTCTCCCATTCTGTGGGTTGCTTTTTCACTGTTGATAGTGCCCTCTGATGCACAAAATTTTTAATTTTGATATGGTCCGAATTACCTATTTTTCCCTTTGTTGGCTGTCCTTTGGTATCATATCCATGAAATCATTGCCAAACCCAACGTCACGAAGCCTTTCTCTGTTTCCTTCTAAGAATTGTATACTTCTAGCTCTTACATTTAGGTGTTTGATCTATTTTGAGTTAATTTTTGTATATGGCGTGTGTTAGGGTTCTCCAGAGAAACAGAAGCAATAGGATATTCATAGACAAATAAGAGGGGATCTATTATGGCAGTTGGCTCATGCAAATATAGAGGTCATGAAGTCCCAGAGTGTGGTGTCTGTGGGCTGGAGCTGGAGAACCAGGAAAGCCAGTGGTATAATTCAATCTGAGTCTGAAGGCCTGAGAACCTGGAGCTTTAATGTCCAAAGGCAGGAGAAGATGGATATTCCAGTTCCAGAAAAGAGAGCAAGTTTGCCCTTCCTCTGCCTTTGTGTTCTATCCAGGTCCTCAACGACGGGAAGATGCTCATTCACACAGGTGAGGGTGATCTCTACTCAGTTTGATTCAAATGCTAATCTCTTCTAGAAACACCCTCACAGATGCATCCAGACATGATGCCAGCTATCTGGGCATCCCTATGTCCAGTCAAGTTTAACACATAAAATTAACCACCATATGGTGTAAGTAAGGTAAGGGTCCAATTTTATTTTCTTGCATGTGGATATCCAATATTCCCAACATCATTTGTTGAAAAAAAACTGTCCTTTCTCCATTGAATGGTACCCTTGTTGAAAATAGCTATATATTTCTAGCAAAACAATAAACATGTTCTCAATGTCATATCACAATATGATACCATGATGTACACTAGGGATACAATTGATAGGCTTTTACCCATAAACAAATTGGGGTGGATATGTTGCTGGATACAAAATATACAATCACTTGGTATTTACTTGATAAAAAGAATATGAGCTTGTCCACATGGTTTTATATTGTACAAAGTGCCTTATACATTTAAAAATAACCCAGTCATCGGACGGGTGCAGTGGCTCACGCCTGTAATCTCAGCACTTTGGGCGGCTAAGGCAGATGGATCACTTGAGGTCAGGAGTTCAAGACCAGCCTGGCCAACATGGTGAAACCCCGTCTCCACTAAAAATACAAAAATTAGACAGGCATGGTGGCACATGCCTGTAATGCCAGCTACTTGGGAGGCTGAGGCAGGAGAATCACTTGAACCCAGGAGGCAGAGGCTGCAGTGAACCAAGATCGCGCCACTGAATCCAGCCTGGGTGACAGAGCGAGACTCCCTCTCGAAAAATAAATAAATAAATAAAAAAGAACGCAGTCATTTCATTACACCTACCTGGCTTCCATGTTATATAAATAGCACAAATTCATGAGAAGCACATAACCAATGAAGTGTCATAGTGCAAGCATATTTTTAGGAAATTATACAAACCTCTGATTTAGCAATATGGATATAGAAGAATCCTATTAGAATATCAAACCGGCTGGGCGTGGTGGCTTACACCCGTAATCCCAACATTTTGGGAGGCCGAGGCGGGCCGACCACCTGAGGTCAGGAGTTCGAGACCAGCCTGGTGGTGGGCGCCTGTCATTCTAGCTACTCAGGAGGCTGAGGAAGGAGAATCTCTTGAACCCAGGAGGCAGAGGTTGCAGTGAGCTGAGATCACATCACTGAACTCCAGTCTGGGAGACAGAGCAAGAGTCCGTCTCAAAAAAAAAAAAAAAAAGAATAACAAACTAACACATCTTGAAGTCGAATTCCTTGAAAATTATGGCCTAGAAAGCCTACTTGGCTGGGCCTGATGCTCACGCCTATAATCCCAGCACTTTGGAAGCCGAGGCAGGTGGATCACCTGAGGTCAGGAGTTTGAGACCAGCCTGACCAACATGGAGAAACCCCATCTCTATAAAAATACAAAAATTAACTGGGCGTGGTGGCACGCACCTGTAATCCCAGCTACTCAGGAGGCTGAGGCGGGAGAATCGCTTAAACCTGGGAGGCGGAGGTTGCAGTGAGCCGAGATCATGCTATTGTACTCCAGACTGGGCAACAGAGCGAGACTCCGTGTCAAAAAAAAAATGCTCATGCAAATGAGCATCACAAAAATTATACAGTTGGCTAAAGGAAACACCAAATTGATAATAATGAAGCTAAACTAATAATTGACATTTTAAAGGAAAGACTAAGCCAAGCTAATACCTAACGAGCTGTCTGAGTCAACACATAAAGTACTGATAACATACCTATCTAACTAGAAAATTGAGGAATCCCAAGGATGTAGGTATTTGCATAGTGGGAGCTTCACATAGTTACCAGCAATTCAACTTTTCAACTTTTCTTTCCTTTTTTTGAGATGGTGTCTCACTCTGTTGCCCAGACTGGAGTGCAGTGGCATGATCTCAGCTCACTGTAACCTCCACCTCCTAGGTTCAAGCAATTCTCCTGCCTCAGCCTCCCGAGTAGCTGGGATTCCAGGCGCCCGCCACCACACCCGGCTAATTTTTGTATTTTTAGTAGAGACAGGGTTTCACCATGTTGGTCAGGCTGGTCTTGAACTTCTGACCTCAAGTGATCTGCCCACCTCGGCCTCCCAAAGTGCTAGGATTTCAGGCATGAGCCACCACACCCGGCCAGCTCAACTTTTCAGTACAATGCCAAATCAATTCCTCTGTCAACTTAAGTGCTAATACCCCAGGGTTTTAGTTTTTGTTTTTGTCTTAGAAACGGGGTCTTACTATGTTGTCCAGGCTGGTCTTGAACTCCTGGGCTCAAGTGATCTTCCCAGCTTGGCCTCCCAAAGTGCTGGGATTGCAGGCATGAGCCACCACAGCCGGCCTAATACCCTAGGTGTTGGATAGCAAAGACATGTTATCCTTAGTAACTCCTGAAGAAAGTTACTAGGAGTCCTTAGTGCAATATAAAAATTTACTTACAGAAAAGAAAAAACTGCTGCATTGGTTCATAAGAACCAAGGAAAGCACTTCCAATTTGGAATCAGTGGGCTGCCCCTTGGGAGGTGCACTCGGAGAACATAAAGCTAACCCCGAGAAGGATGAGGGAGGTGCGTCCTCCAAGATTTTGAAATCTGAGTGTACAATGTGAGGAGAGGGAGCAGAGGTTGTAAGAGGAGAGGGATGACTCCACAGATCCTTTGAGAGAGAGGAAAGTGATCTACATTTTCTCAGCAAAAGCAGAGCTATCTTCAGCCAAGTTAGAAAGACTGTGAGGACCAGGGCAGTTTGAGATTTATGAAGTGCCCTTTAAAATTTTTAATTTTTTTAAATTTTTATTTATTTATTTATTAAAATTTAAAATTAAACAATTTAAAAACTTTTAAATTTTAAAAATTTAAAAAGTATTTTTGGCTCTTGAGGAATTTTCTGCTGCATTAAAGACAAGGGAATATTTACATTTAAATAACAACTCAAGAAATACTAAGGCAGGGCACAGTGGCTCACATCTGTAATTCCTGCATTTATGGGAGGCCAAGGCAGGAGTTTCGCTTGAGCCAAGAGCTTGAGACCAGTGTGGACAACAGAGCAAGACCTGGCTCTACAAAAAATGTTTTAAAAATATTAGCCAGAGGCCGGGCGCAGTGGCTCACGCCTGTAATCCCAGCACTTTGGGAGGCTGAGGCGGGTAGATCACAAGGTCAGGAGTTCAAGACCAGCCTGACCAACATGGTGGAACCCCATCTCTACTAAAAATACAAAAATTAGCTGGGCGTGGTGGCGTGCACCTGTAATCCCAGCTACTTGGGAAGCTGAGACAGAAAAATCGCTTGAACCCGGGAGGCGGAGGTTGCAGTGAGCCGAGATGGCACCACTGCACTCCAGCCTGGGCAACAAAGCAAGACTCCATCTCAAAAATATATATATATATGAAATATATAATATATATAATATATTATATGAATATATAATATATATATTATATGAAATATATAATATATAATATATTATATGAATATATAATACATATACTATATTATATGAAATATATAATACATATACTATATTATATGAATATATAATACATATACTATATTATATGAATATATAATACATATACTATATTATATGAATATATAATACATATACTATATTATATGAATATATAATACATATACTATATTATATGAATATATAATACATATACTATATTATATGAATATATAATACATATACTATATTATATGAATATATAATACATATACTATATTATATGAATATATAATACATATACTATATTATATGAATATATAATACATATACTATATTATATGAATATATAATACATATACTATATTATATGAATATATAATACATATACTATATTATATGAATATATAATACATATACTATATTATATGAATATATAATACATATACTATATTATATGAATATATACTATATTATATGAATATATAATACATATACTATATTATATGAATATATAATACATATACTATATTATATGAATATATAATACATATACTATAGTATATGAATATATAATACATATACTATAGTATATGAATATATAATACATATACTATATGTATATAATACATATATTATATGTATATAATACATATATTATATGTATATAATACATCTAATATATTAGATGTATATATTAGCCAGATGTGGTGGAGCAAGCCTGTAGTCCCAGCTACTCTGGAGGCTGAGGCAGGAGGCAGAAGGATCACTTGAGCCCAGGAGTTCCAGGTTGCAGTGAGCCATGATCTCACCACTGCCCTCCAGCCTGGGCAACAGAGCAAGATCCTGTGAAAGAAAGAGAGAAAGAGAGAGAGAGACAGAATGAGAAAGAGAAGGAAGTACTATACTTTTACATGTATATAGTCCTTAGTCCTTATCATTTTTTTTTTTTTAAGATGGAGTCTTGCTCTGTCACCCAGGCTGGAGTGCAGTGGCACAATCTCGGCTCACTGCAACCTCCACCTCCCAGTTTCAAGTGATTCTCCTGCCTCAGCCTCCCGAGTAGCTGGGACTACAGTTGCCCACCACCATGCCTGGCTAAGTTTTTGTATTTTTAGTAGAGACGAGGTTTCACCATGTTGGTCAGGATGGTCTCGATCTCTTGACCTCGTGGTCCACCCGGCTTGGCCTCCCAAAGTGCTGGGATTACAGGCGTGAGCCACCGCTCCCGGCCCTATCCTTTCTTAAATACTTTCACATAACTCATCTCAGGATTGACAGACCTTGATAGCGCCTTAAATCCTGGAGAGAGAGAATTCTGAAGAGGCTACAATAGGATGGAATAGTCAGAACATTTTTGAAAAAAAACAGGTAAGACTGCAACCAGGCATGGTGGTTCATGCCTGTAATACCAGCATTTTGGGAGAACAAGGCGGGAGGATCACTGTAACCCAGGAGTTCAAGGCTGTGGTGAGCTATGATCACACCACGGCCCTCTAGCCTGGGTGACAGAGTCAGACTCCGTCTCTAAAAAAATAAAAATAAGGCCAAGGCGGGCGGATCATCTGAGGTCGGGAGTTCAAGACCAGCCTGACCAACATGGAGAAACCCTGTCTCTACTAAAAATACAAAATTAGCTGGGTGTGGTGACGCATGCCTGTAATCCCAGCTACTCGGGAGGCTGAGGCAGGAGAATTGCTTGAACCCGGGAGGCAGAGGTTGCGGTGAGCCGAGATCACGCCATTGCACTCCAGCTTGGGCAACAAGAGCATAACTCTGTCTCAAAAATAAATAAATATTAAAAAATAAAAATAGGCCGGGGTGCAGTGGCTCACGCCTGTAATCTCAGCACTTTGGGAGGCCAAGGTGGGTGGATCACGTGAGGTCAAGAGTTCAAGACCAGCCTTCCCAACATGGTGAAACCCTGTCTCTACTAAAAATACAAAAATTAGCCAGGTGTGGTGGCGTGCCCCTGTAATCCCAGCTACTCAGGTAGCTTAGGTGGGAGAATTGCTTGAACCCAGGAGGTGGAGGCTGCAGTGATCCGAGATCTTGCCGCTGCACTCCAGCCTGGGTGACAGAGCAAGACCCCATCAAAAAATAATAATAAATAATAATAAATAAAAATAAAGGTAAACAAATATCTCATTTAAGTTTACTCTGTTACCTAATATATTAGAAAGTCTTATCTTAAAGTTTTGTTGTCTTGAATCTTTTCTGTGGGGTCATAATTAAAATAAATCTTCCAACCCCTAAGTAAGTTCATATCTCCTATTGTTCAGGTAAGATAATTTTGAAGTCAACAGATTGTTGCTCTCTTACCTGACACAGCTGGGATCAGTAATTAGAATGTCAATTCAAAAAAGTAGATTAAAGCTAAACATCAAAAAGTGACATATGGGTGCCATAGTTTGTCTTAATTTTTTTTCATTTTTCATTTTTCATTAATTCATTTTTTTTAGAGACAGAGTCTCGCTCTGTTACCCAGGTTGGAGTGCAGTGGTGTGAACACGGCTCACTGCAGCCTTGACCTTGTGGGATTAAGTGATCCTCCCACCTCAGGATCCTGAGTAGCTAGGACCACAGGTGTGTGCCACCACGCCTGGCTAATTTTTAATTTTTTCATAGAGAGGGGGTCTTGCCATGCTGCCCAGGCTGGTCTCAAACTCCTGGGCTCACAGGATCCTCCAGCCTCAGCCTCCGAAAGTGTTGGGATTACAGGCGTGAGCCACCCTACCTAGCCAACATTTTTTTTTTCTAAAGCAACATCATTATGAGTCTTTTAACAATTAACTTGATTTTTATAGAAATACCTTTTTGTTTGTTTGTTTGTTTGTTTGGGACAGAGTCTCACTACGTCGCCCAGGCTGGAGTGCAATGGTGCGATCATAGCTCACTGTAACCTCTCCCTCCCAGGTTCAAAAGATTCTCCTGCTTCAGCTTCCTGAGTAGCTGGAATTACAGGTGCATGCCACCACACCTGACTAATTTTTGTATTTTTAGTAGAGACAGGATTTCATCATGTTGGCCTGGCTTGTCTCAAACTCCTGACCTCGTGATGCACCCACCTCCACCTCCCAAAGTGCTGGGATTACAGACATGAGCCACCGTGCCCAGCCTAGAAACACCTTTCTGTTGGGGTCATCATATTTTATTTTATGTTATTTGTGTGGTTTTTGTTTGTTTGTTTTTATGGCAGGGTCTCACTCTGTAGCCCAGGCTGGAATGCAGTGGCATTGAGAATTGAAGCCAGCTGGGCTTCTGGGTTGGGTGGGAACTTGGAGAACTTTTCTGTCTAGCTAGAGGATTGTAAACACACCAATCAGCACTCTGTGTCTAGCTAAAGGTTTGTAAACACACCAATCAGTACTCTAAATATGCACCAATCAGCGCTCTGTGTCTAGCTAAAGGTTTGTAAATGCACCAATCAACACTCTGTAAAAATGCACCAATCAGTGCTCTGTGACTAGCTAAAGGTTTGTAAACACACCAATCAGCACTCTGTAAAAATGGACCAATCAGCACTCTGTAAAATGGACCAATTAGCACTCTGTAAAATGGACCAATCAGCAGGACGTTGGCAGGGCCAAATAAGGGAATAAAAGCTGGCCACCGGAGCCAGCAGCAGCAACCAGTTCGGGTCCCCTTCCAGGCTGTGGAAGGTTTGTTCTTTTGCTCTTCACAATAAATCTTGCTGCTGCTCCCTCTGGGTCCGCACTACCTTTATGAGTTGTAACACTCACTGCGAAGGTCTGCAGCTTTGCTCCTGAAATCAGTGAGACCACGAACCCACCGGGAGGAACAAACAACGCTGGATGCGCCACATTTAAGAGCTGTAACACTCACTGCGAAGGTCTGCAGCTTCACTCCTGAAGTCAAGCTAGACCACGAGCCCACCGGAAGGAAGAAACTCTGGACATATCTGAACATCTGAAGGAACAAACTCCGGACACACTACGTGTAAGAACTGTAACACTCACCACGAGGGTCTGCAGCTTCATTCTTGAAGTTAGCGAGACCAAGAATCCACCGTAAGGAACCAATTCCGGACACAGCATGATCTCAGCTCACTGCAACCTCCACTTCCCAGGTTCAAGTGATTCTCCTGCCTCAGCCTCCTGAGTAGCTGGGTTTACAGGTGCATACGATCATGCCTGACTAATTTTTGTGTTTTTGGTAGAGACGGGGTTTCACCATGTTGGCCAGGCTGGTTTTGAACTGCTGACCTCAGGTGATCCACCCACTTTGGCCTATCCAAGTACTGGGATTATAGGCCTGAGCCACAGCAGCTGGCCCGCATCATATTTTATCATTTAAATAATATTTAATTAAATCATACACATACGTACACACATGTAGTAGCAAGTACAAGTGGGAATAACAGGTTTAGGTACAACACAACTATTGCTAACCACCCATCTCCACTATTGAGAGCAGAAGTAGTGTTCTCTAGAAACAGGCCTTCTAGGGTGCTGAGGTCATCATAAGATGCTTAAACTGAGCTTGTATGTTTCAGAATTAGCTGATATTTTTTAAATGGTCTCTTATTAAGTAAATAACTATCAAATTTCATAAGATATGAATTTGAGGACTGAAACTGTATTAGTCAGAACGGCTTTGGTTTCTAATAACAGAAACTCAAATCAGCTTATGCATACAAGGGACTCTTTTGAATTAGAGAACTGAGAAGTTTAGGAGCTGACTTGGCTTCAGGGTTCCCTTTCAGTCTGTTTCTCTCATCTTCACTGCTTCTCACAGCATATTTAGTCTCATGCTGTCATGTTTAGACTTTCTCTGTGTAACTGCGGAAGATGCCTGGTGTCAGCTCCAGTACATAAGCACGTAGTGGGTTACAGGGAAGTGGCTCTCTTCCAGCAGCTTTCTATCATGTCTCTGGAAGCGTCTGATAGGTCTTGGTTTGGGTTATGTGTCCATCTTTGAACCTATCACCACATCAGATGAGGCAGCCTGGATCTCATATCCGCTAATGTGTGGGCAGAACACAATCCCGTCAGGACCTCATGGAATGGAAGAAAGATAAGGTTTTTTTTTCTTTTTCTTTTTCTTTTTTTTTTTTTGAGATGGAGTCTCACTCTGTTGCCTAGGCTGGAGTGCAGTGGTGCGATCTTGGCTCACTGCAATCTCTGCCTCCCGGGTTCACGCCATTCTCCTGCCTCAGCCTCCAGAGTAGCTGGGACTACAGGCGCCTGGCACCACGCCTGGCTAATTTTTTTGTATTTTTAGTAGAGACGAGGTTTCACCGTGTTAGCCAGGATGGTCTTGATCTCCTGACCTCGTGATGCACCCACTTGACCTCCCAAAGTGCTGGGATTACAGGCATGAGCCACTGCGCTGGGCTGAAGAAGGGTGAGTTATAAATGAAAAGCTGCATGTGTGCTCTAATAGAAGCTAGACATGCAAAAACCACAGATGCCTCCAGCATAGACCATGCTTTTGTTACCATAATAGCAGGTATTCAGTCTAAGTCCTGCTCCTCATAGCACAGAAAACCAATCACTGAGACAATGAGTATTGCCAAGGAAGAAAGCTTTAATTGGGTGCTGCAGCTGAAGACATGGGAACTAGTCTCAAATTCATCTCCTGACTGACTATAATTAGGGGTTAATCTAGCAGGGAAGAAATGTAACTATGCATGGGAAAACAGGAACTCAACTTGAGAGGGGTAAGGAAGCAATCATGATGAATGAAGGGCCTGGTGTCTCATTGTCTGGATGCAACGATCTGGTGAGTTTCAGTTCTTTTTCTTCAGGTACTTTTTGAGAGGCTTTTGAGGGTCCTTTCCTGAGGAAGGAACTCAGATAATACAAATGTAAGGTTCAAGCTTAAGACCAGAACTGTCTATGGGACTATTGAGTTGGTTTCACCTTAGCTATTCTTTAATTCCCTCCTAAGACCAAGCCCATGGAAGCAGCTTGCCCTTAAATATTGAATGGCTCAACTGCTAGTAGCACTTTATTCTTCCAAACATTTTCACAGACTGATAAGGTTTGGATGTTTTGTCTCTTCCAAATCTTATGATGAAATGTGATCCCCACTGTTGGAGGTGGGCTAGTGTGAGGTGTTTGGGTCATGGGGGCAGATTCCTCATAAATGGGTTAGTGCTGTCCTCACAATAATAAGGGAGTTCTCGCTCTGAGAGCTCTTGAGAGCTCTGGTTGTTTAAAAAAGTGTGGCACCTCCTCCACCTCCACCACTCACTCTCACCATGTGACATGTCTGCTCCTGTTTTGCCTTCTGCTATGAGTAAAAGCTCCCTAAGGCCTCACTAGAAGCCAAGCAGATGCTGGTGCCATGTTTCCTATACAGCCTGCAGAACGGTGAGCCAATTAAACCTCTTCTTTTTCCTCTCTCCTTTTTTTTTGAGACGGAGTTTCACTCTTGTCGCCCAGGCTGGAGTGCAATGGTGCAATCTCAGCTCACTGCAACCTCCGCCTCCCAGGTTCAAGCGATTCACCCGCCTCAGCCTCCCAAGTAGCTGGGATTACAGGTGCCCGCCATCACGCCCAGCTAATTTTTGTATTTGTAGTAGAAATGGGGTTTCACCATTTTGGCCAGGCTGGTCTTGAACTCCTGACCTCAGGTGATCCGCCCACCTCGGCCTCCCAAAGTGCTGGGATTACAGGCGTGAGCCACTGTGGCCGGCCACCTCTTTTCTTTGCGAATTACCCAGTCTTTTTCCAGCGGTGACGACCTACCCAGGAGAACATGCCTCTCACAAAGGATCTCCTTCATCCCTCTCCAGAATAGGGGAAGAGGAAACACAAGAAGCAGTGCCTGATGCAGAGCCCCAATTCCTACTTCATGGGTGTAAATGCCCAGGATGGTACAAAATCATCACAGTCTTTAGCCATGCACTAACAGAAATTTTGTGTGTTGGCTGCTCCACTGTCCTCTGCCAGCCTACAGAAAGAAAAGCAAGGCTTACAGAAGGATGTTCCTTCAGGAGGAAGCAGCATTAAAAAGCACTCCGAATCAAGATGAGTGGGAAATCATCTCAATAAACACTTTTTTTTTTTTTGAGACTGAGTTTCACTCTTGTCGCCCAGGCTGCAGTGCAGTGGTGTGAGCTTGGCTCACTGCGACCTCCGCCTACCAGGTTCAAGCAATTCTCCTGCCTCAGCCTCCTGAGTATCTGGGATTACAGGCATGCGCCACTATGCCCGGCTTATTTTGGGGTTTCATCATGTTGGCCAGGCTGATCTTGAACTCCTGACCTCAGGTGATCTGCTCACCTCGACATCCTAAAGTGCTGAGGTTACAGGCATGAGCCACTGTGCCTGGCCTCAATAAACACATTTTGGATAAAAAATAAATAAATTACCCAGTCTCTGATATTTCTTTATAGCAATGCAAATGGACTAACACAGAGACATTATTGTGAGTGGTAAAGGCAGATTAAATGTCTTGCTTAGAATTACACAGCTGCTACTTGACTTCAAATTATACTATGAGACTACAGTAACCAAAACAGCATGGTACTGGTACCAAAACAGATACATAGACCAATGGAACAGAACAGAGGTCTCAGAAATAACACCACACATCTACAACCATCTGATCTTTGACAAACCTGACAAAAACAAGCAATGAGAAAAGGATTCCCTATTTAATAAATGGTGCTGGGAAAACTGGCTAGCCATATGGAGAAAACTGAAACTATACCCCTTCCTTATAGCTTATACAAAAACTAAGTCAAGATGGATTAAAGACTGAAACATAAGACCTAAAACCGTAAAAACCCTAGAAGAAAACCTAGGCAATACCATTCAGGACATAGGCATGGGCAAAGAGTTCATGACTAAAACACCAAAAACAATTGCAACAAAAGCCAAAATTGAGAAATGGGATCTAATCAAACTAAAGCGCTTCTGCACAGCAAAAGAAACTATCATCAGAGTGAACAGGCAATCTACAGAATGGGAGAAAATGTTTGCAATCTATCCATCTGACAAGGTCTAATATCCAGAATCTACAAGGAACTTAAACAAATTTACAAGAAAAAAACAAAGAACCCCATCAAAAAGTGGGCAAAGGATATGCACAGACACCTCTCAAAAGAAGACATTTATGCAGTCAACAAACATATGAAAAAAAGCTCATCATCACTGGTCATTAGAGAAATGCAAATCAAAACCACAATAAGATACCATCTCATGGCACATGTATACCCGTTAGAATGGTAATCATTAAAAAGTCAGGAAACAACAGATGCTGGAGAGGATGTGGAGAGAAATAGAAATGCTTTCACCCTGTTGGTATGAGTGTAAACTAGTTCAACCATTGTGGAAGATAGTGTGGCGATTCCTTAAGGATCTAGAACCAGAAATACCATTTGACCCAGCAATCCTGTTACTGGGTATACACCCAAAGGATTATAAATCATTCTATAAAGACACATGCACATGCATGTTTATTGCAGCACTATTCACTATAGCAAAGACTTAGAACCAACCCGAATTCCCATCAATGATAGACTGGATAAAGAAAATGTGGCACATATACACCATGGAATACTATGCAGCCATAAAAAAGAATGATTCACGTTGTTTGCAGGGACATGGATGAAGCTGGAAACCAACGTTCTCAGCAAACTAACACGGGAACAGAAAACCAAACACTGCATATTCTCGCTCATAAGTGGGAGTTGAACAATGAGAATACATGGACACAGGGAGGGGAACGTCACATACCAGGGCCTGTAGGGGGGTGGGGGAGAAGGGGAGGGAGAACATTAGGACAAATACCTAATGCATGCGGGTCTTAAAACCTAGATGACGGGTTGATGGGTGCAGCAAACCACCATGGCACATGTATACCTATGTAACAAACCTGCATGCTCTGCACATGTATCCCAGAACTTAAAGTATAATTTTAAAAAACTACGCAGCTGATTTCTGACAGAGCTGAGTTCATAACTGGATTTCCTTTGGATGTTTCCCTCTTTTCTTCTCTTGTGTTGCCAGAACTGATATCAAAGGGAAGGAATACAAGAGAAATATTCAATTTCACTACTTCTTTGATAGTTTGATATGTTGTCCCTAGAAGGCCATGATAATGATATGTTGTCTCTAACTTTCAGGCTAATTATAGGTACAGATAATGGGTGGTTATTTGGACTATTTTAAAAAATAGAGACAGGTTCTCACTATGTTGCCCAGGCTGGTCTCGAACTCCATGGCTCAAGTGATCCTCCCGCCTTGGCTTCCCAAAGTGCTGGGATTACAGGTGTGAGCCACCACACCCAAACTTTTTTTTTTTAATAGGTTCTCACTTTGTCACCCAGGCTGGGGTGCTGTGGTGTGATCATGGCTCACTGCAGCCTCAACCTCTTGAGCTCAAGCAATCTTCCCACCTCAGCCTACCAAGTAGTTGGGACTACAGGTGCTTGCCACCACACCCGGCTAATTTTAAAACTTTTTTCGTGGAGATAAGGTCTTGTGCTGCCCAGCTTGATCCTGGATTCCTGGGTTCCAGTGATCCTCCCACCTCGGCCTCCCCCAGTGTGGAGATTACAGGCATGAGCCATTGTACCCAGTCTATTTGTCCGATTGATTTATTGAGTTGTGGAGTTTGCTGAAGGAAACCGCACCTATGTTTTTGTTTCTAAGGCTAATATTTTCCCTTATGTTTGACAATACATTGATGTGCTAAGACTCTGCAGTGAAAATAGTTTTTTTTTTTTTTTTTTTTTTGAGACAGAGTTTTGCTTTTGTTGCCCAGGCTGGAGTGCAATGGTGCGATCTCGGCTCACCGCAACCTCCGCCTCCCGGGTCCAAGCCATTCTCCTGCCTCAGCCTCCCGAGTAGCTGAAATTACAGACATGCGCCACCACGCCCAGCTAATTTTGTATTTTTAGTAGAGACGGGGTTTCTCCATGTTGGTCGGGCTGATCTTGAACTCCCGACCTCAGGTGATCTGCCCACCTCAGACTCCCAAAGTGCTGAGATTACAGGTGTAAGCCACCATGCCCGGCCTGAAGATAGTTTCTTAAAGGCAGTGTGGTATATTGGACATAATGTAAGATATACAGTCAAACTGTGTTTGAATCTCAGGTCAATTACTTGTATCCTTGGGTAAGTCAGGTAAGCTCCATGAGCCTCTGTGTCCTATTAAAAAAAGGGTGATATCACCATCTAGCTACTATACATACTTCACAGGATTGTGGTGAATATAAAATGAGGTAATTGTAGGGAAAGCTTTCCGTTGGCCCTCTGAAGATTTGTTGAACAATAACTCATAGCCAGGCGTGGTGGCTCACACTTGTAATCCCAGCACTTTGGGAGGCCAAGGTGGGAGGATCACCTGAGGTCAGGAGTTTGAGACCAGCCTGGCCAACATAGTTAAACTCCTACAAAAATTAGCCAAGTGTGGTGGCACACACCTGTAGTCCCAGCCACTTGGGAGGCTGAAGCGGGAGGATTTATTGAACCCAGGAGGTGGAGGTTGCAGTGAGCTGAGATGGCGCCTCTGCCTAGGTGACAGAAAGAAAAGGAAAAAAAGAAAACTCATAAAAGGAGATTAATTGGAGAAAAGGCATATACATGTATTAATGTGCACATAGATTGATTACTTCCAAGCTCCCAATAGGGTGTGGAAGTTTATGTATCATCTTGAGGTTCCGTAAAGAATGGGGTTTGGATAGTGGCAAAACAGGTTATGGGAGAGGGAGAAGAGGAGGCCTGGCGAAACCTCACAGGTAGCAACCTTCACGGAGAATAGATGGTGAAGGTTTTTTTCAGATCTTTAAAACTGTCGGACTCTCAGTTAACTTGTTTTAGGTCAGAGAAGGGAAGGCCGTCAGAGAAAACCTAACTGTACTGATGTAGACTTTATTTTTATAGATGTAAATCTCCTCCACAACAAACAACCTTTCAGCTATTCTATTTCTAGCCCTTTTGAATAGACATGTTGAACTATGTCAAGGAAATAAATATGTTTTGGGGTGAAACATCTTGGTTTCCTTCATAATGTTTGTAAAAATACATTTGTAAAGTGTTTCGAAGGGCTCCATGAAATTTGCAAACTATAAGTTTTAAATAACTATGAGATTTTTTTTTTTTCATTTTAAGACAGGGTCTCACTCTGTCACCCAGGCTGTAGTGCAGTGTCATGATCATAGCTACCTGTAACCCCAAACTCCTGGGCTCAGGGGATCCTCCTACCTCAGCCTTTTGAGTAGCTAGGACTACAGGCATGCACCACTACACTTGGCTAAATTTTTTATTTTTATTTTTCATAGAGACTGGTTCTTGCTATGTTGCCTAGGCTGGTCTCAAACTTTTGGGCTCAAGAGATCCTCTGGCCTATGCCTCTCAAAATTCTGGCATTACAGGCGTGAGCTATCATGCTCAGTCACTATGATTTATTTCAAGAATGAGTATTAATTCAGGCATATTCTACTATGTATGACCAATTATGTGGTTTTTACTGCTGTTCACAGATGAGATAGCCGGTTTTCCTTCCCTTCCCTTCACATGGAAGACTGTGGCTGGGTGGGCCATCTGTCTAGTTCTGGCAATTTTTTGTGAATGGAAGTGATTTGCATCACATCTGAGTCAAAGCACTGAGTTTCCAGTGTGAGACCCTCCAGAGCTTTCTTCTCCTTTCAGATATAGATATATGTGTGTGTGTGTATATATATATGTGTGTGTGTGTGTATATATGTGTATATATGTATATGTATATATGTGTATATATGTTTATGTATATATGTATATTAGATGTGTGTGTGTGTGTGTGTGTGTGTGTGTGTGTGTGTGTGTGTGTGTATGCCTGGTAATATTTGAAATGTTTTCTCTAACAACCTGGGTCCAAGAGTGACAAAATTATGAAGCAGATACCCTAGCCAACTCTCTCTGGACATGGCCATGAGAAAGAAAGAAAGTTTTGTTGTTCTAAGACATCAAGATTTGTTGTTCTAAGACGTCAAGATTTGTTGTTCTAAGACATCAAGATTTGTTCCCTCAGCATAACCTAGCCTATCCTAATGAAACCACTGTGATTAGCTTGGCCATTTTGGACATGGATGTTTTGGTCT
The DNA here is from genome assembly GCF_000001405.40 of Homo sapiens. Lineage (NCBI taxonomy): Eukaryota > Metazoa > Chordata > Mammalia > Primates > Hominidae > Homo > Homo sapiens. Next base: position 141,756 of record NW_025791777.1, read on the forward strand.
ATGTCAGTGAAGGTATATGGAAATGTCTGTTTAGTAAAAGAGACATAAGAAGATAATCTTGGCAAGTAATAGTCTTATGACTTCCTGCGTGTTTTTCCTTAAGCAAAAGAATGTCATAGGTCAGGTGTAGTAGCTTACACCTGTAATCCCAGCACTTTGGGAACCGGGGAGGTGGAGCTTGCAGTGAGCCGAGATCATGCCACTGCCCTCCAGCCTGGGCGACAGAGCAAGACTCCGTCTCAAAAATAAAATAAAATAAAAGGACACATAAGTGGCAAATGAGTGGCAGAGATAAGGCCACTCTCTCTTCTTTTTTTTTTTTTTTGAGATGGAGTCTCGCTCTGTCACCCAGGCGTGATCTCGGCTCACTGCAACCTCCGCCTCCCGGGTTCAAACAATTCTCCTGCCTCAGCCTCTGGAGTAACTGGAATTACAGGCGCCCACCACTACGCCCAGCTAATTTTTGTACTTTTAGTAGAGACGGGATTTCACCATGTTGGCCAGGCTGGTCCCGAACTCCTGACCTCAGGTGCTCCGCCCGCCTCGGCCTCCCAAAGTGCTGGGATTACAGGCGTGAGCCACCGCACCCGGCACACTCTCTGTTCTAAGTGGAACTGCTCACCTGGCTGCCCATCTGTCCCTCCCACTCTAGTCTCTGTGACTTGCCTTTTGAGCACACTAATTCCTCTACCTGGAACATTCTCTTCCCAACTTTGCATCTGGAGGTTCATATTCTAAAATATTGCCAGTGCTTCAAGACTGAGCTGAGATACTATCTCTTTCATTTATTATTATTTTTTAAAAGCTCCTTAAGGCCGGGCGCGGTGGCTCACACCTGTAATCCCAGCATTTTGGGAGGCCGAGGCAGGCAGATCACCTGAGGTCAGGAGTTTGAGACCAGCCTGGCCAACACAGTAAAACCCCGTCTCTACTAAAAATACAAAAACTAGTCTGGTGTGGTGGCACACGTCTGTTATCCCAGCTACTCAGGAGGCTGAGGCAGGAGAATGGCTCAGACCCAGGAGGCGGATGTTGCAGTGAACCCGATATCACGCCATTGCACTCCAGCCTGGGCAACAGAGCAAGACTCCATCTCAAAAACAAACAAACAAACAAAAAAACTGGGCCAGGCCTGGTGGCTTATGCCTGTAATCCCAGCACTTTGGGAGGCCGAGGTGGGTGGATCACGAGGTCAGGAGATCGAGACCATCCTGGCTAACATGGTGAAACCCATCTCTACTAAAAATACAAAAAATTAGCTGGGCGTGGTGGCATGTGCCTGTAGTCCCAGCTACTAGGGAGGCTGAGGCAGGAGACTCACTTGAACCCAGGAGGCAGAGGTCACAGTGAGCCGAGATCACGCCACTGCACTCCAGCCTGGGTGACAGAGCAAGACTCCATCTCAAAAAAAAAAAAAAAAAAAAAACTCCTTTAATTTCTCTTCTTCTCTAAGAAGTGGCTTCCCCCTATGCTGTATATACTTCAAAAACAATTTAAATCAGCCAGGTGTGGTGGCTCATGCCTGTAGTCCCAGCACTTTAGGAGGCTGAGGCTGGCAGTTCACCTGAGGTCAGGAGTTCAAGACCAGCCTGGCCAACATGGCAAAACCCCGTCTCTACTAAAAGTACAAAAAAATTAGCCGGGCATGGCCTGTAATCCCAGCTACTCGGGAGGCTGAGGCAGAAGAATTGCTTGAACCCGGGAGGCGGAGGTTGCAATGAACCAAGATTGCGCCACTCTACTCCAGCCTGGGCCACAGAGCGGGACTTCTGTCTTTAAAAATAATAATAATAATAATAACAATTTAAATATTTTGACCCCCTGAAGTTAAATCACTTTCTAACTTGTATTACTTCAATCGTGTGTGGGTCCCTCCACCTAGGTTTTATTCTCTCTGAGGGTGCCCCTCCATCTGATTCCTCTGCCCCTCCTTCTGGGACTTTGCACTTCTGTTACTTTAGCTAAGTAAATGAATAGTATTCAATGCTTCAGTACTATCCCTAAGTACTTAAGAGTTGAATTATGCTGCTAATGATATTAATGAGAAACTCACTTGCTTTCTGTGTTTATTTCTTCAAACGTGTTCCTTATAGTAGCAGTTTAACAAGGAAGTTTTCTTTACTCCTTTCCCCTAGACAAAGGGAAAAAATAACAGGAAACCAACCCACAGAAAACAATGAAGATGAATATCAAATATTTGTTCCTTTCTATATAAGAGGAGTTAGGCACAAAATTAGGTCATCATACTAACACTTGAAAGAATCAGAGTTTCTTTGAGTTTTAAGAATTTCCAGGAGAGAAATTTGGCTGTTTTTATTGAAGTGGAGTTGAAACATAGCTGCTTAACAGAAATTAGTAGATATTATTCCAAATATCCACAAGCGTCATCTAGAAGCTGCTTTCAAACTTATGATCCAGGAACTTGGTCTGATGCTGCAGGCAGTTAAGTTGCTTTCTTGTTGTGCTTACATAGACATTGTACACTGTAAAAAAATAAATAGAAGATGCCACTTATTAAGTACCGTCTATGTGTCACAAACACAGATGTTTTATACAGTTGTCACTGCAATATCTTAAATATTATCTTCATTTCATAGACAGGGAAACTAAGTTTCATAGATGTTTAAAACGTGCCCCAGGCCCGGTGCAGTGGCTCATGTCTTAATCCCAGCACTTTGGGAGGCTGAGGCAGGCAGATCATGAGGTCAGGAGTTCGAGACCAGCCTGGCCAACATGGTGAAACCCTGTCTCCACTAAAAATACAAAAATTAGACAGGCGTAGGGGCACATGCCTGTAATGCCAGCTACTCAGGAGGCTGAGGCAGGACAATCACTTGAACCTGGGAGGCGGCGGTTGCAGTAAGCCGAGACTGCGCCAGTGCACTCCAGCCTGGGCGACAGAGCAAGACTCCATCTCAAACTGGAAAAAAAAAAAAAAGTGCCCCAAAGTATACAGCTAGCAAAAAATCAGGATTCAAAAACCCATGTCTTTCTGACCCCCACACCCATGCCATCATAGACTTATTTATTTAGGTACCTGCCTCCTATGCCGAACTGTGAGGTCCTTATGTCCACATCACTTACCCTAGTGCTTGGTGCATGAGTATCGAATACTATTGAATACCTTCCAGCTTCCCTTACCCCTTTCATCTTACCTCACTAAATCCTTTTTTTTTTTTGAGACAGAGTCTCACTCTTATCGCCCAGGCTGAAGTGCAGTGGTGCAATCTTGGCTCACTACAACCTCTGCTGCCTGGGTTCAAGCAGTTCTTCTGCCTCAGCCTTCCAAATAACTGAGATTACAGGCGCCTGCCACCACGCCTGGCTAATTTTGTAGTTTTAGTAGAGATGAGGCTTCACCATCTTGGCCAGGCTGGTCTTGAACTCCTGACCTCGTGATCCACCCGCCTTGGCCTCCCAAAGTGCTGGGATTACAGACGTAAGCCACCTTGCCCAGCTACCTCACTAAATCTTACCTCACCAAATTTTATGTTTGTATTCACTCTGTACTTCCATTTATGTGAGACAATACATTGCCTTATTATTTAAACTACTTTAAACTTGTTTTTTGTAGCATTGAGCTGAAATCATCCTGATATAGGAAGCATAGGCAGCTACTAAATATCCATCGAATAATATTTATTTTGTGCCAGGAATAAGGCCATTTTACATACAACCCTTGCAAGGTGGGTATTACCATCACTTCCATTTAATTTTCATTTAAAAACTTTTTTATTGGGGGTCTCATTATATTGCTCAGGCTGGAGTGCAGTGGCTATTCACAGGCACTATACCACTACTGATGATTGGCACAGGACATACCACTACTGATGACTGGCACAGGATATACCACTACTGATTAGCATGGGAGTTTTCAGCTGGTCCGTTTCCAACCTGGGCCAGTTCACCCCTCCTTAGGCAACCTAGTGGTCCCCACTCCCAGAACATCACCATATTGATGCAGAACTTAGTGAGGACACCCAATCAGCCTAGGCTCAAGCGATCCTCCTGCCTCACTCAGCCTTCCTAGTAGATGGGACTACTGGTACCCCCACATAGGCACCACTGGGCCTGGCATCACCTCCACTTTATAAATAAGGAAATTAAGCCTCAGAAGTTTAAGTTATTTATTTAAAGTGTCATAGAGCTGGTAAATACTGAATTTGGGAATCAAAGTAGAATCTTTTGATACCCTGGCTCCCTTACCCACTATACTGATGAAGGGAAGAAGGTGAAGGTGCTCACTCTGTGCTGTGATGCTTTTTTTTTTTTTTTTTTTTTTTTGAGGCAGGGTCTCACTCTGTTGCCCAGGCTCTGGAGTGCAGTGGCACCATCATGGCTTACCACAGCCTTGACCTCCCCAGGCTCAGGTTATCCTCCCACCTCAGCAGCCCTCTTGAGTAGCTGGGACCACAGGCACCCACCACCATGCCTGGCTAATTTTTTTGTAGAGACCGGGTTTTGCCACATTGCCCGGGTTGGTCTCCAACTCCTGGACTCAAGCAGTCTGCCCACTTTGGCCTCCCAAAGAGAAATTAAAGGAGTTTTTTTTTTGTTTTTTTATGTGTTTTGTTGTTGTTGTTGTTGTTTTGAGAAGGAGTCTTGCTCTGTCACCCAGGCTGGAGTGCAGTGGCGTGATCTCGGCTCACTGTGACCTCTGCATCCTGGGTTCAAGTGATTCTCCTGCCTCAGCCTCCCTAGTAGCTGGGACTATAGGTGCATGCCACCACGCCCAGCTAATTTTTTGTATTTTTAGTAGAGATGGGGTTTCACCATGTTAGCCAGCATGGTCTCGATCTCCTGACCTCCTGATCTGCCCACCTCGGTCTCCCAAAGTGCTGGGATTACAGGCATAAGCCACCAGGCCTGGCCCAGTTTTTTTGTTTGTTTGTTTGTTTTTGAGATGGAGTCTTGCTCTGTTGCCCAGGCTGGAGTGCAATGGCGTGATATCGGGTTCACTGCAACATCCGCCTCCTGGGTCTGAGCCATTCTCCTGCCTCAGCCTCCTGAGTAGCTGGGATAACAGACGTGTGCCACCACACCAGACTAGTTTTTGTATTTTTAGTAGAGACGGGGTTTTACTGTGTTGGCCAGGCTGGTCTCAAACTCCTGACCTCAGGTGATCTGCCTGCCTCGGCCTCCCAAAATGCTGGGATTACAGGTGTGAACCACCGCTCTCGGCCTAAAGGAGCTTTTAAAAAATAATAATAAATGAAAGAGATAGTATCTCAGCTCAGTCTTGAAGCACTGGCAATATTTTAGAATATGAACCTCCAGATGCAAAGTTGGGAAGAGAATGTTCCAGGTAGAGGAATTAGTGTGCTCAAAAGGCAAGTCACAGAGACTAGAGTGGGAGGGACAGATGGGCAGCCAGGTGAGCAGTTCCACTTAGAACAGAGAGTGTGCCGGGTGCGGTGGCTCACGCCTGTAATCCCAGCACTTTGGGAGGCCGAGGCGGGCGGAGCACCTGAGGTCAGGAGTTCGGGACCAGCCTGGCCAACATGGTGAAATCCCGTCTCTACTAAAAGTACAAAAATTAGCTGGGCGTAGTGGTGGGCGCCTGTAATTCCAGTTACTCCAGAGGCTGAGGCAGGAGAATTGTTTGAACCCGGGAGGCGGAGGTTGCAGTGAGCCGAGATCGCGCCTGGGTGACAGAGCGACTCCATCTCAAAAAAAAAAAAAAAAAAAAAAAAGAAGAGAGAGTGGCCTTATCTCTGCCACTCATCTGCCACTTATGTGTCCTTTTATTTTATTTATTTATTTTTTTTAGATGGAGTTTCGCTCTGTCACCCAGGCTGGAGGGCAGTGGCATGATCTCGGCTCACTGCAAGCTCCACCTCCCAGGTTCACGCCATTCTCCTGCCTCAGCGTCCCGAGGAGCTGGGACTACAGGCGCTTGCCACCATGCCCGGCTAATTTTTTTGTATTTTTAGTAGAGACGGGGTTTCACCGTGTTAGCCAGGATGGTCTTGATCTCATGACCTCGAGATCTCTCCGCCTTGGCATCCCAAAGTGCTGAGATTACCAGGCGTGAGCCACCACACCCGGCCTTTTCATTTTATTTTTAATTTTTATGAGTGTATGCCTCATCTTCTAGACGAGTGGTCCCCAACCTTTTTGGCCTAGGAATCGGTTTCGTGGAAGATAATTCTTCCATGGATCAGGGCAGAGGGGGATGGTTTCAGGATGATTCCAGTGCATTACATTTATTGTGCACTTTATTCGTATTATTATTACATTTTTATATTTAGTGAAATAATTATTTAATTCACGATAATATAGAATCAGTGAGAGCCCTGAGCTTATTTTCCTACAACTAGATGGTCCCAAATGGGGGTGATGGGAGAAAGTGACATATCATCAGGCATTAGATTATCAGAAGAAGCTGCAACCTAGATCCTTTGCATCCCCAGTTCACCATAGGGTTCATGATTCTATGAGAATCTAATGCTGCTGCTGATCTCTAACACACTCGCCAGCCACTTACATCCTGCTGTATAGCCCGGTTCCTGAATTAGCTATTTCCACTGTGCCAGTCCATGGCAGGAGGTGAGAGGCTCGATTCCTAAGAGGCCATGGTCCGTGGCCTGGGAGTTGGGGACCCCTGTCCTAGACTATGTGAAGGAAGAGTGCTGTACAAAAACATATGCTTTAAGCCCGTTGTGATGGCTCACACCTGTAATCCCAGTGCTTTGGGAGACTGAGGAGAGAGGACTGCTTGAGCCCAGGAGTTTGAGACCAGCCTGGGCAACTTAGGGAGACCTCATCTCTACAAAACATTTTAAAACTTAGCTGGACATGGTGAGATGGGAGGATTGCTTGAGCTTAGGATTTCAAGGTTGCAGTGAGCTATGATTGTGGCACTGCGCTCCAGCCTGGGCAACTGAGCAAGACTCTGTCTTAAAAAACAAAAAAACAAAAAGTATGCTTTGATTTCTTCCTGTATCATCTACTGTCCTTAGTAAATAAAAAAGTAACACATCTATTATGGAGGGGAGGGCATTGGTTGACTCATTAAAGGCAAAATAGAAAGAACATATATCACAAGAAGGAAAATTATGTCATGAAAAGTCAATATTTTAATGATTTAGAGTCTGTTCCAACTTCTTTTACTCACACTTACAATTTTTTTTTTGAGACAGTCTCACTCTGTTGCCCAGGCTGGAGTGCAGGGGTGCGATCTCGGCTCACTGCAGCCTCCGCCTCCTGGGCTCAAGCGATTCTCCTGCCTCAGCCTCCTGAGTAGCTGGGACTACAGGCACGCGCCACCACGCCTGGCTAATTTTTGTATTTTTAGTAGAGACGGGGTTTCACCATGTTAGCCAGGATGGTCTCAATCTCCTGACCTCGTGATCCACCTGCCTCGGCCTCCCAAAGTGCTGGGATTACAGGCGTGAGCCACCATGCCCGGCCTACACTTAAAAATTTTTAAAAATTCCCCTGATAGTATTAAATAGTATTGATGTTAATAGTTGATAGTATTGGAAAATAACCATAATGCAACAACCAATGCAATGATGGATCAGCAATGGACACTGAAAGCTTTCATTGGATGAAAGGTTGTTGGGGAATAAGAGAGTCACACAGAATCAAAGCACGGCTCCATGGAATACTTACAAATTACAAAGAGAAAAGAGAGATCTGGAGAGTACACCCTGAACCAAGCATTCAAACTTATCATCACCCATCCTGGGACAATTTGATAGTGATAGCCTCCTGATGTAATGCTCTATGAGGTCCACAACATCACCTGTGTAGTATTTTTGCCAAAATGTTTCCTTTAAATCTAATAATGAGGAAGGAAAATACAAATCCTGGTTGTGAGACATGCAACAGGACAACTGGACCAGATTCTTTAAAAATGGCAGTGTCATGAAAGACAAAAATGGCAATGGAACTGTTCAAGATTTAAGGAGACTTACATTTTGGGAGGTTGAGGTGGGCAGATCACTTGACGTCAGGAGTTTGGGACTAGCCATGAGGTCAGGCCAACATGGTAAAACCCTGTCTCTACTAAAAATACAAAAATTAGCCGGACCTGGTGGCAGGTGCCTGTAGTCCCAGCTCCTCAGGGGGCTGAGGTGCAAGAATTGCTTGAACCGGGGAGACAGAGGTTGCAGTGAGCTGAGATTGTGCCACTGCATCCCAGCCTGGGCGACAGAGCAAGACCCAGTCTCAAAAAAAGAAAAAACAAAGGCATGATGGTGAGATGTGAGGATGATCCTTGATTGGTTCCTGGATTTTAAAAAAGAACACATATATATATGTATAGAAGATATAGAAGATATTTTTGGAACAATTAGAACAATGTAAATATAATCTATATTAATGTTTGCTTGGAGATGTGTTCATGATATGGTAGTTGTACAGAAGTATGTCTTGATTCTTAGGAGATACATGCTGAAGTATTTAGGGTAAGGTATTATTATACCTAAAAGTTAATTTTAGAAAGCTGAACAAAAAAGTATAAATGTTAGAGTATAAATGGTTGGGCAAAAAAAGTATACCATGGGCCAGGAGCGGTGGCTCACGCCTGTAATCCCAGCACTTTGTGAGGCCGAGGTGGGTAGATTGCTTGAGCCCAGGAGTTCAAGACCAGCTTGGGCAACATGGCAAAACCCTGTCTCTACCAAAAATACAAAAATTAGCCAATATCATAACCCGGTCTCAAAATAAATAATAAAAATGTAAAAAATAAAACATTATACTATGTATACTTTTTATGTATATGTGTGAGAGAAAAAACAAATGTGGGCAGTGTTAACGATTGGTGAATTTAGGTGAAGGATATAATTCATTGTACTATTTCTCAACTTTTGTTTGTTTGTTTGTTTCTTTTTGAGACATTGTCTTGCTCTGTTGCCCAGGCAGGAGTGCAGTGGCACAATTGCAGCTCACTGCTGCCTCTGTCTCGGGCGATCAAGCGATCCTCCCACCTCAGTTTTTGAGTAGCTGGGACTATAGGGATGTGACACCAGGCCCAGCTAATTTTTAAACTTCTTGTAGAGACGGGGTCTCCCTATATTGCCCAGGCTGATCTCAAATTTCTTGGCTCAAGCAATCTTCCCGTCTCGGCCTCCCAAAGTGTTGGGATTACAGGTGTGAGCCACCATGCCCAGTCAACATTTCTATGGGTTTGAAATTTTCAACACAGTATAAGTTAGGGAAAAAATTAAAATATGGCCAGGCATGATGGCTCATGCCTGTAATCCCAGCACTTTGGGAGGCTGAGGCAGGTAGGTCATTTGAGGTCAGGAGTTTGAGACCAGCCTGGCCAACATGGTGAAACCCCATCTCTACTAAAAATACAAAAAATTAGCCAGGTGTGGTGGCTGGCATTTGTAATCCCAGCTACTAGGGAGGCTGAGGCAGGAGAATCGCTTGAACCTGGGAGGTGGAGGTTGCAGTGAGCCGAGATTGTGCCACTGCACTCCAGTCTGGGCAACAGAGTGAGACCTTGTCTCAAAAATAAATAAATAAAATAAAATAAAATGTTTTTTTTCCTAATTGTTGGAAATAATAGATGCCTATTCATTGAGAAATTTTAGAAAATACAGAAAAAGCGTTTTAAAACATCATGCGATTATGGTAGAGCTTCTCCTACCATGTCTCATTCCACCCCTGGCACTGTCACCAGACCTCTCAGGCACAAAGGCCAATCTTTCTAATTAAGATACATGTAGGAAGATGAATAGGAGTCGTCTGCATTTCTCCAGATCCTATCAACTGGGTTTCAGATCACCCAGACTCTCTTTCTCAAGTTTAGTCCTTTCTATTCAGAAGCCACAAACTTTAAAGATAAAATGCTCAAGCATTACAAAACATTATTCTAAAAACAGGAAAATACTTAGGTTAACATGCAGAATTTCACAACATTCCAAACATAATTCATCACCCTTCAAAGCCTTCCTGTTGCAGTTAGAAGAAAACAGACAGTTGGCTGGGTGCGGTGGCTCATGCCTATAATCCCAGCACTTTGGGATGCGGAGGTGGGAGAATTGCTCGAGCCCAAGAGTTCAAGACCAGCCTGGGCAACAAAGTGAGACCCGTCTCTACAAAATAAATAAATAAATAAAATAAAAAGTTTGCCGGATGCGGTGGCGTGCACCTGTAGTCCCAGCTACTCAGGAGGCTGAGCAGAGGGGATCACTTGAGCCCAGGAGATTGAGGCTGCAGTGAGCCATGACTGTGCCACTGTACCGCAGCCCAGGGGAAAGTGAGACCCTGCCTCAAAACAAAGAGAAAGAAAAAGAAACCCAGACACTTTATGGCACAGCATCCAAGATCTGACCTCTGCCTTCCTTGCGTTTCATCTCCCCCATGCTCCCCTTCCTCTTCCTTCCTTTGCTTTGAATGTCCAAAGTGGTCCTAGATTCTAGCCCTAGAATGTTCTTGTCACAGATCTTTGCATGGCTGGTTCCTTCTCACTAAAAGTCTTGGCTCAAATGTCACCTCTTCAGAGCAGCCACCTGTGACCACTCTACAAGGCAGCTCTTCCTCCACCTGCCTCTCCTAGCCTTCTCTGTCCCCTTAGCTGGTTTAGTTTCTCCAAGTCATTTATCATTATCTTGTTTATTTTCAGTTTCATCATCTTTGTTGTATTTCCTCTCCTAACTATTTCCTCCCTAAACTTCCATAAAGGACCTTGTCTGTCTTGAGGCCACTGTTATTTCCAGGGCTTAGAACAGGGTCTGGTATACAGCAGGTACTGAGGTAAATATTTCTTGACTGAATAAATATTCCTTTTCACATACAATTCTCATATGTCCCACTTACGCTGTACCGTGTCAGCCAACAACAACATTTCAGGAACTGTAGTGAGTTTTTGCTTGTAGGCTCCTTGAGTTTATCCTAAAGAAACTCCAAGTAAAATCAGAAAAGCTGCCATATGGGGCCAGGTGCAGTGGCTCACGCCTGTAATCCCAGCACTTTGGGAGGCTGAGGAGGGCAGATCACTTGAGGTCAGGAGTTCAAGACCAACCTGGGTAACATGGTGAAACCCCATCTCTACTAAAAATACAACAATTAGCCAGGCGTGGTGGTGCGCGTCTGTAATCCCAGCTACTTGGGAGGCTGAGGTGGGAGAATCGCTTGAACCCAGCAGGTGGAGGTTGCAGTGAGCCGAAACTGTGCCACTGCACTCCAGCCTGGGCGACAGAGTGAGACTCCGACACTCTGTCTCAAACAAAAACAAAACAAAAACAAAAAAACAAGAAAAGCTGCTATTTGGAAACCCCTGTATCGAATAAAAGGAGTCCCGTACCTCAAAACCAAAGAATAACAAGAGAAATTTGTGATCTGCTTAAAGTGTATTGGTTTCACACTGACCCAGTTCAAGAGATTTTTCTAGGGTTAGGATTCCTTATGCTAAATTACGAGATAATTATTATTATCTTTTTCAGTTTGGGGACACAGGAGGTAAAGAGCCCCATGAAGTTAAAAGTAGGTAAGCGAAGACAATATTTGGTTAATGTTTACTTTTTCCTCTTTCCTTTTTTGAGCTTAAAAGATTCAGGAAGGCTAGTTCCTGAAAAAGCCTGCAAGGCCAGTTTTCCACTGCAATAGATGACTGATACAATTAAAAAAAATCAGTCCCAAATCTCTTTCTCTGTATTATCCTTATAATTGTGCCAATATTCTGTCCCACACCAAACCCATTTACTCTCTCTTTAGATGCTGATCTCAACTTACTCTGATCCTATGAATGTATTTTCTGCTGGTATTTGAAAAATGTTATTCACAAAACAAAAATCCTAGATGTGGATCTCCAACTATTTTCTAAGACTGTCTCTAAACCCTATTCTTAGCAAATTTTGGCCGGGTGTGGTGGCTAACACCCGTAATCCCAGCACTTTGGGAGGCCGAGATGGGAGGACTGCTTGAGCCCAAGAATTTGAGACCAGCCTGGGCAACATTGAGAGACCTCATTTCTGTTTATTTATTTGTATTTATATTTATATATTTTTTAAGACAGAGTCTCGCTCTGTCACCCAGGCTGGAGTGCAGTGGCGCTATCTCGACTCACTGCAGTTTCCACCTCCTGGTTTCAAGCGATTCTCCTGCCCTAGCCTCCGAAGTAACTGGGATTACAGGTGCTTCCACCACGCTGGGCTAATGTTTTTTGTATTTTTAGTAGAGACGGGGTTTCACCATGTTGGCCAAGCTGGTCTGGAACTCCTGACCTCAAGTGATCCACCCGCCTCCGCCTCCCAAAGTGCTGGGATTACAGGCGTGAGCCACTGCACCCGGTCTGATCTCATCTTTATTTAAAAACAAAACAAAACAAAAATCAGCCAGTTGTGGGTGCGTGCCTGTAGTCTCAGCTACCCAGGAGGCTGAGGTGGGAAGATCGCTTGAGCCCAGGAGATAGAGGCTGCAGTGAGCCATGATCATGCTACTACACTCCAGCCTGGGTGACAGAGGTGACTCAAAATAATTTTTTTAAATTATGAAATACAAAATTCCTACAAAAATGTATATAAAACATATGCACAGCTTGATAAATTGTTGTAAGGCTAACAGCCGTGTAACTTGGACTCGGGAAGAAACAGAATATTGCCTATATTGCCTATAGACAAAAAGTAGTCCTAAAATATAGTAAAACTGTTCAGAACATTGGTTCAGGAATCAGATGACCTGTATTTGAATCCTGACTCTACAACTTAGTAGACAACTTGAGTAAATGATCAATACTTTCTGAGCTTTAGTTTTCCTATGTGTAAAATGGGGAAAATAATAGTACATCATAAAGTTCTTGTAAAGACCAAAAAAATAAAAATAAAAACCCAGCCGGGGCCGGGCGTGGTGGCTCACGCCTGTAATCCCAGCACTTTGGGAGTCTGAGGCAGGCAGATCACCTGAGGTCAGGAGTTTGAGACCAGCCTGACCAACATGGAGAAAGCCCGTCTCTACTGAAAATACAAAATTAGCTGGGCATGGTGGCTCATGCTTGTAATCCCACTTACTCGGGAAGCTGAGGCAGGAGAATCGCTCGAACCTGGGAGGTGGGGGTTGCAGTGAGCCAAGATCGCGCCATTGCACTCCAGCCTGGGCAACAAGAGTGAAACTCCATCTCAAAAACAAACAAACAAACAAACAACCCAGCCGGGCACGGTGGCTCAAGCCTGTAATCCCAGCATTTTGGAGGCTGAGGCGGGTGAATTGCTTGAGGTCAGGAGTTTGAGACCAGCCTGACCAACACAGTGAAACCCCGTGTCTACTAAAAATGCAAAAATTAACTGGGCGTGGTGGCGGGCACCTGTAATCCTAGCTACTCAGGAGGCTGAGGCAGGAGAATCGCTTGAACCTGGGAGGCAGAGGTTGCAGTGAGCTGAGATTGCGCCATTGCACTCCAGCTTGGGCAACGGAGCGAGACTCCGTCTCAAAAAAAAAAAAAAAAAAAAAAAAACCCAAAAACCAGAAAAAAATAAAAAAAAACATAAAACTGCCGGGCATGGTGGCTCACCTCTGTAATCCTAGCGCTTTGAGAGGCCAAGGCGTTAGTATCACCTGAGGTCAGGAGTTCGAGACCAGCCTGACCAACAAGGTGAAATCCCATCTCTACTGAAAATACAAAAATTAGCCAGGCGTGGTGGCAGGTGCCTGTAGTCCCAACTATTCAGGAGGCTGACATAGGAGAATCATTTGAACCCAGGAGGCGGAGGTTGCAGAGAGCTGATCACACCATTGCACTCCAGCCTGGGCTACGGAGGAGACTCTGTTTCAAAACAAACAAACAGAAAACCAAAAAAACACTTAGCATAGTACTTAGAACATGTTTTTCCCTGAGTAAATGGTGCTATTATTATTCTTCCACCTGTTGAAGTTCCTGTTCAGGTGCTGAGTCTCTTTGTTTAAATATGGATTCCTCCCAGGAGGATCTTGCTTAACACATAGGAATAGAGAAGATAAAGGTTTACTCATCTAGTGTAATCATCCTTTTAGAAATTGTCTTCCTAGTGGCTTCCCCATAAATTCTTCCATACACCTGTCCAAGGAAACTGTCCTGTGTGGACCAGAAGCCTCCCCCTCCTCATGACTGGGCAGAGAAACTAGAGGCCTTTCAGGCCAGGCCCTCAGCAACTCCAAACTGAGTTGCCTTGGACACATACCAGTCTTTGAATTCATTTACTAAGCAGGCAAGGCAGAGTGGAAACAGTGGAACTATGTTAATCTCCCGTCTTTTCTCCTCTAAACCCTAGTACTAGAGATGTAAGCCTTGAAATGCTACTAAGGAACGTGCGGGTTTCACAATAGCAGGAGGCCATCTGAGAGGAGAACAAGACTCCACAGGCATGTTGGATTTGGGAAGCAGGGCTATAGTCATTCATTCATTCATCCAACACATAGTTATGTAATTCCTATGTGACAGGAACTATTTCAGGCATATAGGATACAGCAATGGCTTGCTCAATTTATTGAGACTTGTTTCGTGGCTCAGCATATAGTCTGTCTTGGTGAATGCTCCACATTCCCACCAACAGACTTATAAAGACAGTATTGTTTATTATCATCTCAAATTTACGGTGGAAAAAAATGAACCTTACATAGTTTAATTTCCTTTAGTCCTACCCAGCTACCAAGTAGCAACACTGGAATTTGAACTGAGATTTCTGACACCATAATCTGAGCTCTTAAGTTTCTCTTTTACACATAGAAAAGGAGAAACAAATTGTCTTTTCATCTTATCCATTTGACTGCAGGTAAAGTCAACAAGTTTCTAATCATGGGGTTCTGAAAATAATATTTACATTGCTCTGAGTCACGGGGATTTTCATCAAATAATATTCAATAGTGGATACTACTCAATACTACTGTGAGTTGCCAAGAAGGAATATTTGGTAAAAAATATAGTAATTAAATTTTGCTATAATTTATGATTATGTAACATGATTAAATCGAGCATGGCATCATTTAACATCCAACAAATTTTGTTTTGGTATTGAAGAATGATGTGTTTAAGTTTTAAGGCTGGATTTTCTTTCTAGACACTTTCAACTATGAAATATACACAATATTGGACAATAGTTAACCGTTCTTTTGATGTTGTTGTTTAGAAAATTAATCTCAAGCGAATAAAATAGAATTCATACAATTAATGAATCCTATTATTCCATATGGATGAACTCAGAACTAACTAGAAAGTAAGTTTCACAGAGATTTTTGAGTTTTGTTCACTCGTGTGTGTACAGATTAGGCACTCAGAAAATAGTTGAAGGAATGAATTGGGAAAGCAAATAGAATATGAAAGCCTTCTACCCAACACAACATGTCTTTGAGTTTAGGTTTAGGGTGGGAATAAGAAAAATAACATGATATGCATAAGTTATCTTAAAATGATAAAAAGTTTAATTTAAAAACCTAATTTACCAAGAGAACCGAAAACATATGTCCACACAAAAACTTGTACACAAATGTTCATAGTAACATTATTCATAACATCCCCAAAGGAGAAACAACCCAAATGTTCATCAACAGATGAATGATTAAACGAAATGTGATACATCGATACAATGGAATATTATTCAGTTATAAAAAGGAATGAAGTACCAATACATACTACATCATGGATGAACCTTTAAAATATTATGCTAAGTGAAAGAAGACAGACACAAAGGGCACATATTGTATTATCCATTCATATAAAATGTCCAGAATAGGCAAATTAATAGAGACAGAAAGTACATTAGTGGTTGCCGAGGGATGAGGGGAGAGGGGAAATGGGGAGTGACTATTAATGGGCATGGGGTTTCTTTTGGGGGCGATTAAAATGGAATTAGATGGTGGTGATGGTTGTACAATCTGGTGAGTATACTAAAACCCATTGAATTGTACGTGCCCTTTAAAAGGGTGAATTTTATGGTATGTGAACTCTCTTTTATAAAGTGGAAAAAAACTCCTAAGATCTCTTCAGAACATGTCAAAATACATTATAAAATAATAGACATGTGTTTACAAATCTGAGAGTATTAGGAAATGTTCCCTTGTTTAATTATAAACCAAATGGAATGTTTGGAGATTTCAGTAATCTGACAGGGAACATTAAGGGGATTAACCTGACTTCCCCAGTGTTAACAATACCAATTTAAACTGCATCATTCAAAAACTACATAGTCATATTAAAGCATTTGTAGCAATGACTTCCACGAAAAAAATACCAATTAAATTAATTACCCATTAAAGCTGCCATCATCTGAAATACCTCATATTTATATAGTGCTTTTACTTCCTCAAGTATGAATTGTGCCTTAAGATCTAATGTATGGGAGAGTCACATCTCTAACCATTTAATTAAAGGTAGAGAAGTGGGTGGGATTGGATAGAAATTTATTAGCAATGCTGACATTCCAGATTGGAACACAAAGACAAGCAGGATGTAAGAAACCTAAAAGTTCGCTTTCAATGCAGATAGTTAAATGCCAAGAACTATAATTGCCACATCCTGGAGTACAATTAAAAAATATGTTGAAAAACAACCAACATACATAAAAATATACACAGTGTTAAGTGCAGACTATGAAATTTCCCTTGGAAACAGAATCCAGATCAAGAAATAGAATACAGCACCCGGAACTAAGGTGCTTTTTCGTTTTCTTAAAAAAAAAAAAAGTAAACCAAGTTTATTTTGCTTTTTAAGTAGTGTTGTTCTTAAAGCACTACAGGTTGGTAAACAACGTATAAGGTGCTTTTTCTCAGGCCAAAGAGCCATAATAGTTTAAATTTCCCGGTCCTCAAGAGCGGACCGGGTGGGCAGGAGAGGACCCTGGGGTGGTGATGTGTAAACTGTATTATGCACTTTAGCCTGCTGGATGGCAACTAACACCTACAGTAGTTCACCCTCATTTTAACCCCTCTAAGTAATTGTCTCTTATTCTGAATCTAGAGATTCAGAAACAGCGCCAATGTTTACACACGACTTTTGAAATTTTCCCAGGAGTCTTTCGTTGGAGCAATACATCTAGATGCCTTTTTCCAGCAACAGTTTAATCAAATTCTGGAAGCAGAAAAGTGTCCTGTGAGGACGTGCCTTTCCTATCAAAGTGCTGAGTGCCTGGACCCTCTTTCCGGAGGAAACAGTCCCCTCTGGACCTCGTTCGGCCTCTCTCCATCAGACACCCCAAGGTTCCATCCGAAGCAGGCGGAGCACCGAACGCACCCCGGGGTGGTCAGGGACCCCCATCCGTGCTGCCCCCTAGGAGCCCGCGCCTCTCCTCTGCGCCCCGCCTCTCGGGCCGCAACATCGCGCGGTTCCTTTAACAGCGCGCTGGCAGGGTGTGGGAAGCAGGACCGCGTCCTCCCGCCCCCTCCCATCCGAGTTTCAGGTGAATTGGTCACCGAGGGAGGAGGCCGACACACCACACCTACACTCCCGCGTCCACCTCTCCCTCCCTGCTTCCTCTGGCGGAGGCGGCAGGAACCGAGAGCCAGGTCCAGAGCGCCGAGGAGCCGGTCTAGGACGCAGCAGGTGGGACTCGCGGCGCTGGCCCGCAGGCTTCCCGCACCCCCTTCCACGTTGGTGCGCATGCCCGGGGGCAGGGCCGGTTGTAGGGAGGAGGGAAAGGAGAGGGAGAAGGGGGAGGAGACGTCCCCAGCCCAGTCCCCGGCTGAGCGCTGGCGGTCGGTGCGGCGTCAGGTGCGCCCGCCAGGTGAGCGCGCTCCCTGGCACCGTTGGCCCCCGGAGGGTCGGGCCCAGTTGCGGCGAGCGGGTGAGTGTTGGGCGCGGCGTCAGGGGCGCACGGGAGCCCGAGGGTCCCCGTGGGGGGACCGCGGCGACTATGTTAGGGGAGGTGCTGGGGGGAGGACGCTCCGCGCTGGTTTCGGTGGCAGTTTCGTCCCCGAGCTGGGACTCGTGGGAACCAGAGAGGCGCGGGTCTGCGGAGAGAGCAGCACCGGCCAACTTGGGAGGCTGCCTCCTGGGGCGAGGGGTGGCTTGGAGCCGCCGATCAAGCTTTATTCCGCGGAAACGCTGAAAGCTAGCAGTGCCTCAGCGGCGCGGGCAACTTTTCACTTTTATGGGGCACGACATTCCTGAACAGCGACGATCCTGCATCCGCTCTGGGGCTGCAGTTTGGGGGGGCGGCCTTCATGGAGAGGGATCCTGCGCCCAGCTCCTTGGGGGTCCTAAGCCTGAGGCTGCAGCGAGGCGGCTGTTCGGCGGCCCGGGCGGCTTAGATCCCGGGGGGAATTTCATTCCTTCCGCTCCCACCCCACCCCTTTGGATATCCCGGGGAGACGGGGGCTGGATTCAATCTGTGAAATATTCCAGGAGTCACGGTGTGGGCCACACTGGCTACTTCGAATCCACTTGTTGCGAGTTGTGTGAACCCGCGTCGATTTAAGCTGGGGGGCGGGGAGTTAATTTCGAGTGAGGCTGGACTTCGAGGGAAGCTGCTCACGCTTCGGATTCTCATCCGTGACCAAAAGGGCTGCCCCCAGGGGGGCGGAACTGCCTCCGGGCGGTGCCTGCCCGGCGAACGTGGGCGCGCGCTGCCTGGGAGCGCCTCGGTGCGCACGGAAGCCGGGACCCGCGCCCAGCCGGGCCACGGAGTTTGGGGACCTCCGGGACTGGGCCGGCCCCGCGCGCCAGCCATGTTGCCTGCGTCGGAGGAAGCGTGCGGGGAGCAGGGGTCGAGGGCCAAGATGGCCTCTGCGCCTAGGGGTTGGGAGCGGCGCCGAGCCCCTCGCGCTCCTCGGGAAGCCACCGGGCCCGAGGGAAAAGCCGCGGCATCCTTAGGCCGGACCCGGGGCTCGCTGGCCACACTGCCCGCTTGGGGAATTACCCTGCTCGAGGAGGAGGCGGCGGCTTTCCAGGCCAGTCAGTGTGTGGCCCTTAGGCAACAGGTGTATTATTGGGATACCTGGAAAAGAGAAACGTTTCCCATGAAGGCACTTATGGTGTTTTTTGGTGATTCTTGGTGTGATAGAAAACTAGGCGTTCCCAAGTGTAACAATAGTAACAGTAGTTCTTTTGCACTGTACATATGAGGTGCTTCTGTGTGTGTGTGTGTGTTTTTCCGAGACGGAGTCTGGCTCTGTCCCCCAGTGCAGTGGCATCATCTGGGCTCACTGCAACCTCTGCCTCCCGGGTTCAAGCGATTCTCCTGCTCAGCCTCCCGAATAGCTGGGATTACAGGCACCCACTAGTATGCACAGCTAATTTTTGTATTTTTAGTAGAGACAGGGTTTTGCCATTTGGTCAGGCTGGTCTCGAACTCCTGACCTCAGGTGATTCGCCCGCCTTGGCCTCCCAAAGTGCTGGGATTACAGGCGTAAGCCACCACACCCAGCCTTTATGAATATTTTCTTAGTGGTGCTTTAAAATAGACATCTTAAGTGTGTGTGGGAGGCAGAGATATTTCCTCAAACAAAGCAACACTTTTTTTTTGGTCGTTTTGCAATTTATTTAGTTATTAGGGGCCTCCTTTGTTAGGTGACGGAGCAGAGGATAGGGAGATCGGTAAGACATGATTCTCCACCTTTTGGCAGTTTCCAGGCCATTTCGGGAAATAGTGGGCAGCAGTGCCTCCTGCACGTGAGGCACTGTGGTAAAAGCATTCTGTATTTTCTCATTTAATTATCCCAACAACTCTAAAAGGCAGGCCTTAGTAGAACTCCATTTTAAAAGTGGGCAAATGCCGTGGGGGAAACGTTGCAGGTGGGCTTGCTTGCAAACTGCTTCAGCTAATATGGGAAGGAGTATCAGAAGCAGCGGTCCTTGATATTCCAGAACCAGATTTGGGGAATTTTTCTGGACTTTTCTACCATTGACTAGTAACTGTAGCCTGATACAAGATTTCCCGCATTTTGCTTGATATCAAGGTAAAATTCTTGTTTTCTTCTAAAGGTAGTGTTGGAATTACTACCTTTTCAAAATAGTATATTACTTTTAACCACATAAATGATCTGATGTAATATCTTTCATCTTCCTAGGAACCTCCCAGAAGGAAGTTTTCTTCAGTTGCATTTTAAGGCTTATTTGATTGGAATATTAATGGATCTTTTTCATCAAATTACTATTTATGGAAATAAGAGAGTAAACAGACCATGCAGATTTATGTTAGGCTTTTTGTTTTAACCCCTAGGCTTGCCGCTGTTCCGTAACCCAGTGATTCCAGTCTTGGCTGTGGTATGAATCACTTAGGGATCCTATTAAAACACAGATTCTGATTGGGAGGTCAGGAGTGGGGCCTGGGATTCTGCCTTTCTAACAGGCTCACAGGTGATTCTCAGACTGTTCTGTCTTCTTTTTCTCCCTTTCTCTTAGACTCTACGCACTTAATTACATTTGACAAACTGAAGTTGGAAAAAATAACGTTTATTGAGTGTTGTGTGAAGAACTTCAAGGCATTCACTGCTGGATTGAAATCCCAACTCTAATAATTGACTGTTGGTTTTATTAATTGAGTACTCATTGACAATCACTTTGTGCCAGGGCTAGTTCCAGCGACCAGGGATATAAATGATGGTCAAAATAGACATTTGATGTCTGGGATATGGGCATTCCAGATGCGGTGGAGATGATACCTATATTTTAGGTATGAGGGCAGAGGGGAGTTTGCTCTGAAAAAAAAAACAAGTTTTGTGTGATGGAGTGAGGGACAGGGAGGGCATCTCCCAGAAGGTGACGTCTGAGCTGAGACCTGAACAGCAGGTGTCTGTTGTGTAAAAGATCTGGGCTTTCTAGACAGGAAATTGCAAGATCAATGTCCTTTTTGGATTGACACCTTTATTGTAGACAGCAATTCTCAAAATATGTGATGTGTTTAAAAATCACCTGGAAGATTTATTAAAAATACAATTTCTGACACAGAGTCTATTACAAAATCTGCCTAACTTCAAATTTTTAGACAATTTACTAATGATGTGCCTGTAGTCTAAATCATTTAATATAAGGCACAACTTAAACTTTTTTTTTTTTTTTTGAGACAGAGTCTCGCTGTCTCCCAGGCTGGAGTGCAGTGGCACGATCTTGGCTTACTGCAAGCTCCGCCTCCCGGGTTCACACCATTCTCCTGCCTCGGCCTCCCGAGTAGTTGGGACTACAGGCGCCTGCCACCATGCCCAGCTAATTTTTTGTATTTTTAATAGAGGCGGGGTTTCACTGTGTTAGCGGGGATGGTCTCGATCTCCTGACCTCGTGATCCTCCCGTCTCGGCCCCCCAAAGTGCTGGGATTACAGGCGTGAGCCACCGCGCCCGGCCACAACTTAAACTTTTTAAAGGCAAATTGACAGTTACTGCATGTGCTCTAAAAGGAACAGACTTCTCTTAAATACAATAAAGTTTATTTTTCACTTATTGACAGTTTTCTTTAAAGAATAATTTGAGGCCAAAGCATTTTCAGACTATTTTTTCTTTTTTTATACTTTTTTTTTTTTTTTTTTTTTTAAGATAGAGAACGGAGTCTTACTCTGTTGCCCAGCCTGATCTTGAAGTTCTGGGCTCAAACAATCCCTCTGCCTTGGCTTCCCAAAGTACTGGGATTACAAGTGTGAGCCACCTTGCCCAGCCTCAGCCTGTTTTTTTCATCTTAGCTTAGTTTTCCATTAAGACAGCTTTTGGTCAGTAAACATTGTCAAGGGGAGAACACTTTATATTTTATCATTAGCCCAAGATGCTGGTTTTCAGATTAACATATTTGACAAGGATCTATCTGCTGCTTCCCTTTTGCCCCCGACTCTAATTTAGCTGTCTGACTTCTGTCCTTGTCACTCTCCTGACATAAGTTCCTGTAGGTGATAAGTGGCCTCTTCATTCTCATTTTTTCCTTCACTCAACACATGTACAGATTGTTAATGTTGCTGTGCTGGGCATTGGTCCTCTTTCACCTTTGGCTGCTGGCCTTAAAGCACAGTCACAGATTCACTTTGAAAGAGACCTTAGAAGTCTTCCAGTCTGGTCTCCAAAAAAATATCAAATAACTTAAGCTTTGCATAAATTGCATGAGCTCAAATTGTTGTTAGTTATTTTCGGAGAGGGTGTGGGGTCAGGGTGAGGGAGAGGCTTCCTAACATTGAGATGAAATCAGCCTGTGGTTTTTGGAATTTTTTTTTTTAACCATTTCTAGGATAACAAAGACAGCTCTTCATATATTTCAGGGCTGCTAAAGCGATTTTTCTGACGTTAAGTTCTCCAGGCCAAACATTTCCTGTTTTTCCAATCATTTGTCTTAAGACATGGTTTTTCTAGATTTTTTTTTTTTTTTTTTTTTTTGAGCCAGAGTCTCACTGTGTCGCCAGGCTGGAGTGCGGTGGCACAATCTTGGCTCACTGCAACCTCTGCCTCCTGGGTTCAAGCAATTCTCCTGCCTCAGCCTCCCAAGTAGCTGGGATTACAAGCACACACCACCATGCCCAACTAATTTTTGTATTTTTAGTAGAGACGAGGTTTCACCGTGTTGGCCAAGATGGTCTCGATCTCCTTGTGATCCACCCGCCTCGTCCTCCCAAAGTGCTGGGATTACAGGCGTGAGCCACGGTGCCTGGCCAGCTTTTCTAGATCTTTAATGATCTTAGTCACCCTCCTGGAGAGGCACATAGTTTAGAATGTGATGTACAAATCAGGTTTTGTTTGTTCTTTTTAATAGCATATTATTCCTAGATATGAGCACTATTTCTGTGAATAAAGTTTGGGATAGGTTGTTAGCTTTTGTTGAAATTCTTACCAAAGAAATGCACCTTTAAAAATGAACCACTTTGGGAGGCCGAGGCGGGCGGATCACGAGGTCAGGAGATCGAGACCATCCCGGCTAAAACGGTGAAACCCCGTCTCTACTAAAAATACAAAAAATTAGCCGGGCGTAGTGGCGGGCGCCTGTAGTCCCAGCTACTTGGGAGGCTGAGGCAGGAGAATGGCGTGAACCCGGGAGGCGGAGCTTGCAGTGAGCCGAGATCCCGCCACTGCACTCCAGCCTAGGCGACAGAGCGAGACTCCGTCTCAAAAAAAAAAAATGAACGATTATTAAATTAGTTCTCCTCTATACTGTACTATGGAATTGACTTTTTAAAAATTCAGTTTATGGCTGGGCATGGTGGCTCATGCCTGTAATCCCAGCACTTTGGGAGGCTGAGGTGGGTGGATCACCTGAGGTCAGGAGTTTGACACCAGCTTGGTTAACATGGTGAAACCCCGTTTCTACTAAAAATGCAAAAATTAGCCTGGCCTGGTGGCATGTGCCAGTAATCTCAGCTACTCAGGAGGCTGAGGTGGGAGAATTGCTTGAACCTGGGAGGTGGAGGTTGCATTGAGCCGAGATCACGCCATTGCATTCCAGGCTGGATGACAGAGCAAGACTCCTGTCTCAAAAAAAAAAAAAATCAGTTTACATTTTAAAAATGACTCATTTATGCCACCAATATAGTCACCCTTCAGTATCTGTGAGAGGTTGCTTCCAGGACCCCCATGATACTAAAATCTGAGGATGCTGAAGTCCTTGTTATAAAATAGCTTTGTATTTGCATATGGCCTAAATGCTCTTGTATACTTTTTTTTTTAATTGTTTTTTTGAGACAGAATCTCACTCCATCATCTAGGCTGGAGTGCAGTGATGCAATTTTGGCCCACTGCAAACTCTGCCTCCTGGGCTCAAGCGATTCTCCTGCCTCAGCCTCCTGAGTAGCTGGGATTACAGGCACCCGGCACAATCCCAGTTAATTTTTGTATTTTTAGTAGAGACAGGGTTTCACCATGTTGGCCAGGCTGGTCTCGAACTCCTGACCTCAAGTGATCCGCCCGTCTTGGGCTCCCAAAGAGCTGGAATTACAGGTGTGAGCCACTGCACCCAGACCTCTTGTAGACTTTAAATAATCTCTAGTTATAATACCGTATACAATGTAAATACTATGTAGAATTGTGATATTGTAGTTTTAAAAATCTATTTTTTGTTTTATTGTTTATTATTTTTTTAGACAGGGTATTACTGTTACTCAGGCTGGAGTATAGTGGCATGATCACTCCAGCCTCAACTTCCTCTGCTCAAGAGATCCTCCCATCTCAGTCTCTTGAGTAGCTGGAACTTACAGGGATGTGCCACCATGCCTGGCTAATTTTAAGAAAAATTTTTTGTGGAGATGGGGTCTTACTATGTTGCTGTGGTCAGTCTTGGACTCCTGGGTTCAAGTGATCTTCCTGCTTCAGCTTCCTAGAGTGTTGGGATTACAGGTGTGAGCCACTGTACCTGCCCTGTAATTTTTAATTTTTTTTTCCCCTGAATATTTTCTGTCTGAGGTTGGTTGAATCAGAATTTAAAACCCATGGATGTGGAGGGTCAGCTGTATTTGAAAATGGATACAATATACCTAAGTGCCTAAGCACTGAAATTTCTTACTTTCAGGATAACCACCTTATGATGAATGCAGTTGCCCATTTTCTTGAAGACTTTTTCTTGTGGTTTTTTTCTTTCTTTTTTTTTTGAGCCGGAGTCTCGCTCCGTCGCCAGGCTGGAGTGCAGTGGCGTGACCTCAGCTCACTGCAACCTCCTCCTCCTGGATTCAAGCGATTCTCCTGCCTCAGCCTCCTGAGTAGCTGGGGCTACAGGCGCGCGCCACCAAGCCCAGCTAATTTTTGTATTTTTTTAGTAGAGACAGGGTTTCACTATGTTGACCAGGATGGTCTTGATCTCTTGACCTCGTGATCCACCCGCCTCGGCCTCCCAAAGTGCTGGGATCACAGGCGTGAACCACTGCGCCCAGCTCTTTAAGACTTTTTCTTATCCCAGTGCAGAGGTCAGGATTATTCCCGCATTTGAGTGCACTTAGAGGAGATAAGGAATTTGTCTCAGATTGCGAGCCAGTAAATGGGGGCTGTTAAAACCACTAGGTTGTTTCAAACTCATCATTCTGACATTACAGAGATCTTGCTTAGTGTTGATGGCCCTAGCCAATGGGTTAGTTATCCTTTCCAGTGTGTTTGGTCAGCTGCAAATCTGGATAAGCGTGTCTCCTCCACTTTGTCTGTGTTTACCAGTGGAGACCTCCCACCAGGTGGACATAAATGGTTCATTCTTTTGTGCTAATTGGGTGCCGTAATCCAGCCCCTTGGGAATCTGCCCACCCACACAAGGATGTGCTCAAGATTTTCAGGATTCTTTCTCTCTGCATTCCCTGAAGAGGAAATAATAAAGGAGAAAATAAAATCCACCAGTTTGGTAACCTTCCCAGAAAAGGAAATGAAGTTGGTGTGGCATGACTTGTTCTTAACGAGCTTTCTTTTCTTTTTTTTTTTTTTTGAGACGGAGTTTTGCTCTTTTTGCCCAGGCTGGAGTGCAATGGCGCAATACTGGCTCACTGCGAACTCCGCCTCCCAGGTTCAAGCAATTCTGCTACCTCAGCCTCCCAAGTAGCTGGGTTTACAGGCATGCACCACCACGCCCCTCTAATTTTTTGTATTTTTAGTAGAGATAGGGTTTCACCACATTGGTCAGCTGGTCTTGAACTCCAGACCTCATGTGATCCACCTGCCTCGGCCTCCCAAAGTGCTGGGATTACAGGCATGAGCCACATGATTTGGTTCACAATTTAAAATCCGTGCTTTTGGGGAGACGTGACAACTCTGAATCCTGGAAATAGCAGTTTGAAAAGGGATCTTGTTTGAATTTTTGACAACTTAAGACTGAGTCTGGATTAATTTAGAGTTTCCAAAACTACCACTGAACCTAGAATTTGGGGATATTTGACATTCAGCTTCAGAACTAGGATCCCACATTTAATAGTGCTTAACTTCAGATTTTCTGTTTTACTTTTTTTTTTTAAAGGAGTCTTGCTCTGTCACCCACGCTGGAGTGCAGTGGCACAATCTTGGCTCACTGCAACCTCCACCTCGGGCTCAAGCGATTCTCATGCCTCAGTTTCTCAAGTAGCTGGGATTACAGGCACGTGCCACCATGCCCAGCTAATTTTTGTATTTTTAGTAGAGACGGGGTTTTGCCATGATGGCCAGGCTGGTCTCGAACTCCTGACCTAGGGTGATCCACCTGTCTCCACCTCCCAAGTGCTGGAATTACAGGTGTGAGCCACCTCACCTGGCCTAAATTCAGTATTCCTTAATGTTCTTTTTCTGAAGACAATCTGGACTTTTGCCTTTTTATAGTACCATAACATTTTCGCCTAAATTGCTCATTTGTATGTGTGTTTCACCATTACTAGAATATAGAGAAATTGGCCAGGTGTATTGGCTCATGCCTGTAATCCCAGTACTTTGGGAGGCCAAGGCAGGTGGATAGCTTGAGCTCAGGGGTTTGAGACCAGCCTGGGCAACATGGTGAAACCTTATCTCTACTAAAAATACAAAAATTAGCCAGGCGTGGTGGCATGTGCCTGTAGTCCAGCTACTTGTGAGGCTGAGGCAGGAGGATTGCTTGAGCCTGGGAGGCAGGTTGTAGTGAGCTGAGATGATGGCACTGCATTTCATCCTGGGCAACAGAATGAGACCTTGTCTCAAAAGAAAAAAAAAAAAGTATAGAGAAATTGACTTGAGTGCTAGTTACAGGGCTGTGTACACTTATGATTTGTGCACTTTTCTCTATGGTATACTTTAAAAGTGGCTTTTAAAAATGTAGAAAAGTCATCTTCCTTCATGTCTTTGGAAAATTATGCTAATTGTGTTGGTGTTATTAACATTCTATATATTTCCATCTTTGAGGATTTATCTAATACATAGTTGGGCAGGGTTTAATTCTGAGAGATTTGAAATACACTGTCCTAAAGGGTATAGAAGAGAGTTGCCAGGTGGGGCGTGGTGGCTCATGCCTGTAATCCCAGCACTTTGGGAGGCCAAGGAGGGCAGATTGCCTGAGCTCAGGAGTTTGACACCAGACTGTGCAACATGGTGAAACCCCATCTTTACTAAAAATACAAACAATTAGCCGGGCGTGGCAGCGTGCGCCTGTAGTCCCAGCTACTCGGGAGGCTGAGGCAGGAGAATCGCTTGAAGCCGGGAGGCGGAGATTGCAGTGAGCTGAGATCATGCCATTGCATTCCATCCTGGTGACAGAGCGAGACTCGGCTCAAAAAAAAAAAAAAGAGTTGCCATTAATTTAAAAAAAAGTTTTAAGAGTCTGAATTGATGTACTGTTGTTAATATATTAATGTATGATTGTACAGACCGTATTAGAAAAGGAAAAAAATATCAGATACTTTAATGTACTCATTATAGATGTTACTCAAGTGTCATTCAGGGATCATACCTTTTAAAGTTACTCTGATACTTTTCCGTTACCTTCAACTTGAAAGCACAAGAGGTTTTGCAGGCAGAGATATCCATGGTCCAATCTGGTTCCTGTAAACATTCAACAAATTATCTGGACGTCTACTATGTGCCAGGCATTGATTTAATCAGTGAACAAAACATGCAAAAATTCCTGCTCACATGGAATTTACCTTCCAGTAGATCTCAAAGTTCCCTACTCTACTAATCACTGGTATAACCTGGAAAGAATTTATTGTTGGTTCAACATAGCTAAGGAGTGGCATGAAGTTCTGTAGCTGATGTGGGAAGTACCTTGCCAGTGTCTCCAGCACTGGGTTTTCTAGAATAATCCTCAAGCTTTATAGGTTAGGGGGTTGTGTGTTTACCACATCTTGCTGAGACTTGTCTTTTTCCTGGAGAGCTCTCAGTGCCCATGGATCCACCTACGGACGTAGGCAGATGACCTCCATCTTCACTTCCTCATGGATGCTAACACCAGATGTGCACTCCCCACAAAAACTGGTGTTTCCCAAATGGAACTCATTGTTTCAAACTAGCATAGTGAAAAGCACATGAAATCATCTGGGTTCAAGTTACATCTGAGTGACTCACTGACATCCATATAACCTTGAGCATATTACTTCACATCTCTTTCTGACCCTCTTTGCATCTGTAAAGTGACTAATCAACCATGGAGGGTCGTTTTGAGGATGAAAGGAGGTTTTATGTAAAGCACCCAGCACGTCGGTAGGTGTCTGATGAATGTTAGTTTCCTTCCTATCTTCTGTCTCCTAAGCTAGTCCTTCATTGTTGCCTCACACCTAGGTTTGCTGCTGCTGACTGTAGGTGCTCCTTTTTACTGTTGACTTTGTCTTTCAAATCTGGTTCAAATCAAACTTACACCTCCCTTGCCGAGAATCACGAACTGGCTCCCTGTTTCCTACCTGAAGGAAGTGAGACACTCCCACTAGACTTTCAAAGCCCTCCCTTTTCTTACTCATCCTCCATCCACTATATTCTTACTGTAACCTTATTTTAAAAGATGACACCATTCCACCATGCTCCCACTTCACTGTTCCATAAGCTAGCCACCTGTGTTATCAGCACCACACCAGCCTGGAAGAGCCAGGACCCCAGCGCTGGCTGTCATACGTCACTCCCACAGGCTCTCCTGGTCTAGTGTAGGCACTTAATAAATGCTTGTTGAGTGAAATTTCTCCTCAGATGTTTAGGAACTTGTGCTGAAGAATTTTAGGACAAAATTTCAGAAAATGACCAATTAATACCATGCATATTGTTTTTTCTCCCCTTGTATAAAAATTGTGCTCAGTTTCGAAGACTTGGAAAAGGAGATAAGGGAAAAATATCTACAATTCCACCATTTATAGATGCATTTTATTATCATTTTTAATGATAAAGGCATTTAACCCATTAGATGGTTACTTTGCATTGAGGAGCTAGTATGTGCTAGTGCGGCTATATGTGCACTTTCTTATACATTCTCATTTAATATGAACTTTCAAAAGTAATATGAAATTATATATATTTCAAATTTTTGTACAAAAAATACAGGAATTAGCCAGGCATGGTGGTGCAGGTCTGTAGTCCTAGCTACTTGGGAGGCTGAGGTAGGAGGAGTACTTGAGCCTGGTAGATCAAGGCTGCAGTGAGCTGTGATTGGACCACTGCACTCCAGCCTGGGTGACAGGGTGAGACCCTGTCTCGGGGTGGGGGTGGGATGAAGAAAAGAAAGAAACTGTGAGCTTAGTAGTAATGCCATAACTCTACTTTTGTTGCTTAGATTGGTTTATCTTGGAAGCTAAAGGGCATTGCTCATCCTGAAGATCAGCTGACCATTGACAATCAGCCATGTCATCCAGGCCTCTTGAAAGTCCACCTCCTTACAGGCCTGATGAATTGTAAGTAAATAATTCTTTAGTTATTCTCTTTTAAAAAGTCTATCACATGTAAACAATAAGTATGGTTGAAACTTTAAGTGTTTGCTTTTAAAAATAAAACGATATGTGTACTTGTAAATTTAAATTGTATCAAAGGGTCTGCACTGAAAACTGAATTTCTCTCAACTTTCAGAATGACAGTTTGTCTCTGCTAGGACAACTGCTGTCACCTATTCCTAATGTTTGTTTCAAGAGATTGCCAAGGTTTATATTTGTATGTTCCTTTTTGTTTTGTACAAATGATAATGAAGCTTCCATTTAAATGCCTCATTTAGGTGGCCATTGGGAACATATTGTCAGTTTTTAAAAATAACAGCTTTAGGCCGGGTGCGGTGGCTCACGCCTGTAATCCCAGCACCTTGGGAGGCCGAGGCTGGCGGATCACAAGGTCAAGAGATCGAGACCATCCTGGCCAACATGGTGAACTCCCGTCTCTACTAAAAATACAAAAATTAGCTGGCTGTGGTGGCGCGCACCTCTAATCCCAGCTACTTGCCTGTAATCCCAGCTACTTGGGAGGCTGAGGCAGGAGATTCACTTGAACCCAGGAGGTGGAGGTTGCAGTGAGCCGAGATCACGCCACTGCACTCCAGCCTAGAGACAGAGCGAGACTCCGTCTGAAAAAAAGAAAAAAGGCCAGGCCTGGTGGCTCATGCCTGTAATCCCAGCACTTTGGGAGGCCGAGGCGGGTGGATCACCTGAGGTCGGGAGTTTAAGACCATCCTGACCAACGTGGAGAAACCCCCATCTCTACTGAAAATACAAAATTAGCCGGGCATGGTGATGCATGCCTATAATTGCAGCTATTTGGGAGGCTGAGACAGGAGAATCGCTTGAACCCAGGAGGCGGAGGTTGAGGTGAGCTGAGATGGCGCCATTGCACTCTAGACTGGGTGACAAGAGCAAAACTCCGTCTCAAAAAATAAATAAATAAATAAAAATAACAGCTTTATTGAGATATAATTAACATACTTTACAATTTACCCATTTAGAATGGATAGTTTAATGGTTTTTAGTATATTCACAGAGTTGTAGAACCATCACCACAATTAATTTTAGAACATTTCATTACTCTCCAAAGAAACCTATCCATTGGCAGTCACCTCCCAGTTCCATCAGCCCTAAGCAACTATTGGTCTACTTTCTGTCTCTATAGATTTGTCTATTCTGCATATTTTGTATAAATGGAGAAATCACGTAATATGTGGCCTTTTGTAACTGGCTTCTTTCACTTAGCATAATACTTTCCATACTGTCAGTTTTAAGAGTGATTCCTGCCATGATCTAAAACAAGCAGTGTTGAGGGGTTTTGGGCTCCTTGGTCATGTGAAGACTTATCAGTGAATTTTTGAATTCCAAATTTGCTATCAAACATTGATAGGGATTTCCTCCTCTAAGTAGTTTGCAGCTTTAACCATGATAAGTGTAGTGGAGTGTGATATAGGCAAAAACAAACAGTTTCTCCTGCTGTTCTGTCACAACACATCTGTGACCTCTGATCACCAGAATTTGTGGGGATATTTCCCCACCAGCAACCAAGTAATCAGTTCTACAGTGGACAATAGCTGTGTGTCCTCTAATTATCAGTTCAATTCTGACACTGTCAGAGATAGCATCAGATCACAGGTTCAGGGCTCATTCCCACAAGACTGCCCCCACTTCACGTAGCAGCCACAAGCTCAGGTTGTGGCCTGTGTTTCTGACCCACCTACAGTAAATCAGGATTCCCACAGTTGTCTCCTTGGGTGCAATTAATTTGCTAAAGTGGCTTGCAGAACTCAGGGAAACAGTACTTACCATTACTGGTTTATTATAAAGGGTATTACAAAAGCCAGGTGTGGTGGTGCATGCCTGTTATCCCAGCTACTCAGAAGGCTGAGGCAGGAGGATTGCTTGAGCCCAGGAGTTTGAGGCCAGCCTGGGCAACATAGGGAAACCCTGTCTTTTAAGAATGAATGAATGAATGAACAAACAAATGATATTACAATGGATGCCAACAAACACCAGATGAAGAGGTGGACAGGGCGAGGTATGTGGGAAGCAGCCCTCCCTGGTTGTGCCACCCTCCAGGAACTTGCACATGTTCAGCTGTCCAGAAGTTCTGTGAATTCGGTCCTTTTGGGTTTTTATGGAAGCTTTATGACATAGGCATGATTGACTAAATCATTGGCCATTGGTGAGCAGTTTAAGCTTCAGCCCCTCTTTTCTGTCCAGAGAGGGTTGGGGCTGAAAAGTTCCAACCCTCTAATCCTAGCTCCCATCCTGAAGCTTCCTAGGGCTGCCAGGAACCTATCATCTCATTAGCATATAAGGGATACTTATCACTTTGGAGAGTCCAAAGATTTTAGGAGTTGTATGCCAGAAAATGGAGATGAAGACTAAATACATATTTTACAATATCACGTGAAGGTTGTGTTCCAGTTCTTTAACCTCCTTACTAGTGCCTAAAACATGGTGGGGACACAAGTTGTTTATGACAATACAGTTTTTAAAACATACTAGAGAATATAGTAATTGAGTAATGCACCACTAATCTGACACTTATTTTGTGTTGCTTTTGTAAATAATGGTGAACTGCAACATACATAAAGAAAAGGACACAGAACATATGTAGGAGATCATGAGGAAAGACCAAGCAAACATACATACTCATCACCCAGGTCAAGAAACAGAACACTTCAAAGTCCTTCCCTGTGTCCTCTCCTTTTCTCTGGAGACCACTGTCCTGACGTATGATCATTACCTGCTTTTATCATTTTATCATCTTGTATATCCTAAACATTTCAGTTTAGTTTTACCTGTTTTATTTATTTATTTTTGAGACAGACTCTCACTTTGTTGCCCAGGCTGGAGTGCAGTGGCACAATCTTGGCTCACTGCAACCTCCACTTCCTGGATTCAAGCAATTCTCCTGCCTCAGCCTCCCAAGTAGATGGGATTACAGGTAACCACCACAATGCACAACCAATTTTTATGCTTTTAGTAGAGACGGGGTTTCGCCATGTTGGCCAGGCTGGTCTCAAATTCCTGACCTCAGGTGACCCGCCCACCTCCTAAAGTGCTGGGATTATAGGTGTGAGCCACCACATCTGGCCAGTTTTACCTGTTTTAAAACTTTATGTAAATATAATAATGCGATATGTATTTTTTCATTTTTTTCAGCATTACCTGTAACTGCATGTATTCATAGTTCATCAGTTTTGGCTTCATAGCACTGTAGAAATATAACATGAGCCATATATGTAATTTTATACTTTCATTAAAAATAAAAAGATAATTTTTTTTTTTTAAGACAGAGTTTTGCTCTTTTTGCCCAGGCTGGAGTGCAATGGCACGGTCTCGGCTTACTGCAACCTCCACCTCCTGGGTTCAAGTGATTCTCCTGCCTCAGCCTCCCAAGTAGCTGGGATTACAAGCACACACCACCACGCCCAACTAGTTTTTGTATTTTCAGTAGAGATGGGGTTTCACCAGGATAGCCAGGCCGGTCTCGAACTCCTGACCTCAGGTGATCCACCCGCCTCGGCCTCCCAGAGTGCTGGGATTACAGGCGTGAGCCACCGTGCCTGGCCAAAAGAAGAAATTAATTTTAATATATTTCACTTAATCTTGTATATCTAAAACATTACTTCATCACGTGATTGATGTAAAAAATGAATGATTCAGGAAATATTTTACATTCTTTCTTCATATTATATCTTTGAAATCCATTGTGCATTTTTAAATTTTTTTGCCCTGTCACCCAGGCTGGAGTGCAGTGGGTGTGATCGCAGCTCACTGCAACCTCTGCCTCCTGGGTTCAAGGGATTCTTGATTTTCGTGCCTCAGCCTCCCAAGTAAGTGGGATTACAGGCATGTGTCACCATGCCTGGCTAATTTTTGTATTTTTAGTAGAGATAGGGTTTTACCATGTTCTCCAGGCTGGTCTCAAACTCCTGGCCTCAAGTGATCTGCCCACCTCAGACTCTCCACTGTGCATTTTAACAGCGTATCTCAGTTTGGACTAGCCACATTTCTTTTTTTTTGAGACGGAGTCTTGCTCTGTCACTCAGGGTAGAGTGCAATGGCACGATCTCGGCTCACTGCAACCTCCACCTCCCGGGTTCAAGCAATTCTCGTGCCTCAGCCTCCTGAGTAGCTGGGATTACAG
The DNA here is from genome assembly GCF_000001405.40 of Homo sapiens. Taxonomy (NCBI): domain Eukaryota; kingdom Metazoa; phylum Chordata; class Mammalia; order Primates; family Hominidae; genus Homo; species Homo sapiens. The sequence continues at coordinate 175,046 of NW_025791777.1, forward strand.
GCGCATGCCACCACGTCTGGCTAATTTTTGTATTTTTAGTAGAGATGGGGTTTCACCATGTTGGCCAGGCTGGTCTTGAACCCCTGACCTCAAGTGATCCACCCGCCTTGGCCTCCCAAAGTGCTGGGATTACAGACATGAGCCACCGTGCCCAGCCGGACTAGATACATTTCAAGTGTATGATAGACCCAAGTGGCTAGTGGCTGCCACATTGGACAGTATAGCTATGGAGTATTCCATTGTATGGATATATTACAGTTACCCATTCCACTGTAGGTAATTGGTACAATCACTTTGGAAAACAGTTTGATACTGTCTAGTGAAGTTGAAGATATAAAAATATGTGATCCAGAAATTCTCCTGGTTATATACCCTAGAAAAATAAGTACTGTTCCGTACCAGAATACACATTCAAGGATGTTTATAGTTAAACTGTTTACAATACCCCCAAACAGAGATAACCCAAATGTCTGAGCAGAATGGGTTGTGGCTAGAGGCCAATAATCTTATGTTTTAACAAGCCCTCCAGGTGATTCCTGTGCACAGATAAGCTTTAGTTTCATTTACCCAATGGTTTAAATTATTCCAAATAAGTTGTGTTCTTTCTGCTTACTACCAAAAAATGCTAACTTGAAATTATTTTCATGTTCATTTCAGCAAACCGAATCATTATGCACCAAGCAATGACATATATGGTGGAGAGATGCATGTTCGACCAATGCTCTCTCAGCCAGCCTACTCTTTTTACCCAGAAGATGAAATTCTTCACTTCTACAAATGGACCTCTCCTCCAGGAGTGATTCGGATCCTGTCTATGCTCATTATTGTGATGTGCATTGCCATCTTTGCCTGTGTGGCCTCCACGCTTGCCTGGGACAGAGGCTATGGAACTTCCCTTTTAGGAGGTAGTGTAGGCTACCCTTATGGAGGAAGTGGCTTTGGTAGCTACGGAAGTGGCTATGGCTATGGCTATGGTTATGGCTATGGCTACGGAGGCTATACAGACCCAAGAGCAGCAAAGGGCTTCATGTTGGCCATGGCTGCCTTTTGTTTCATTGCCGCGTTGGTGATCTTTGTTACCAGTGTTATAAGATCTGAAATGTCCAGAACAAGAAGATACTACTTAAGTGTGATAATAGTGAGTGCTATCCTGGGCATCATGGTGTTTATTGCCACAATTGTCTATATAATGGGAGTGAACCCAACTGCTCAGTCTTCTGGATCTCTATATGGTTCACAAATATATGCCCTCTGCAACCAATTTTATACACCTGCAGCTACTGGACTCTACGTGGATCAGTATTTGTATCACTACTGTGTTGTGGATCCCCAGGAGGTATGAGTGGTGTTTTGGGTTTTTTCTCCATCTCCTTAGCAGAGGCCTTCAACTTGAGATATGTGATAGAATCACTCTGGAAACTCTTAAAAAATATTGATGACAAGGCTCCACTTCTAATTAAATCTGGGGGAGGGGCTGAGTCTCATTAAGATATGATTAACATACCATGTAATTTGATTACTTAAATAACAGTTCAGTGGTTTTTAATATATTCACAGAATTGTGCCACCATCACCACAATCAATTTTAGAACATTTTCACTATCCTAAAAAGAAACTTGTACCCGTTAGCGGTCACTCCTCATTTCCCTAACCATTCTTAGCCCTAGGCAACCACTAATCCTACATCTATAAATTTGTCTATTCTCTAGGTATTTCATATAAATGGAATCACACAATGTGGTCTTTGTGATGGGCTTCTTTTACGTAGCATAATGTTTTTAAGGTTTACCCATGTCATAGCTTGTGCCATTCTCTCATTCCTTTTTATTGCTAATATTCCAGTGTGTGGATAAACCACATTTTATTTATCAGTTGATAGACATTTGTGTCTACATTGGCTATTAAGAATCATGCTAGACTGGGCACGGTGGCTCATGCTTGTAATCCCAGCACTTTGGGAGGCTGAGGCGGGCGGATCATGAGGTCAGGAGATTGTGACCATCCTCGCTAATAAGGTGAAACCCCGTCTCTACTAAAAATACAAAAAAAATTAGCTGGGCATGGTGGCAGGCACCTGTAGTCCCAGCTACTCGGGAGGCTCAGGCAGAAGAAATGGCGTGAACCCGGGAGGCGGAGCTTGCAGTGAGCTGAGATTGCGCCACTGCACTCCAGCCTGAGCGACAGAGCAAGACTCCATCTCAAAAAAAAAGAATCATGCTATAGACATTCTTGTATACGTTTTTGTGTGAACCTATGTTTTAATGATTTCTTGAGTTGGGTTATACCTAGGGGTGGAATTGCTGGGTCATATGGTGACTCTTTAATCTTTTGGGGAGCTACCAGAGTTTTTCCAAAGAGTTTGCATCATTTTACATTCACATCAGAAATGTATGAAAGTTCCAATTTCTCCACATCCTCACCAACACTTGTTATTGTCTGATTCTAGCCATGCTGATGGGTGAGAAGTGAAGTGGTGCTTTATTGTGATTTTGATTCGTATTTTCTTTATAGCTAATGTTATTAGCTATATAGTCATGTACTTATTGGCCATTTCTCTCTTATCTTTGGAGAAATGGCTGTTTAGACTTGTCCATTTTTTTTTTCTTTTTGAGACGGAGTCTTGCTCTATCGCCCAGGCTGGAGTGCAGTGGTGTAATCTTTGCTCACTGTGAGCTACGCCTCCTGGGTTCACACCATTCTCCTGCCTCAGCCTCCTGAATAGCTGGGACTACAGGCACCGGCCACCACGCCCAGCTAATTTTTTTTTTTTTTTTTGTATTTTTAGTAGAGATGGGGTTTCACCGTGTTAGCCACGATGGTCTCTATCTTCTGACCTCGTGATCCGCCCGCCTCGGCCTCCAAAGTGCTGGGATTACAGGTGTGAGCCACTGCGCCCGGCCTAGACTTGCCCATGTTTTAATTGGGCTATTTTTGTTGTTGTTTTGTTTTTGAGACAGAGTCTCACTGTCACCCAGGCTGGGGTGCAGTGGTGCAGTCACAGCTCACTGCATCCTTGACCTCCTGGGCTCAAGTGACCCTCCTACCTCAGTCTCCTGAGTAGCTAGGACCACAGGGGCATGCCACCACACCCGGATAATTTTTTAAAAATTTTTTTGTAGAGACAGGGTCTCACTTTGTTGCCCGGTCTGGGCTGGAACTCCTGGGCTCAAGTGATCCTGCCTTGGCCTTCCAAACCGCTGGGATTATAGGCATCTTTTCACTTTCTTGATGGTGTCCTTTGCATAAAAGCTTTTAGTTTTGGGCCGGGCATGGTAGCTCACGCCTGTAATCCCAGCACTTTGGAAGGCCAAGGTGGGCGGATCACCTGAGGTCAGGAGTTCGAGACCAGCCTGGCCAACATGGTGAAACTCCATCTCTACTAAAAATAGAAAAATTACCTGGACACGGTGGCGTGCCTGTAATCCCAGCTACTCAGTAGGCTGAGGCAGGAGAATCACTTGAACCCAGGAGGTGGAGGTTGCAGTGAGCTGAAATTGTGCCACTGCACTCCAGCCTAGACAACAAGAGCAAAACTCTGTCTCAAAAAAAAAAAAAAGAAAAAAAAATTTTTAGTTTTGATGATGTCCAGTTTATTTAATTTTTCTTCTGTTGCTTGTATTTTTGGTGTCATATCTAATGCTTTGCCTAATTCAGGGTCACAAGGATTTACTCCTATGTTTTCTATTATTTAATTTTTCTATAGTTTCATAATTTTAGCTTTTACAGTTAGGTCTGTGATTCATGTTGTGTTAATTTTGGGCATGATGGAAGCAAGGGTTCTGAAAGCTTTCGCATGTTTATATGCAGTTGTCTCAGTGTTACTTGTTGAAAGGACTGTTCCTCCACTAAGTTTTCTTCATGCCTTTGTCAAAAATGAATTGATCATAAATGTGGACATTTATTTCTGGGCTCTCAGTTCAGCTGCATTAATCATATGTCCTAATGCCAGTACCATACTGTCTTGATTACTGTAACTTTATAGTAAGTTTTGAAATTGTGGAGTGGGAGTTCTCCAACTTTGTTCTTCAAGACTGTTTTGGCTAGATTCTGGATTCCTTGCATTTCCATATGGATTTTAAGATCAGCATGTCAATTTTGGAAAAAAATGCCAGCTAGGATTTTGAAGGGTTATATTGAATCTGTAGGTCAATTTTGGATGTATTGTCATCTTTACAATTACAAGTCTTCTGATTCGTGAACGTAAGATTCTTTTGATTTATGTAGGTCTTGTTAAACTTCTTTTAATAGTGTTTTATAGTTTTCAGAGTGTAAGTTAGTATGTTTAAAAGCTAAGCAAGTGATTCAAATGTGCAGGTTGGAGTTGAGAAACCTACTTTAGTAACCATGAGTCATACTGATTATATTAATATCTGAAATGTTTCTGAGTTACTGATCTTTTTTCCCTTGTTTTTCCTTTTTTCTTACACTAACTCAGGAGTTCCCATTCCTGAATGAGTCACTCCTTTGGAGTTAGACCTCTAGTATCTGTCTACCATTATTTAGAAGACTGAAGGTTTTCCCTGCAGACGTAGGTTTTCACAGTGCTCGTTGTTGCCATTTAGACATGTCCATGGTAGATAGGGACTGAGGGTTGGTACTCCTATCCTACCACACCCCTATCCCTCTTAGTTCTCTTACTACTTACTCTTTGAAAAATGATGTCACTGTCAAGACAGCTGGAAGGAGAGCCTCTTGTTCCCATTAGCAGACATCCAGGGTAGAGGCCTGATATTTCCCTCAACTTCAAGTGCCTCCCAGGCCAATATACCATTTAATATCCTATCACCACTGGGAGAACTGTTAAGAGTAGGAAGTTTCTTTGTTACAGGGCCCTTTCTAGTAGTATGCAAGACTCCTGAAACAGAGAAACCTGCCAGACCAAATCAATCATTAGTCAATTTGCTATTTATAGCTTGATTAGATCCATGTCTTCATCATTTTTGGTAAGATAGAGATCTATGGACAGAAATTTACATTCAGTGTAAAAAGGCTTGCCAAGCATATGTTTTGAACAAGATTACAAGCATGATTGGCTATTTCAAAGCTGTGAATACTTTTGAGAGTAGCATTTTTCAGGCCCTTTAGAAGTATACCAATGATTGAGTTACTTTACTGGCCATTCTCGTAGGTGCACAAAGCTTGGCCCGTAGGTGTACAAGCTTTGGAACTAGTTTTTTACAGCTCTGAAATGAGGGTGATGATTGATAGTTCCTAACATTAGGCATTTTCTGAGGATTGAGTCAAGCAGTATGTACGTGTGTGTACATTTGCTGGCCTTAGCCCAGTTAGTGTGGGTTAGGTTTTATGATATGTCTGAAATGTAACTATTTGCTTCAGTTTTCTATCAATTAAACCACATGGATTTAGTAGGGCCTTAGGGTAGATAAGGGTTTTAATAATATGTAGAGGGTGAATTGTGATTAAGCAATTAAAATCTAATTATGCCAATATTTTCCACTCCTTTTTAGGCCATTGCCATTGTACTGGGGTTCATGATTATTGTGGCTTTTGCTTTAATAATTTTCTTTGCTGTGAAAACTCGAAGAAAGATGGACAGGTATGACAAGTCCAATATTTTGTGGGACAAGGAACACATTTATGATGAGCAGCCCCCCAATGTCGAGGAGTGGGTAAGTGTTAAAAAATAACTTTACATCTTTTATTAAAGCCCCAAATTTGTGTCTGAATTTTTAGTGCTTTGTTAAACTTTATTCTTAGAATTAATGTTTGTATATGTTGCAAAGGTTGTTGCATTGGTTTTTACTCAGAATTTTAAGAGGATGGGCTAAGTGGAAATGGTTTTACTAAAAGGTGAAAATCAGATTTCCATTTTCAAGGAGTGAATCTTGGTTTTGAAAAGAAATGGCTTCTAAAAAAATCATGCAGAAAGAACTTGGCCTTTGCAAAACAAAAACTACTTCTTCCCTCTACTCCCTTTTATTTTTCTGCTTATCATTTTGGAGATAAACAGAAACCATTGCCAAAGGTGCTCTCGTGGGTCAAGATTGGCAAGAGTGTTTTTGGAATAGCAGGTGGCAGGCCTTTTAAACTTTTTTTTTTTTTTATTGATCATTCTTGGGTGTTTCTCACAGAGGGGGATTTGGCAGGGTCATAGGACAATAGTGGAGGGAGGGTCAGCAGATAAACAAGTGAACAAAGGTCTCTGGTTTTCCTATGCAGAGGACCCTGCGGCCTTCTGCAGTGTTTGTGTCCCTGGGTACTTGAGATTAGGGAGTGGTGATGACTCTTAACGAGCATACTGCCTTCAAGCATCTGTTTAACAAAGCACATCTTGCACCACTCTTAATCCATTTAACCCTGAGTGGACACAGCACATGTTTCAGAGAGCACAGGGTTGGGGGTAGGGTCACCGATCAACAGGATCACAAGGCAGAAGAATTTTTCTTAGTACAGAACAAAATGAAAAGTCTCCCGTGTCTACCACTTTCTACACAGACATGGCAACCATCCGATTTCTCAATCCTTTCCCCGCCTTTCCCCCCTTTCTATTCCACAAAACCGCCATTGTCATCATGGCCCTTTCTCAATGAGCTGTTGGGTACACCTCCCAGACGGGGTGGTGGCTGGGCAGAGGGGCTCCTCACTTCCCAGTAGGGGCGGCCGGGCAGAGGCGCCCCTCACCTCCTGGACCGGGCGGCTGGCCGGGCGGGGGGCTGACCCCCCCACCTCCCTCCCGGACGGGGCGGCTGGCCGGGCAGAGGGGCTCCTCACTTCCCAGTAGGGGCGGCCGGGCAGAGGCGCCCCTAACCTCCCGGATGGGGCGGCTGGCCGGGCGGGGGGCTGACCCCCCCACCTCCTTCCCGGATGGGGCGGCTGGCCGGGCAGAGGGGCTCCTCACTTCCCAGTAGGGGCGGCCGGGCAGAGGGGCCCCTCACCTCCCAGACAGGGCGGCTGGCCGGGCAGGGGGCTGACCCCCCTACCTCCCTCCCAGACGGGGCGGCTGGCCGGGCAGAGGGGCTCCTCACTTCCCAGTAGGGGCGGCCGGGCAGAGGCGCCCCTCACCTCCCGGACGGGGCGGCTGGCCGGGCGGGGGGCTGACCCCCCCCACCTCCCTCCCGGACGGGGCGGCTGGCCGGGCGGGGGGCTGACCCCCCCACCTCCCTCCCAGACGGGGCGGCTGGCCGGGGGGGGCTGACCCCCCCCACCTCCCTCCCGGACGGGGCGGCTGGCCGGGCGGGGGGCTGACCCCCCCACCTCCCTCCCGGACGGGGCGGCTGGCCGGGCGGGGGGCTGACCCCCCCACCTCCCTCCCGGATGGGGTAGCTGCCGGGCAGAGACGCTCCTCACTTCCCAGACAGAGTGGCTGCCGGGCGGAGGGGCTCCTCACTTCTCATATGGGGCGGTTGCCAGGCGGAGGGTCTCCTCACTTCTCAGACGGGGCGGCTGGGCAGAGACGCTCCTCACCTCCCAGACGGGGTCGCGGCTGGGTAGAGGCGCTCCTCACATCCCAGACGGGGTGGCGGGGCAGAGGCGCTCCCCACATCTTAGACGATGGGCGGCCGGGCAGAGACGCTCCTCACTTCCTAGATGGCATGGGGGCCGGGAAGAGGCGCTCCTCACTTCCTAGATGGGATGGCGGCCGGGCAGAGACGCTCCTCACTTTCCAGACTGGGTAGCCAGGCAGAGGGGCTCCTCACGTCCCAGACGATGGGCGGCCAGGCAGAGACGCTCCTCACTTCCCAGACGGGGTGGCGGCCGGGCAGAGGCTGCAATCTTGGCACTTTGGGAGGCCAAGGCAGGCGGCTGGGAGGTGGAGGTTGTAGCGAGCCGAGATCACGCCACTGCACTCCAGCCTGGGCACCATTGAGCACTGAGTGAACCAGACTCCGTCTGCAATCCCGGCACCTTGGGAGGCCGAGGCTGGCGGATCAGTCGCAGTTCGGAGCTGGAGACCAGCCCGGCCAACACAGCGAAACCCCGTCTCCACCAAAAAAATAAGAAAACCAGTCAGGCATGGTGGCGCGCGCCTGCAATCGCAGGCACTCGGCAGGCTGAGGCAGGAGAATCAGGCAGGGAGGCTGCAGTGAGCCGAGATGGCAGCAGTACAGTCCAGCTTCGGCTCGGCATCAGTGGGAGACCGTGGAAAGAGAGGGAGAGGGAGACCGTGGGGAGAGGGAGAGGGGGGAGAGGGAGAGGGCAAAACTTTTGACATAGATAACAGCATGACAAACCACAGTGACTAATTCTGAGTTAACATTATGAAATACTTCAGTGAGGCAAAGACAGATTAGAAAAATTTCCTTTTAAAAATATATACTATTAATCTTACCAAGCTTCCTATATGATGTGATTTGCTGAAAGCCTGGAAAGTTCCTCTTTAAAGATGCCTCCCAAATGAGTGTTAGTAAACTGTTTTTAGAGCTTTTTAGAGGCCAGGTGTGGTGGCTCACACTTGGAATCCCAGCACTTAGGGAGGCCAAGGTGGAAGGATCACTTGAGTCCAGGAGTTTGAGAACAACCTAGGCAACATAATGGGACCCTGTCTCTACAAAAAATAAAAAAAAAATTAGCTGGGCATGATGATGTATGCCTGTAGTCCCAGCTACTCAGGAGGCTGAGGTGATAGAATCACTGGAGCATGGGAGGTTGAAGCTGCAGTGAGCTGTTATTCTGCCACTGGCACTCTTGCCTGGATGGCAGAGTGAGACCCTGTCTCGGAAAAAAATAAAAATGAAAAGATGTTTGGAGTGAAACTTTTTCTAAGAAATCCTGTTAGGGTCCTGTTAGAAGCTACCTCAGAAACTGACATCACAGGGTTCTTTGAGCAGATTGATTTATTGTCATGAAGGTATGGCCACAGGTTCCCAGGAAGGTTTATTTTGGCCACTGGGAGTGGGGTGGCTAAAGATGGATGCTGGCTGCTGCTAGTCAGGTCTGGGGTAAAGACATTAATATATATATATATATATATATTTTTTTTTTTTGAGACGGCTTCTGGCTCTGTCGTTCAGGCTGGAGTACAGTGGTGCAATATTGGCTCACTGCAACCTCCGCCTCCCGGGTTCAAGAGATTCTCCTGCCTTGGCCTCCCGAGTAGCTAGGACTATAGGTGCATACCACCATGCCTGACTAATTTTTTTGTATTTTTAGGAGAGATGGGGTTTCACCACGTTGGCCAGGCTGGTCTCGAACTCCTGACCTCAAGTGATCTGCCTGCCTTGGCCTCCCAAAGTGCTGGGATTATAGGCAAGACAATATCTTGAAGGCTTAGCTCTAACATTCTGTAAGTCTGATTTTTAAGGAAATCTAGGAAGATAGATGAAATTTTTTTCTGGTTAATTAAGGAGCAAAAATGAAGCAGTCTTAGGAAAGCCAGGAAGGCTGTGGTATGTATTCACCACTGAGACGATAGTTCTTATGTCCCTGCCCTTGACTTGAAGCCCTGTTTTTTTTTCCCCTCACTTTAAAGTGTGAAGGTGTTAGGAAGTGTTTTCTTTCGACATTTACCTCCAGGCAAGGCCACTTGTAGCTGGAATAGGACAGGTCTATATTATGAGCTATGAAGTAAATGTTTCGCTGAGAGTTTCTGGGTGTGTTAGTTTTCGTTGGCAGTTAGATTTGTTTACTTAAGGTTTCAAGAGGCTTAAAAACAACAAACCCGACTCAAGGGAGACCAATGCCAGTAATATTAGAGTCCCAGTGAACTTTGGCCTCTCATCTGATTTTACTGTCATGAAGGTTTAATCAGTTCTAGTTGCTTTTGATAATTTGGCAAAAGATAGCTGTTGTAACTTATGGAGGTGATGATGATTAAGGTGAAAGAACTACTTAGCTTTTAAGAAGGTATTATTTTAATAAAATTCCTCCTTGAACCTCTGGAAATTTGATAGCCTGTGGGTTGTTGCATGTGGACTTCATTGTTTCTCTCTAGTAACAAGTATTTTCATTGTATGTAAAAGAATTGTCTGTTGAATAGCAGATATATGATTTTGCCCAAACTAATGTTTTATGTGATTCTTAACCAGAGGCAAATTCCTCATTTCTTTTCCTCTGCCCTTCAGTTTTTTGAACTGAAATGCCTCAGAAAGCCTATTTAAAATAAATTATTTGGAGGTGGTTTAACCACAGATATTTTGCCTTTCTTTCTATTCTCCCCTCACCTGCCCAAGTTCATGTCGCGGAATTCAATACCACGTTCTCATTATTTCCTTAATTGATGGAACAGGCAGATGTAGCCTGTTACTCTCATTTCTGCCTGATTAGTTTCACCCTGATAATGTGGCCATCGCTGTGGAATTGTGTCATCCTGCATCTAAACTGTTCACAGTGGAGTAGATTAGGGAGTTTTCTTCCTTTTGGTCATGAGAAATTAATATCAAAACAATCTCTACTTAAAATAGTGGATGAGAATCTAGAATTAACTACTTGCACTAAAGGAGAATTAAAATTTGGGTTTGATTGATTGCAAAGAGCTGAGACAGGTTACTCCCCATATAGCTAATAATGGCTGATTCGGGGGGAAAAGAAAAACTCATGTCTGTAATCCCAGTACTTGCGAGGCCAAGGAGGATCACTTGAGCCCAGGAGTTTAAGACCATCTGGGGCAACAAGGCAAGACCCTATCTCTACAAAAAATTTAAAAAATTAGCCGGACGTGGGCACAGGTGCCTGTAGTCCCAGCTGCTTGGGAAGCTGAAGTGGGAGGATTGCTGGAGCCTGGGAGGTCAAGGCTGCAGTGAGGCATGATCTCGCCACTGCACTCCAGCCTGGGTGACAGAGTGAGACCCTGTCTCAAAAAAGCAAAACAAAAAAGTACTACAGTAACAATTAGCTACTCAATATTAGTTTAATCCCTCCCTACAGATTGGGGTCGGTCTAGAATTTTATTATGTTACTAAATCTTACTGACTTCCTTCTTGGATTTTTAGCATCTTCAGGATTATAACACGCCTCCTGCCCTCCCACCTCTCAGAGCAGAGGGTAGTCAAAAGCTGTGCCTTCAGTGTTTAAAACAAGTTTTATCCCTTTTGTATAATCTGTGAGAAAATTTAGAGTTTTATAATTCCCTGTCCCTGTTGGCTCAACACAGTGGTTTCTCTGCCCTTCTTAGGGCTTTTTTTCCCCCTTCCTTTTTCTGGATATCTTGTTCCTTGTAAAATAAACAGCTCATGTTTGCACGCTGCTTGGTTTTTAACCTGGTCTTTTATAGTCACTCAGATGGATACCAGTTTGTATTTTAAATGTTTTAAGATTTGTTTAATTAAACTTTGCAGGTCTTTGTTTTGTTCTGCCCTCAAATTTCAGATCTGATTTTTTTAATTAAATATTTTATTTGGTTAAGTATGGATGATTTGGAAAATACAGTGAAGTGCAGTCATTCCTTGGTATACTCAGGTGGTTGGTTCCGGGACCCCCATGTATACCCAAATCCATGCATATTCAAGTCCTGTAGTCGGTGGAACCCATGTGTATGAAAAATTGGCCCTCTGGATACCTGGGTTTTGCATTCCGCCAATACTGTTTTCCATCTATGTTTAGTTGAAAAAAATCCACGTATATGTGGACCCATGCAGTTCAAACCTGGTTGTTCAAGGGCCAACTGTATAAAGTAATTTTTGTTTGTTTGTTTGTTTTTGAGACAGTCTCGCTCTGTTGCCAGGCTGGAGTGCGATGGCACGATCTCAGCTCATTGCAGCCTCCCGCTTCCAGGTTCAAGTGATTCTCCTGCCTCAGCCTTCCGAGTATCTGGGATTACAGGTGCCTGCCACCATGTGCAGCTACTTTTTGTATGTTTAGTAGAGATGGGGTTTTGTCATGTTGGCCAGGCTGGTCTCAAACTTCTGACCTCAGGTGATCTGCCTGCCTCGGCCTCCCAAAGTGCTAGGATTATAGGCGTCAGCCACCATGCCTGGCCTGTATAAAGAAAATTATGTCAACTTAAGTTACCACTATGGGGTACTTTTTTTTTTTTTTTGAGATGGAGTCTTGCTCTGTTGCCCAGGCTGGAGCGCAGTGGCACTATCTCGGCTCACTGCAACCTCTGTCTCCTGGGTTCAAGCGATTCTCCTGCCTCAGCCTCCCAAGTAGCTGGGATTACAGGCGCCTGCCACTGTGCCCGGCTAATTTTTGTATTTTTAGTAGAGACGGGGTTTCACCATCTTGGCCAGGCTGGCCTCAAACTTCTGACTACGTGATCCTCTGCCTCCCAAAGTGCTGGGATTACAGGCGTGAGCCACCATGCCTGGCCTGGGGTACTTTCTTTAATCATCTTTTTCCTTTCCTATTTCTTATTCTAAATTGGAAGTATGCTCATACTCCCTTAAATTTTTTTTTTTACTTTTGTTATTATTTATTTAGAGACAGGGTGTAGCTCTGTCACCCGTGTTGGAGTGCAGTGGTACAGTCATAGCTCACTGCAGCCTCAAACTTGTTAATATTTGTAAAATACTTAGTATAATACCTTGCACATGGTAAATAATGTAATGTTGTTACTTTTAATAATTTGGTGGGATTTTTGTTTTGAGATGGAGTCTCGCTCTGTCACCCAGGCTGGAGTGCAATGGCGCAATCTCAGCTCACTACAATCTCCACTTCCTGGATTCAAGTGATTCTCCTGCCTCAGCCTCCTGAGTAGCTGGGATTACAGGCACATGCCACCACGTCTAGCTAATTTTTGTACTTTTAGTAGAGATGGGGTTTCACCACGTTGGTCGAACTCCTGACCTCAGGCGATCCACCCGCGTCGGCCTCCCAAAGTGCTGGGATTACAGGCATGAGCCACCGTGCCTAGCCAATTTATTTTAAACCCAAAAATTGGTGTTATTTTAAAACCAAAAATAGGATCATAATGTACACGTTGTATGCAGTTTGCTTTTTTAAAAACTTTGTTTTGTGAACATCTTTCCAAGTCTGTCAGCACATAGACCTAATTGCTCTTGGCAGCTGGGTGGTATTTCATAGTATGAGTATACGATGATTCATTCTCCTATTTATGGACATTTTAATTGTGTTCAGTTGTTTACTATTACAGATAACGCTGCAGTGAACATTCTCTCACATGTCTTTATGCACTCTTGCTAGTGTTTGTGTAAGATAAATTTCTAGAACTAGTCATTGAGTGTGCACACTTAAAATTTTACTAGGTTAGCTGGGCATGGTAGCTCGACTCTAGTCCCAGCTACTCGGGAGGATGAGACAGAAGGATCTCTTGAGCTCAAGAGTTGAGGCTGCAGTGAGCTATGGTTGTGTCACTGTACTCCAGCTTAGGCAATAGAGCAAGACCCCTATCTCTTGAAAAAAAGCATTTTACAAGGGATTACCAAGTTGCATTGTTTTTGAAAGCTCTGCAGATTCTACTAACCCTGATGGTATATGAAATTGCTCAGTTCCCAACATTTTTTTCTGTTCTGGTTATTATCTGTCATTAATTTTTGTTAATCCAGTAAGTAAAAATAAAGTTTCATTTTCAAAATTTGGTGATTAAGCATATGCTTATTTCCTATTCTTCATCACTTGACATCTTCATAGCATGGCTTAGTTTTCCGTGATTGTTCGTTCTTTCCTGACTAGAGTTTTTTATATTATGGATATTAATATTTTGTCTTATTGATGATAACTTCTCCCACATTATTGTGGTCTTTCATCTTTGTCTACAGTGTTTTTTTGTTTGTTTTAAGAGAGAGGGTCTCACTATGTTACCCAGGCTCGTTTTGAACTCCTGGCCTCAAGTGATCCTTGTGCCTTGGCCTCCCAAAGTGTTGGGATTGTAGGCATTTGCCACCATGCCCAGACTTCTTATTTTTTTATGTACTTATATTTCCTGTCTCTTTATGGCCTCTACATATCTTTGTTCCTAGAGAGTTTTACACCCCCTTCAAGGTTTAAATAATACCCTCCTGTAGTTTCGTTGGTATTTTAAAGTTTTATTTTTTTTACCCCATGTGTACTAAATGTGTGCAGAGGGTTGAGTTAAACATATGTCAGTCCTTGGTACATTTTAACATCCTTGATTGGTGTAATGTTCCTCTCTCATATTTCTTGTTTTTATTTTCGCCCAACCTAGACCTTTAAGATCACCAGAAGCTTTAGACCACCAGAAACATATTTTTTTAAACAGCTTTATTGAGGTACAATTTATATACCATACATTGTCATCACCCATTAAAAATTTACAGTGATTTTTAGCAAACTTAGAAGTGTCGTGCACCCAATCCAGTTTTTGTGTTTTTGTTTTTGTTTTTAACATCCAGGATATACACTGGACCACCCCCCTTGTTTTTTAAGATAAATGTTTCATTTTAGAATAGTTTTATTAATAGATTTACAGAAAAGTTGCAATTATAGTATGATGGATTTCTGTATACCACGGCACTCAGTTTTCCCTTTTATTTTTTTTTTTCTTGAGGCAAGGTCTCACTCTGTTGCCCAGGCTGGAGTGCAATGGCGCAATCATAGCTTACTACAGCCTTGACTGCTGGGCTCAAGCAGTCCTCCCACCTCAGCCTCCCAAGTAGCTGGGACTACAGACATGTGCCGCTATGCCTGGCTGACTTTTTTTTTTTTTTTTTTTTTTTTTTAAAGTAGAGACAGAGTTCGCTATGTCGCCCAGGCTATTCTTGAACTCCTGAACTCATGCAGTTCTCCTGCCTTGGCCTCCCAAACTGCTGGGATTACAGGTGTGAGCCACTACCCACAGTGCAGCTAGTTGTCCCTATTGTTAACATCCTACATTAGTGTGGTGCATTTGTCACCACTAATGGACCAATATTGATATTTACTATTTACCAAATGTCATAACTTTATCCATATTGAGATGCTTGTTTTTTATTATAGTATGAGATAAACACTAACTTAATTTTGTTCCCAAATGGTCAACTTGAATAATACTGAAATTGTGTTTTCTGAAATTTTACAATTTTTGGTGAAAGTTGAGTCTTTTGATTATTCTTCCTTTTTTGAACACATTTTGGCCAGCATAATTGTGTAAAAGGGGGCTATTAAGCCATTTTCTAACAGTATATGATAATATTTTTAGAGAATAGACAAAATTGATGTTTACGTTAAATTTGGTTTTATATTAACAGAAAGCATTTTCATCCACATGCCTGGGGTCACATATGGGTGACAAAGCCAGGATTAGAACCCTAACTGAGCATTTCCATGCCAGTAGATTCTTAGGAAAAACCTTAATGATTACCTTTTTTTTTTTTTTTTAATTATTTTTTGAGATGAAGTCTTGCTCTGTCACACAGGCTAGAGTGCAGTGGCATGATCTCGGCTCACTGCAACCTCCACCTCCCGGGTTCAAGCGATTCTCCTGCCTCAGCCTCCTAAGTAGCTGGGATTACAGGCATGTGTCACCACACCCAGCTAATTTTTGTATTTTTAGTAGACATGGGGTTTTGCCACGTTGGCCAGGCTGGTCTCAAACTCCTGACCTCAGGTGATCCACCCGCCTCAGCCTCCCAAAGTGCTGGGGTTACAGGTGTAAGCCACCGTGCCCGGCCAATGATTACCTTTTTAAAAACTGGACTTTAAGGCTGAGCACAGTGGCTGACACTTGTAATCCCAGCACTTTGGGAGACCAAGGTGCGTAGATCAGTTGAGGTCAGGAGTTTGAGACCATCCTGGCCAACATGGTGAAACCCTGTCTCTACTGAAAATACAAAAATTAGCTGGGCCTGGTGGCGCATGCCTGTAGTCCCAGCTACTCTGGAGGCTGAGGTGGGAAATCACCTGAACCTGGGAGGTGGAGGTTGCAGTGAGCCGAGATGTGCCATTGCACTTCAGGCTGGGTGACAAAGTGAGACTCTGTCTCTAAAAACAAAAACTGGACTTCAGGTGCACAGAAATAGATTAATTCAATTCTTAGTTTATGACATTATCACCTTTAGTCCATGCATAGCATTCCTGGTACATTTATTGTTTCATAATGAACACCTGCAGATCT
Source organism: Homo sapiens (assembly GCF_000001405.40). Lineage (NCBI taxonomy): Eukaryota > Metazoa > Chordata > Mammalia > Primates > Hominidae > Homo > Homo sapiens. The sequence continues at coordinate 190,956 of NW_025791777.1, forward strand.
ACCATCCCACCTAATAATTACAATACATTACTAAGTTACATTATACATTTTTTACTCTCTCATCTACTTGCTTCTACCTGCCCCCAGAGGTAGCCTATCTAGAATTTTGAGTTTATTATAATTTGCTTTTTAAGTTTTTACCTGCATACATGTATAACTTAGCAACATGATTTTGTTTTGGGTGTTTTTTAACTTTGTAGAAGGTGTACCTGCATGTAGTGTCTTGGCATTTGCCTTTTTACTCAGAGTTAGGTTATAGATTAATACATGTTGATGGAGTTGAAGTCCATCTGATGTCGCCATTGTCTGGTCCTCTATTTTATCACATTTCACAGCAGTTTATCCAGTTTCCTTTTAATGGGGTTTTGGATTATTAAGACCATTACAACTGCCATGAACATTTTTATTTTTTATTTATTTATTTTTAAGATAGTGTCTTGCTCTGTTGCCTGGGCTGGAATGTAGTGGCATGATCTTGGCTCACTGTAACCTCCGCCTCCCGGGTTCAAGCAATTTTCCCACTTCAGCCTCCCAAGTAGCTGGGATTATAGGCGTATGCCACCACACCTGGCTAATTTTTGTATTTTTAGTAGAGACAGGGTTTTGCCATGTTGGCCAGGCTGGTCTCAAACTCCTGACCTCAAGTGATCCACCTGCCTTGGCCTCCCAAAGTTCTGGGATTACAGGTGTGAGTGTAATCCCGTGAATCCCGCCTGGCCCCATGAACATTTTTAAATCACCTATACTTGTGAACATTTCTCTTGGCTATGTACCTAAGAGTGGAACTTCTGGGATGCAGCGTTTGTGAGTGTACATTTCTTTCTTTTCTTTTCTTTTTTTTTTTGAGACAGGGTCTCGCTCTGTCACCCAGGCTGGAGTGCAGTGGTGCGATCTCGGCTCACTGCGAGCTCCACCTCCCGGGTTGACGCCATTCTCCTGCCTCAGCCTCCTGAGTAGCTGGGACTACAGGTGCCCGCCACCACACCCAGCTAATTTTTTGTATTTTTAGTCTAGACGGGGTTTCGCCATGTTAGCCAGGATGGTCTCGATCTCCTGACCTCATGATCCGCCCGCCTCAGCCTCCCAAAGTGCTGGGATTACAGGCGTGAGCCACCGTGCCTGGCCTGTGAGTGTACATTTCTATAAGACAATGTCAAATTATTTTTCATATATAATCTAAACCAGCAACTCTTGGTGGTGTTAGACTTTATAATATTTTCCAGTCAAACGTGTAAAAGTGTATCAGTGTTGTCTTGGTTTATATTTCTTCTGAACATGTCATGTTTATTGGCCTAATGTGTTTTCTCTTCTACTTTTTACCTTTTGGCAATTGCTGAGGTGGCAAAACTCAACCAGTTTCTCTGATACTCTTGATTTTTATAAGAGTTTTTATGGGGTAAAGGTCAACTTTTTATGAGGCATAGTCCTGAGGAAGTATAGTCTATTGCGTGATCATTAGTGTCCTTTTCACAAATGACTAACCCTTTATAGATATGACAAGCCAAAGTGCCTTCTCTCCTTTAGGGAAAGATGTGTTCCTTCCCTTTTCCATTGTGTTGATGGTATGATAGAGGTCCTTCTCAGGGCTGAGAATCAACTAATGTTTCCACTGTGATAAAAGTAGGTACCCTCAGCTGTTCTCATGCCGAGTGAACCTTCTCACCGTTTTTCTAGGTTATTTTATGACACCTGGACCAGAAAACCAGGCACTGTCAGGTTTGAGCATCACTGTAGGCAAAAGAGACCCTTAACTTGTAGGTCTTTACGAGGTACAGTGGTCTGCAACATAGAAGAGAATTGTGTCTACGTCAGTAGTTCTCAAACTTTTGCAGGCAACAGAATCACCTGGAGGGCTCATTGAAACAGCCCACTCACTCCCACCCTGGAGTTTATGATGTGTGCGCTAGGCCTGGCTGGGGCCTAGGTCGGTAATATTAATGTAGCTGGTCTGGAGACCATATTTCGAGAACCACTATTTTATAGATTCAAGCTGCAACCATTAAACTGTAAGCAAGTTATCATTACATCATGGCATACTTGGAAAATGGTGACTTAGTACAAAATACTGGAGTAAACTGAGGGGGATCTGGAACTGCAGATGATTGGCTCACAGGCTGGGCGACCAAAGACATCCTGGCACACCTGTTGAAAAACTCTGGCATGAGGTACAGGTATATTTAACAGTCTTCACAGGGATTTTTGTTTAAGTAAGGGGCCTTGAATGAGATCATTGGTAAGCCTCACTGAGTACAAGGTTTTTCTACCTCATCCCCTTCCAGAGCTCTAATAACTTATTCAGAGCTCTAATAACTTATTGACTCTCAGGGAATTTCAGAATTTACCTTTGGTGGTGTCAACCTAAAGATTGACACAATTATAAATTTAGAAAGGATCTCCAGCTGTGAAAGAAAAAAGTAGAAAGGAGACTATTTATTATAAAGGGTTACAACCTGTAAGGTGGCCATCCTTGACAGTCTTGGAAGCGTAGCTTCTGGCAGACACTGAAAGGCACTTAGAAGGAGATGGAGTTGGGACAAGAGCTTAATGCTGAACAGGTTGGCCATACATTCCTATTCAACAGGTTATAGGAGGAGCTATGAATATCCGTGAATGGGGTCCTGATGCATGCGTAATGAACAAACATTCGTGTTACATACATCCCATGTTCACTTTGGGGTGGAGACTTAACATTTAAATGTATTACAATTAGGCCCTGTACATCAAAAGGTGAAGCAGGGGCCAGGCGCGGTGGCTCACACCTGTAATCCTAGCACTTTGGGAGGCCGAGGCGGGCGGATCACCTGAGGTCAGGAGTTCGAGACAAGCTGGCCAACATGGTGAAACTCCTTCTCTTCTAAAAATATAAAAATTAGCTGGGTGTGGTGGTGGGCGCCTGCAATCCCAGCTACTCAGGAGGCTGAGGCAGGGGAATTGCTTGAACCCAGGAGACGGTGGTTGCAGTGAGCCGACACAGTGCCACTGCACTCCAGCCTGGGTAACAGAGTGAGACTTCGTCTCAAAAAAAAAAAAAAGGTGAAGCAGGAACACAAGGCACTCACGTGCAGCCTCTGCAAGCTGGCCAGAACCATTCCACGGCTGCTAGTCTCTGATCAGGAGAAAGTTACTGAAATCAGTTTCTTGTCCAGTCAAAGCTGTATGGCTTGTGGAACAGGGGTCAGTCAGTATCTGTTGGTGGATGAGCTGCAGTTGTTTTCTTTTTGTATTTTTTTGTAAGTTTTTATTTTTAATTTTTGTGGGTACATAGTAGGCTTACGCAATTGCTTTAATCTTGCTTATCTTGAGGCCAGTGCTTGTTTGGCTGCTGGAGAAAAAGAGCAACCTTATGGTGGTTAGAACATAGTGTATGGTTAGGACAAATGTAGGGGTGTGGGATTTAACCCTTGTCTGGCATGGCCTTAGGTCTTATTTATAATTTGGTGTTTTATTGCCACAAAGAGTCTATTTCTATCAGTCTTGATGATCTCTATGTTAACATGAATGCTGGTCAGCTGTGTCTGAACCGCAGAAGGGAGGGAGTAAATGAGTTGTGTCTGACCTCCCATTCTGTCATGGCCAGGAACTCAGTTAAGATTTCTCTGGGGCACTCTTGGCCAAAAGGGGGTCTTCTCGGTTGGGGGCTTAGGATTTTATTTATAGTTCTCATTGGTCTATATTATTACTGTTTCTTTGGACAGCGTGCAGTTGGGTAGGGGCAATTTGTTTTCTAAATCCTAAATGCCATCTGAGCAAGGTAAAATAACCAGACATGTTCAAACCTGGTCCACGATCTCATTATTTGTGGGATTAGTAGATGTGGGACCGTCTGCCTTCAAGTGACCAAAGGTGGAGAAAAGTCTAAGAGAACTTTCCAGTCGATTTTGAAGCTTTTATTTGGGGGAGTATCTGAGGGTGTAAAATATCAAAAAACAGGAAAAACGAGTTAGACCACTTACTGTTGAGAACCTGTAGTACAAGGGCATAGGGCTGAGGAGGGTGGAATGGGCAGGTTGTAAACCTGGAGATGATCCTTAAGATTAAGATGCTCCTCCCTCTGATGCCTGAGGTATATCTCCACTTTAATCACCAAGCTGGGAAAATCCTACTCTTTCCTTTTTGAGAGAGGTGTTCCTAAACGCTGACCTAAACAAAGGCACATGGTGACTGAAACATACTCATAATAATTTTGCATCAATAGCTGCTCTTACAAAGTTAAACTAATAGGCAAATAAAGCTCTTCAAAATGGGGAGGAGTTTAAGACAATGAGAATGGTCTCCTTTGTTACAAAGACCAGTCAAAATACCCATCCAAGATGGGTACTTCAAGCCATGTTTGAATTCTTGAGGTGGCAGTTTTTTATGCCAGAAAGAGCTGAGCTTTGGAGCTAGATGGACCAGGGTTCAAATCTCCCCTCTGCTACTTTACCTTCTCTGTGACTTTGAGCAAGTTAATTTAACTGTAGAAACTCAATTTCCTCATCTGAAAATAGAGATAATTGTATCTCCTTGGGTGGCGGTGAGAATAAACGAAGTCGGGTTTGCCTGGCACATGCTGAATACTCAACAGGTGAACTTCCCTTTCCTTCTTAGAGGTAGATGGCTTTTGCACATTGCTAGACCACATGGGTGCAGGTCTAGCCTGACTCTCTCCCATGTGTGAACTAGGGATGAAATTAGGGCGAGGAGAAAAATGAGGATTAGCTATAATTGCATATAATTTGCATATATTTTGCTTTTACTAACTCCAAATGAAATATGAAATTGATCTAAGTGGGGATAAGTGTTTTCCCCGATCTTTGTTTTGGAGGAGAGAAGATTTTCTTTCAAAGTGACCTAGAACATTCCTTCTTGACCTTTTTATTCCTTCTCTGACTTCAGGGAGTCAGGGTGGGGAAGGTGGGACCAACATGATGGTGTAGACCCATCTTACTCTCAGGTGAGGAAGAATCACGGTAGGTATTTGGAGAAGAGCACCTGAGCTGCTCTAAAGGAGAGCTGCCCTGTTTGTTTTCCTGTTGGCATCCCACAGGGGTTTAGGATGTTTTCATTAACTCTCCAAGGAGTGTTAGATGTTGTTTGTCACAAAGAATTTTTTCACAAGTGACATAATCAGAACACTTCTAATGAGTACAATTAAGCTTTGAATAAAAATTTATCCTCATAATTACCTCTTGTGAAGATCTTTTAAAATAATATTTCATTTTGCTATTTCGGAAATAAATTCTTTCTTGATTGGAATAAGAATCTTAATAAAATTTCCCTGCATATTCCCTAAATTAATAATTCATACTCCTTAAGCATGTTCAGTGTGAGTGCTTGTCCTTTTTGAATGTAATTTCAAGAGTAAGTCTGAGTTACTTTGTTGTTTTTTTCTTTTTTTTGAGATGGAATCTGTCACCCAGGCTGGAGTACAGTGGTGCAATCTCGGCACACTGCAACCTCCATCTCCCGGGTTCAAGTGATTCTTCTGCCTCAGCCACCAAGTAGCTGGGATTACGGGCGTGCGTCACCATGCCTGGCTAATTTTTGTATTTTTAGTAGAGATGGGGTTTCACCTTGTTTGCCAGGCTGGTCTCGAACTCCCGACTTCAGGTGATCCCTCCTGCCTCAGCCTCCCAAAGTGCTGGGATTACAGGCATGAGCTACCGCACCTGGCCTAGAGAAATCTTTGATTTGTGTTTTCATCCTGCTTTCTTCTGTCCTTAATTTCTTAGAGATATCCTCAAGTTACTTAAGGGAAAATTGTTACAAAGACACTTTGCTGTTTAGAATTATGCCTAGCTGGTTTTCTCAAGTACTCATTCTTTAAAAGTGAGATGTAGTGGTGTGACCCTGTAGTCCCAGCTACTCGGGAGGCTAGGGTAGGAGGATTGCATGAGTCCAGGAGTTCAAGTCCAGCTTGGGCAACATAGCAAGGCCTCATCTCTTAAGAAAAAAAAATCTTACTGTGAAAATTAAAATATTTTTCTTTTCCTTTTTAAGAGAACTTTAACTACATCATTGAGTTTTATGAGCTGACTGGGGCATTCTGTCAGTAATAACAGTGAAATTCAGAAGTCATTTCTCTCATAATAGGAAATACAGGTTGGGGACTCCTTGTAGAAATGAGCACCTGTTCACTTTGTATTGCCCCCTCCAACCCCCTTCTACTTTCCTACTGTCCTTCAAAAGCCGCAGATACTGGGTTTATACTTACTTGGCATTGGTACCATTAAGTGGGTTAGAGGAAAAAATATTTTAGCCTTTTTTCAGGAAAATTGCAGTGTAAAGAGGAAAAAAAATGATCGTACTCCTTGTTTTTCAAATATATTTTGCCTTTGCCTCTAGACTGTTGGAGTCTGGCATCAGCTGGCTCAGGATTTAAAAAAAAAAATGGAATGTTTCATGAATTTGGGTGCTGTTCTTGCCCAAAGGCCATGCTAATCTTTCCTGTATTGTTCAACTTTATATATGTGCTGCTGAAGGGAGCACTGCCTTGGAATTTATTATGCATGTGTATAGAAAAGGTTTAATCAGAGATCTTTGCTGAAGGGTGGAGTCAGTGGTCAAGCTAGTCCAGTTCTGCTGATGCTAAGAGAGAAAGGTCAGCTCAGTGTGCCTCATTGATAAAATACTTGGGTATACAGTGTAGAAATAGAACAGTTATCAATGAGGTAAACTTTATGCAGCAAACTTGGGGCTCCCGATTTGTGCCAGACACTGTGTGGTCCTTTGGAGACTCGAAGAGGAAAGCAGGAAACTGCCCGCCCTTGCATTTTCTACATCTAGGTTCTTGGGAAAGTTGTCTAACTGCCTGAGCCACAGCTTCCTCATTTCTGGAAAAGGAACGATATTTGCCTGTAAATCCATGCCTACAAAATGATCTGTCACTTCAATATTTGGCTAATTGTAAGCAGTCAGATAGTGGTGGCTTAAGCCCAGTCCGCTGCCTACTGAAGTGAGATAGGTGAGCAAGCCATTGTTCGGCAGTGCATAAGCGATTTGGTGGGAGGTTTGTATGCACAGGTGTAGGGAGATAGCACAGGTTGGTGCCTCATCCAGGAGGGGCTTGTATGAGGAGGAGGTGGTGGCACATGAGCCAAGAATTGAAACCCAATTAAGGAATAGCTGGCAAAAGGGGAAGGGCATTTTAGCCAGTAAGAAATCTCTGAAAAGATACACAGACTCTGCTAAAGCTCACGCTGTGAGGAGGAGGTGGGACCTAGAGAAGTATAAAATGGGTTTTTAAGCAAAGGAAGGATTTTTAAATTCTGATAAGGTATTGGATTAAGAATAGGCTTTGGTTTGGTGAAGCATTTGCCTGTGAAGCTTGGCAACTTCTGTTGTAAACTTTTGTTGTAAGGAATTCTGTGGGAACCAAGAGTGCTTCCCTCCCTTCCCTCCTGTGGTGGGGTCTGAGCACACTCCGTGGCAACCCACCCACTGGTTTCGCAGTTGCTGCCAAATTCCACTTTCAGAGGGAAATGATTCTATTCCTTTCTGTCTCTGAATGTTAAACAATCAAGAATACCCCTATGTACTTTGAGGGGTAGGTAAATATCTTTCTGTATGTGATACTGCCTGGATACGTCAGGAGAGTGCATCTCATGTTTTAATGTAATGCTACTAAGAATGGGAAACTTAAGATGTAAGGAATATGTATTGCAGAAGATACACTGCATTGAAGCTGAACCTAATTGTAAGGCTTTATAATAGCAAAATAATCCAAATAAAGGTCTTCTGCCACCTCCAAATTCTTGTAAAAATTATTTGATCAGATCAAGTGGCCTTAATTCCAAAATCCAGCATCTTTTGAATTTTTACTGTGTTTAAAGGCACTGTAGTAAATGTGATACCTTGTCACCTCATTTAATCATCAAAATAACTTTATGTACTAGGTAGTTTTCTCCTTTTTTTTTTCTTTTTTTCTTTTTCAGATGAAAACTAAGGCTTTATAGAATTTGTGGTTGGCAGACCTGGGGTGAGCCCAGATAATCTGATGCTATTGGTTGTGTTTGTATGTATTTGAGACAGGGTCTCATTCTGACACCCAGGCTGGAGTGCAGTGGCACAATCAGAGCTCACTGCAGCCTCCACCTCTCAGTCTCAAGAGGTCTTCCCATCTCAGCCTCCCGAGTAGCTGGCACTACAAGCACACGTACCAAACCCTAAAATGCCATTGATCCTATCACAAAGCTAGAGCGGTTCTACCCTTTTGAATAGCAGCTCTTTTTCACAGAAATATCTGTAGATTTATTTTGATTTTTTTCCCACACTTTATTTCTATTCCTTTGCCTTAAAACAACTAAATGATTCATCTAGGATTAGCACTTGTTTGAGGTCTTTGGTTTTTTTCCAATTTTTTTTCTCAATTACAGAGTGATATGTAATAATTTAAAGGCTATTAGGTAAAATGTCAAGAGTGTTGGAGCTGTTACATAAAACATAAAATCTAACAGTGGCCGGGCGTGGTGGCTCACGCCTGTAATCCCAGCACTTTGGGAGGCCGAGGTGGGTGGATCATTTAAGGTCAGGAGTTCGAGACCAGCTTGGCCAACATGGTTAGACCCCATCTCTACTAAAAATACAAAAATTAGCCGGGCATGTTGGTGGGTGCCCGTAATCCCAGCTACTCGGGAGGCTGAGGCAGGAGAATCACTTGAACCCAGGAGGCGGAGGTTACAGTGAGCCGAGATCGCACCACTGCACTCCAGCCTGGGTGACAGGGTGAGACTCTGTCTCAAAAAAAAAATATATATATATGTATGCATGTATGTGTGTGTGTGTGTGTGTGTGTGTGTGTGTATACACACACACATATATATATACACATATATACATATATATATACACACACATATATATATATACACACACACACACACACATATATATATATACACACACACACACACATATATATACATACAGTGTTGGGAGTCTAGTTGGCTGTGCTTTTTATGTTTAAATTTTTTATCCCAAAGGTTCTGTGGTAAGCCTTCCATGTTAATATTGACCTAGGGGAAGAAGCTGAGGCAAAATTAATATAGAAAATTTATTTGGGCCAAGGTTGAGAACAGCTGCCTGGGACATGCTTCCAAGCTGCCTTGGGGAGTGCGCCATGCAACCTTTTTTATAAGCAAGTTTTTAAAGGCAAAAACGGGGCACAAGGAGTGGATAGAAACAAAGTTGTTCATCAGGAATTCTCACTGGTTTACAGAAATAACGTTGTTACATCGTCGAGCTATAGCAGGGTTATGGTGCCCAGTGTGTAGCATTGTTAGATTACGCGGTTTCTGGAGATAACTACATAGCTCAAGGGGGAAGTAGGACTTGATTGCTGTTTCATTTTAATGCCTCTCCGGGCCTGATAACTTTTAAGAAAGGGCTTACATTCCTCAGATAAGAAGAACCTGTATATGTATTTCACATTAAGGCATAATTTCTTTTTTTTTGACACAGTCTCGCTGTTGGCCAGGCTAGAGTGCAATGGCACTATCTCTGCTCACTGCAACCTCCGCCTCTCTGGTTCAAGTGATTCTCTTGCCTCAGCCTCCCGAGTAGCTGGGACTACAGGTGCATGCCACCACGCCCAGCTAATTTTTTTTGTGTGTGTATTTTTAGTAGAAACGGGGTTTCGCTGTGTCAGCCAGGATGGTCTCGATCTCCTGACCTCATGATCCACCCGCCTCAGCCTCCCCAAGTGCTGGGATTACAGGCGTGAGCCACCGCGCCCGGCCTATTAAGGCATAATTTCTAATGCATGTTACTTTTGTAGGATGAATTCACTTACACATCAGAATGAAATAAGGAAAGTGAAAAGGGAAGGCACTGATGTTGTGTGATATATTGTGTAGGTTATTAGTAATAGAGCCATAGAGAACGTACATTAAGGGAGAATAAACAAATCTCTTATTAAAAGAGTAGAAGTCAGCTTGAACTTCTTAATTTCTTCTGTGGTTTTAACATTCCACGTTGAGAGGTGAATGGTTTAAGAACTACCAGTGTGCTTTGTTCTAGATTAGTGCTTTTCCAAGTGTGGTGCACAGACAGCAACATAGCATTACCTGAGAGCTTGTTAGAAATGAAAATTCTCCTAACCGAGACCTGGCTTAGGTTAAATGAGAGTGGTCTTTCTAATGTGGGCGTGAGATAATGAGACCAGTCTTCCTAATATGGAGGTGGAAAATTGCCATAGATAATTATGAAACCTAATCACATTAGGATGAGAACTAGGTGATCAGATTTTTCTTCTTGGTAATATACTTGTTTAAACTAGCAGTAGCACTGTTTATATGTCTATTACAATGTGGATTTAACTATTAACCTGTAATGATTGCCTTTTTATTATTAGTGTTAATAGTATTTAATGGGCCACATAAATATTAGATAATGTATATAAGATAATTTTCTTCAGTGTCTTCCCCCTTTTCATTACAAGATAAATAATAACTATCTCTTGGGGTTTTTTAAGGTTAAAAATGTGTCTGCAGGCACACAGGACGTGCCTTCACCCCCATCTGACTATGTGGAAAGAGTTGACAGTCCCATGGCATACTCTTCCAATGGCAAAGTGAATGACAAGCGGTTTTATCCAGAGTCTTCCTATAAATCCACGCCGTAAGTAGCATCTCTCTTAGTTTGATAGACTGAGTGTAAAAATGAGTATTTGCATATAATTGGTTTTTGTGCCTTTCTGCTTAAAAAAAATATCCAGCAGTGCACACAAAAGCTGGATCTGGATCTTGGTATTACAACAATCTTTGCTTTGTTGGTACAGAGGCCTACGGCTACTTGGAAGACCAGGATGAGGAGGGTGGGGTTCTATTTCCCTTCTAAGTTGAAAATGCTTCTTTTCACTTACTTGTTTAATTGAAAGGTTGGGTTGGGTTCTTTCACTCTAGGAATGTGGTTCTGCTATTTCTGGTTTTGAAGTTTAGGTGAGGGTGAGAGGAAGTTACTGAGCAGAGGTCAGTGCTGTGCTCAGCCTCTCCTTTTGCCTATAATTGTTGGATCTCATAAACAGAAGGGAGGACATTTCACATTAATCAACCCTGCCCACATACATTTCTGTTAAACTAGAAGACTTCATTTGAATCCAGGAATTGTGGTATTTCATTTGCTGTGCTAGGTCCTCAGTATTGCTGGGAGATGTGAAACCTCAGTGAACGTCTGGCCTAGGGTAGGTGTCATATGATAATTGAAATGGTATCTCTGTGGTGGAAACACTTACCCTAAAGCTCAATTCTAATTCCACCTAATGACTAGTGAGAGAAGACTATTGGAGATAATTGGTATGGACGGGGATGTAATTTTTGCCTAAGGATGATGAAGTCGTTATTTTTACATATATAGTCATGCATTGTTTAACGATGGGAATACTGAGAAGTGTGTCTTTAGGCAATTTCATCCTTGAGTGAACATCACAGTGTACTTAACACAAACCTAGATGGATAGCCTGCTACGAGCCTAGGCTATGTGGTATAGCTTCTTGCTTTTACGCTACAAATGCAGACAGCATGTTAATATACCAAATACTCTAGGCAGCGGTAATACAGTGGTATTTGTATATCTAAACACAAAAAAGGTACAGTAAATATAAAAGATAAAAAATGGTACATCTTGGCGGGGGCGGTGGCTCACGCCTATAATCCCAGCACTTTGGGAGGCCGAGGCAGGTGGATCACCTGAGGTCAGGAGTTCAAGACCGGCCTGACCAACATGGAGAAACCCCATCTCTACTAAAAATAGCCAGGCGTGGTGGCGCATGCCTGTAATCCCAGCTACTTGGGAAGGCTGAGGCAGGAGAGTCGGTTTAACCCGGGAGGCGGAGGTTGTTGTAAGTGGAGATTGTGCCATTGCACTCCAGCCTGGGCAACAAGAGCGAAGCTCCATCTAAATAAATAAATAAATAAATAAATAAATGGTACATCTTGTAAGGCACTTACCATGAATGAAGCTTGTAGGACTGGAAGTTGCTCTGGGTGAGTCAGGGAGTAAGTGGTGAGTGAATGTGAAGGCCTAGGACATTACTGTACACTTTATAAACACTATACTTAGGCTACACTAAATTTACTAAACATTTTTCTTTCTTCTATAATAAATCTTAGCTTTCTATAACTTTAATTTTTTTGACTCTTTTGTAATAACACTTAAAACACAATCACATGGCTGGGTGCAGTGGCTCACGCCTGTAATCCCCACACTTTGGGAGGCCCAGGTGGACGGATCACCTGAGGTCAGGAGTTCGAGACCAGCCTGGCCAAAATGGCAAAACCCTGTCTCTACTAAAAATACAAAAATTAGCCAGGCATGGTGGCTCACACCTGTAATCTCAGCTACTCGGAAAGCTGAGGCAGGAGAATCACTTGAACCTGGGAGGCGGCGGTTACAGTGAGCTGAGATCACACCAGTGCACTCCAGCCTGCGTGACAAAGTGAAACTCTGTCTCAAAAAAAAAAACAAAAGGCCGGACGCGGTGGCTCACCCCTGTAATCCCAGCACTTTGGGAGGCTGAGGCAGGTGGATCACGAGGTCAGGAAATTGAGACCATCCTGGCTAACAGGGTGAAACCCCGTGTCTACTAAAAGTACGAAAAATTAGCCGGGCATGGTGGCGGGTGCCTGTAGTCCCAGCTACTCGGGAGGCTGAGGCAGGAGAATGGCGTGAACCCGGGAGGTGGAGCTCCCAGTGAGCCGAGATCGCGCCACTGCACTCTAGCCTGGGCGACAAAGTGAGACTCCGTCTCAAAAACAAACAAACAAAAGAACAACAACAAAAAACACAATCACAAACCCTGGCACAGTGGTGCACACCAGCAGTCCCAGCTAATTGGGAGGCTGAGGTGGGAGGGATCATACTTGAGCCCGGGAGCTCAAATCCAGCCAAAAATAAAAGAAAAGCCAAAAATCCCATACCTACATTGTATAGATATATAGATATAGAGAAGTATTTTCCTTATTCTATAAGCTTTTTTTTTTTTTTTTTTTTTTTGGTAGAGACATGGTCTCAATCTGTCACCCAGCCTGGGGTGCAGTGGTGTGGTCACAGCTCACTGTAGCCTTGACCTCCCAGGCTCAAGCGATCTTCCCACTTTAGTCACCTAAGTAGCTGAGACTACTTAGTCACCTCAGTAGCTGGGACTACACATGTGCTCCACCATGCCCAGCTATTTTTTTCTATTTTTTTTTGTAGAGACAGGGTCTTGCTATGTTGTCCAGGCTGGTCTCAAACTCCTGGGCTCAAGCGATCTGCCTGCCTCGGCTTCACAAAGTACTGGGATTACAGGCATGAGCCACCATGCCCTGCCACCAGGCTGTTCTTAGACTCCTGACCTCAAGTGATCCTCCCACTTTGGCCTCCCAAAGTGCTGTTTTCTATTTTTACCATGTAAATTTTATTTTAGTTTCTACACTTTATTGTTAAAAACTAAGATACAGACTGGGTGCAGTGGCTTATGCCTGTAATCCCACCACTTTGGGAGGCTGCAGTGAGCTGCGATTGCACCACTGCCCTCCAGCCTGGGCAACAGAGACCCTATCTCAAAAAAAATAAAAATAAACACACACACACACACACACAAACCCAAAACTAAGATACAAACATACACATTTGCCTAGGCCTACATCAATATCACTGTCTTCCATTTCCACATCTCGTTGCACTGGAAGGTCATCAGGGCCAATAACACACCCAGAGCTGTCATCTTCCATGGTGACAGTGCCTTCTTCTGGAATACCTCCTGAAGCACCTGCCTGAGGCTCTTTTAACTTTTTTTTCCTGTTTCAACTCTTTTTTTTTTTAATAAGTTGAAGGAATCTAATAAAAAATATAGTGTAAATACATAAACCAGTAGCATAGTCGTTTATTGTCAAGTATTATATACTGTACATAATTGCATTTGCCGTATACTTTTATTAGTCCCTTATTGACTGAAATGTCTTTATGACTTTGTGACTGTAATTCTAGAACTCTAAGTTCCTTTGGAGACTGAAAAAGCCCAAAAAATTTCCTTTCAGCTAGTTTGAATGTCTATGTTAAAGGTGTATCTACTGGAAATAACTTTTTTGTTACTTCGAAGTGTTTTTTTGTTTGTTTTGTTTTTGAGACGGAGTCTCACTCCGTTACCCAGGCTGGAGTGCAGTAGTGCGATCTCAGTTCACTGCAACCTCCGTCTCCTGGGTTCAAGTGATTCTCCTGCCTCAGCCTCCTCCTAGTAGCTGGGATTACAGGTGCGCGCCACCATGCCTGGCTAATTTTTGTATTTTTAGTAGAGACGGGGTTTCATGATGTTGGCCAGGTTGGTCTCGAACTCCTGACCTCAGGTGATCTACCTGTCTTGGCCTCCCAAAGTGCGGGCATTACAGGCGTGAGCCACCGCGCCTGGCCTGCTTTGAAGTTTTATCCCCAATGCCCGACTCCTGATTAGTGGGCCATGATATATGAGATTTACTCTGAGTGCATAGTTGTTTTGGTATTCAGACTTGATCTTGCTGTTGATTTCAATTGTGAATGATTTGGAGAAAGCACATTTTCTCTGTTCTTCTCTTTGGATTTTGACAAAAACTAAAGCACTTGAGAGTGTTAGGGACAAGGGTACGCAAGAGAGATGCAATCCTTCTAAGTTTTTTTTTTTCATCATTTGTTTGAGATGCTGTTTCACTCTGTCGCCCAGACCTATAGTGCAGTGGTGTTATCATAGCTCACTGTGACCTTGAACTCCTGGGCTCAAGCAGTCCTCTTGCTTCATAGCTCACTTTAGCCAGGACCACAGGTATGTGCCACTATGGCTGGCTAATTTTTTATTTTTATTTTTGTAGAGAAGGGGTCTTGCTTTGTTGCCCAGGATAGTCTTGAACTCCTGGCCTTAAGTGATCCTCCTGCCTCAGCCTCTAAAATTTTTAAGCTATGATTTGCAGAACTTTTTTTTTCTCCTTTTTCATGTCAGATGGGTAATGTGCCAATATTGTAACAAGATTTGAGGGTGGGACATTTCACACATGCGTGTGAACACCCAATCATCATGCTCATCAACTATAAAAGGACCAATTTGCAGAACTTTCATACATACAAAATGTATATCTATACTGCATCTTGGCACCAGCTGTTCCTCTAAATTGTAAGGCCTGCGTGGTTACACAGCATTCCCTGGTGTTGTCCCTTTTCACAAAAACCAGGATAGTTTCACAAATTCATTTGAAATTAATTTGAAAGTCTTATTCCTTAAGTATTAATCTTTCTTATTCTTGAATACTTTATGTAGTGGAAAATTTAAAAGGGACAAAAGGTACCAGCTAGCTAGTTCCTCTCCCCAGAGGCAACTAATGTCATCACTTTCTATTTCTCCACAGATTTTAAAACATAAAGATACTGGCCAAAGTACATTGATTCCCCCACCCCCCCTTAAAATACTAGCATACCAGAGCTGGGCACAGTGGCTCATGCCTGTAATTCCAGCACTTCGGGAGGCTGAGGTGGGTGGATTGCTTGAGCCTAGGAGTTCGAGAACACCCTGGGCATTATTGCTAAACCCCCTCTCTACAAAAAATATAAAGATTTGCCAGGTATGGTGGCACATGCCTCTAGTCCTAGCTACTTGGGAGGCTGAGGTGGGAGGATTGATTGAGCCCAGGAGGTCAAGCCTGCAGTGAGCCAAGACCGTGCCACTCCACTTCAGTCTGGGTGACAGAGTGAGACCCTGTTTCAAAAAAAAGAAAAAGAAAATATTAGCATACCAAATGTATCATTAGCAATATATTTTATCTTGGATATTGTCCATATCACTATGCAATGAGTTGCCTGATTCTGTTTTATTTTTTTAATTATAATCAAGAAGAAGCACTATTGTGTTTTATAGCTGTATAATATTCTACCAAATAGGTATACTTTATTTATTTTATTATTATTATTTTTTGAGGCAGAGTCTCGCTCCATTGCCCAGGCTGGAGTACAGTGGCGCGATCTCGGCTCACTGCAACCTCTGCCTCCCAGGTTCAAGTGCCTCCCGAGTAGCCTGCCTTAGCCTCCTGAGTAGCTGGGATTACAGGCACCCACCACCACGCCTGGCTAATTTTTAGTAGAGATGGGGTTTTGTCATGTTGGCCAGGCTGGTCTTGAACTCCTGACCTCAACTGATCTGCCTGCTTTAGCCTCCCAAAGTGTTGGGATTACAGGCATAAGCCACCGCACCTGGCTGGTATACTTAATGTATTAATCCTATATGATGCACACTTTCCCCCAATGTTTTGTTATTACAGACCACAAATGTATAAGGAATAACCTTATACATTTATCACTTTATACATATGTGAATGTATCTGGAGGCAGAATTGCTGAGCTAAAATAAATGTGCATTTTTTCATTTTGATAGATGTAGTAAAAGTTTTATTTCTTAAGGATTGTACTAGTTTCTACTCCAAACTTATGCCCCAGAATTTTTTTTGAAGGTCTGGAAAGTGCAAACACGATGCTTCATTTTAGAACCCAGATGAATGGGTGAATGGGAGTGGTACTAAGAGATACTAATGCACAATATCTCCCCCAGAGCATGGTAATGATGGAAGGATTTTACAGCCTCTGGGGGGCAATAGAAATTGTAAAGTGTTGTTCATAGTAGAGTACTGAGTGCTATAGAGGATTCAGAGGACACCCACTTGAATGGGAATAAGAACACATAAGTCATAGCCTGTCTTTCCTAAGGCATTCTTGCAAGTGCTTAGTAACCCATGAGCACCTCTCTTCCTCACCATGCTAGTGGATAGAGAAGGAATTAGATGGAGAACATTGTGTCCATCCACCCATCCGTGCCAAGGATGAGGTAAATCAGTATTAAGATGTTTTTTTCTCCCAACGCGTAATGTACATTCCATAAAAAGAGCACTAATCTTGAGTATACAGCTTGATGAGTTTTCCCATCTATGACCACTTAACTCCCACCACCAAGATACATTTTGAGCCCTACATAAGGTCCCCATGTGCCCTTTCTCCATCAATACCCACCCACACCCACCCCAAGGTAACAGCTATTTTGATGTCTGTCACCATCTGTTAGTGAACGTGTTATTATTGGACTTTAAATAAAATGGAATAATGCAGTTTACTCTCATATCTGGTTCCTTTTGCTTATAATGTCCCATACCTTAGAATTTTAAGGCAGTCAGCTCTGAGAATTAATCCTGCATCAGGGGACACCAGAATTTAGCTGAAGATGGTTGCCTCTCCAAACCTACTAAACGAACTTGGGAGAGCCCTATTAGGTACACTCTCCACTATCCTGTCCACACCCAGGTTGAATTACCCTTCATAAATCAAGGAAGTTGAATGTTGCTGCAATGCAAAGCTTTCAAAGAAGGCTGACTCCTTGCATTGCTAAATGAGACCATTGTTTGGTAGTAATAGGCTGGTAGGATGATGTTAGGACTTTTATGCAAGTTAGAGGAGTTATAGAAGCCCAGTTTAAACTAGTTTAAGATGGGGCATGGTGGTTCAGGCTGATAATCCCAGCACTTTGGGAGGCCAATGAGGTGGGAAGATTGCTTGAGGCCAGGAGTTTGAGACCTGCCTGGGCAACATAGGGAGACCCTGTCTCAATTAAAAAAAAAAAAATCATGAAAAAAAATAGCTTAAGTGAAAGGAGGAATTATCTGAGTCACGTGAGGCCCAAGGACGTCTGTAGCTTCAGTCATGGCATAATCGAAGGATTCAGAAGATAGCAGGGCTGTTATGTGCTCTCTTTCATCTGTCGGTATGTTGGCTTTCTTCTCAGTTCAGCTTCTGTTGTGACAGGATAGCCATCTACATTTATTTATTTATTTATTTTTACTTTTTAGAGATAGGGTCTCACTGTTTCACACAGGCTGGAGTCCAGTGGTGTGATCATAGCTCACTGAATCCTCAAATTCCTGCACTCAAGTGATCCTTCTGCCTCAGCCTCCTGAGTAGCTAGTACTACAGGTGCATGCAACCATGCCTGGGTTTTTTTTGTTGTTTTTGGTTTTTTTGAAATGGAGTCTTGCTCTGTCATCCAGGCTGGAATGTGTTGGTGCAATCTTGGCTCATTGCAACCTCTACCTCCCAGGTTCAAGCGATCCTCCCACCTCAGCCTCCTGAGTAGCTGGGATCACAGGCTTGCACCACCATGCTCAGCTAATTTTTGTATTTTTAGTAGAGACAGGGGTTTCAACATGTTGGCCAGATCGGTCTCAAACTCCTAACCTCAAGTGATCCCCCTGCCTCAGCCTCCCAAAGTGCTGGGATTATACAAGTGTGAGCTACCGCACCTGGCCGGCTTGTTCTTTTTATTCTTCAGTCATTTGTTTTATTCTCTCTCACACTCCTTCACGCTGCCTTTATTGCTCCTACCTTGCCCTGACTCTCAGCAGAATTGTTGTGCACTTTCCTCCACCCCTGTTTTGCAGCCTCCGTGAGAACATGGACCTGGTCTTCCCAGGGTCACCTGGCTCAGTACTCTATGCATGTCAGGTGTTCAGGACAATTACTGAATTGAAAACACATGCATAAGAATCCTTCTTTTCTGATTACACACAGCATCAGTGAAGGCAGAGAAACAACCCATGATCAACAATGCCATGACTATTAGAATGACGTTTGTTGTACACACTGTATTTTAGAGCTGCTACCATTATTGGGAGGCATATCTAAGTCTTGCTAATCAGAGAACATTCTCCTGGCTTCAAGGATGACAGTGACCCAAAAAGGGCCAATCAGAATCTTTTTGCTATGTAAGCTTTGGGAAAGAAAACTTCATGCTGGGCTGGAAAGATCAACGCAGCTTGGGAAATGTGGAAGGCTCAGCCTGGGCAACAGAGTGAGACCCTGTCTCTACAAAAAAATTAAAAATTAGCCCAGTGTGGTGTTGCTCACACCTGTAGTGAATACTTTTCTTGTGAAACATTTTGCTTTTAGCTTTCATGCTAGATCAAGTATGTTAATATTTTAAAGGGGTGTAGGAGGAGGGGAGGAAAACTTCGAAGTTAAAGATATATCAATATCTAATATCATAAAAATTCTGGCAGGAGGCCTACTTTGATGTTTTACTTTTTGTTTTTATGTTTTTTTCTAATTTCTTTTGCCCTTTAGTTCCCTCCCTCTTTGGCCCCACCCCTAAAATGAATCCACTGCATTCTAAAGGTTTTGTTTTTCTACCTCAAAGAAGAGGCATAGTACCTGGCAGTTTTGGCAGAGTGTCTAGGAACTTGTTAATCATTGACTCATGGAGAAAGTCACATTTTCTCTCCATTAGAAGTAACATTAGCATAGCACACAAAGCCATATTACCTGAATAATTTTTTTTTTTTTTAGACAGAATCTCATTCTGTTACCCAGGGTGGAGTGCAGTGGTGCGATCTCAGCTCACTGCATTCTCTGCCTCCTGGGTTCAAGCAATTCTTCTGCCTCAGCCTCCCGAGTAGCTGGGATTACAGATGCCTGCCACAGTGCACTAATTTTTGTATTTTTTGTAGAGATGGGGTTTCACCATGTTGGCCAGGCCGATCTTGAACTCCTGGCCTCAAGTGATTCGCCCACCTCGGCCTCCCAAAGTGCTGAGATTACAGGTGTGAGCCACCGCCTCCGGCCATAAATCTTGAAAGAAGAAATAAATACTACCCCCACCTGCATCTACACACACATACCCCAAAGTTTAGAGTCTGCAAGAAATTGTGTGCTTAGAAATCTAAGACTCTGACAACAGTTACAGCAAAGCACATGTGGATCACCTAGAAAAGGGACTAAACCTGGAAGAGCTCAGTATGATAGTTTATGTAAATTGGCAGCAAAAAGAAACGCTTCAGACATTTTAAATAGTTGATTGGAATGGCAAGGCTGATGCTTGGAAAGTCTTAGGCCCATTCTTTGGTGTTTTCATTTCTGTTCTTGCCCTTTTCTACAAGAAAATGAAACTTCGTATTTCTTTTACTCAGAAGTAGTTCCCACTTTCAACTTTGGTATTTTATTCCTCAGTTAGGGTTATTTTCATGTTTGTGTCCGAAACATGCAATTGTGATGCAACTTTAAATAATTGTATTAGAAGAAAATAGTAAGTGTGTAATGGTAACCCTTCTATTCATTCTACGTGGCTTCAGGATTAACAGCAATTTTAAAAAGAATCCTAAAGGAACTCTTTAATTTATTGCAATGTAAAGCTTTTTACTTTTTTAGTTTAGATATTTAGTTTATTTTGCAAGATTTTATCTTAATATGATAATTGATATATGGTAGTATAAGATCAATATTACAAAGAGCATGTGTGCATTCTTCCCCATGCAGCATTCCAGGGAACTAGAAGAGCCTGTAGAAAAGAATGATCACTGTTTTCCTGACAGCCTTTGTAGAGTAAGTCCCTGGCACAGGTCAAGTAAACACCTCTTATAGATCAGCCTGAACTTTTTAAAATGAAATCTGAGATCCATTGTACTTAGAAGGTATAAAAATGGCTACTCCCCTTTAAATTGGAACCTACTACTTGTGTGTATTAGAGGACTCTGAACTGCTGTCAAATTGAATGCAGAAAACGAGGCATCTGCTCAGTGTTGAACATCTGAAGTCCTCGCGTGAGTGCACCTGCGTGCAGATGTCTGCTGGTGTTTATTATGGCTGTGCTCTGTGATTACAGTGCACTGGCAAAGGGCTGTAGTGTACTGAACAATGATGCCTGTTTTTATTAGGGTTCCTGAAGTGGTTCAGGAGCTTCCATTAACTTCGCCTGTGGATGACTTCAGGCAGCCTCGTTACAGCAGCGGTGGTAACTTTGAGACACCTTCAAAAAGAGCACCTGCAAAGGGAAGAGCAGGAAGGTCAAAGAGAACAGAGCAAGATCACTATGAGACAGACTACACAACTGGCGGCGAGTCCTGTGATGAGCTGGAGGAGGACTGGATCAGGTACCGACTCAGCTCTCCTTTCCTGGCCCACGTGCTCCTTCTGATAATTAAAGGAGACCAACCAGGTGTTGGAGTTATTGCCTCCCAAATTGAGGTCACTGGTGTAATTTCATTCTTTGCCAACCAGGACTGGAGACAGTTTTTTGTGTGGTGTTGGCTGGTTTTTTCCTTAGCACCCTTTTGTGACAAAGTTTGAAGTGGAGAGAATGTTTGGCAGTAACCATGTCTTTGAACTTTGGCAGTAACCACTTTGAACTTTCCACAGTGTGGCTGGTGAACTTCACCAGTGCTCTTTCTTATACCAATAGTCACGGAAGAAAGATGTCCTAGCACTTTGGGAGGCTAAGGCTAAGAGTTCAAGACCAGCCAGGCATAGTGATGTGGGCCTGTAGTTCCAGCTACTCGGGAGGCTGAGGCTGAGGCAGGAGGATTGCTTAAGCCCAGGAGTTCAAGGCTGCAGTGAGCTATAATTGCATCATTGCACCCCAGGCTGGGTGATAGAGCTAGACCCTATCTCAAAAAACAACCAAAGGCCTTTCAAATAAATAAAATCCAGGTATAGAAGAACTTTGTTTTACTAATTATAAAATTCCCAAACCAGTGCTATGGTTTTCCTTTGGCATTACTTTTTTTTTTTGAGACGGAGTCTTGCTCTGTCGCCCAGGCTGGAGTGCAATGGCACGATCTCGGCTCGGTGCAACCTCTGCCTTCCGGGTTCAAGCAATTCCTGCCTCAGCCTACCAAGTAGCTGGGATTACAGGCGCCCACCACCATGCCCGGCTAATTATTGTATTTTTAGTAGAGACGGGTTTCACCATGTTGGCCAGGCTGATCTTGAAAATCCTGACCTCAGATGATCTCCCTGCCTCGGCCTCCCAAAGTGCTGGGATTACAGGAGTGAGCCACCGCGCCTGGCCGGCAATTATTTTTTAAATTAAGCTTAAAATGATAAGACGAGAGTTTCTTTTAAAGTTTAATCCAAAGAGTTCCGTAAACAATTGAGGTAACAATTTAGTGTTCAGCCACAGTTGTGGTTAAGTTTCTTTGTGTTTTGGTGGTTTTGTTACAATCCATCCACCATCACCAAATGTATTTGTGTATGATGTGTAGCCTTCCTATGCCCAAGTATTCTGAGGACTAAGACGCACATCAGAAACATTTGCAATGTGAATGGTAATCAAAACATCGCTTCTCAGAGAGTGAGGAATGATAGGCGGGGCATGGGTAGCTTGAGATCCCCTATTCACTGATGATTCTGATACTTTATCTTCCCCTCTCCCCTCAAGAGTTTTTGGCCTGGCTTAGCCATCTATCTGTAAAATATTCACCTAACTTGTATCACGGAAGATTTAACTGAAAACTTTATATATTTTTTTGAGATAGAGTCTCACTCTGTTGCCCAGGCTGGAGTGCAGTGGCACGATCTTGGCTCACTGCAACCTCCGCCTCCCAGGTTCAAGCAATCCTCCTGCCTCAGCCTCCCGAAGAGCTGGGATTACAGGCATGCGCCACCACACCCGGCTAATTTTTGTAGTTTTAATAGAGACAGGGTTTCACCATGTTGGCTGGGCTGGTCTCAAACTCCTGACCTCAGGTGATCCACCCACCTCGGCCTCCCAAAGTGCTGGGATTACAGGGGTGAGCTACCATGCCCAGCCTGAAAATTTTCAAAATCTGAAATTCTTGTTTCCCTTTTGATCAAATCATTTAAATTTCTCCCCTCTGTAAAATGAAGATGTTAGATTGTTAGATCTAAAATTTGAAATTCCACATCATTGTGAAACTCCAGTCCTGTGAAAGGATTCAGAGTATTTTCTCTATGGATTATGGGTTAATGGCATCGTCTTCCTATGTAAGGAGTGGCTGGTATATTGAGAAATAGATGTGATACAAAATTTCAGTTTTTCTTCTTTATACTTTAATGAATTGCCAGATTATTTTAACAGTGAGCACATGTTTTTATACATGTACATTTTTAATGTCTATTTTTATTGTGAAAGAAGTAGATAAGCTATTTCCACTTCGGAAAAACAAGAGCAAAAAAATAAATAAACCAGTCTGAAAACTATGGGTGGTAGCAGGAAACAGCCACTTCCAGTCAGCTGTGCTGCCACTGTGGTGATCAAAGCGGACTTTGTGTTCCAGAATTCCAGTTTTAAGACTTTAAACAGGCCAGGCATGGTGGCTCACTCCTGTAATCCCAGCACTTTGGGAGGCTGAGGCAGGTGGATCACCTGAGGTCAGGAGTTTGAGACTAGCCTGGCCAACATGGTGAAACCCTGTCTCTACTAAAATACAAAAATTAGCCGGGCGTGGTGGCAGGCACCTGTAATCCCAGCTACTGTGGAGACTGAGGCACGAAAATCGCTTGAACCCGGGAGGTGGAGGTTGCAGTGAGCCGAGATTGTGCCACTGCACTCCATCCTGGGTGACAGAGCAGGCTTTGTCTCAAAAAAAAAAAAAAAAAGAAAAGAAAAACTTTATAAACATAAGTAGTCCATTATTGATATTGTGTATGGGAAATAAGTGAGTTCCTATGACTTGTACCTTCAATTTTGTAAATGATTTTCAAAATTATTTCTGCAAATTACGTAGGCATAGTTTTTATTTTTTAAAAAATGAGCAGTAATATATAGTCACTCTTAATAGAACTTATTTGTATTCTCTCTCTCTTTCCCCATAAGAAACAAAAACGAAACAAGAAAATGTCATTCTCCATACCCAACCAGCTTTATTATCTTTGAGGAAGGAGCATTGAATTTTATGTCTGCTAAGGATACATATGTAGTCATTTTCTCTCTCACCTTTTAGGGAATATCCACCTATCACTTCAGATCAACAAAGACAACTGTACAAGAGGAATTTTGACACTGGCCTACAGGAATACAAGAGCTTACAATCAGAACTTGATGAGATCAATAAAGAACTCTCCCGTTTGGATAAAGAATTGGATGACTATAGAGAAGAAAGTGAAGAGTACATGGTAAATTCAACCTGATATTTATATATTAAACAGAATTTGAATCTAATCTGTGGAGGTACAGCATCCTTTATATTAATGTTGATAAAAATGTGCTAGTAGTTATCAAACTGCAGTTTCATTGAAGAATAGTTGAGATTGGGTTTTGGATGAAATTCTTTCCTAATAGAAGATTGTACTAATGTATAATAGTTAATAATTACAAAGCACTATTCTGTTTTTTTTTTTTTTTTTGAGGTGGAGTCTCGTTCTGTTGCCCAGGCTGGAGTGCAGTGGCGTGATCTCAGCTCACTGCAAGCTCTGCCTCCCGGGTTCACGCCATTCTCCTGACTCAGCCTCCCAAGTAGCTGGGATTACAGGTGCCCGCCACCACGCCCGGCTAATTTTTTGTATTTTTTTTTTTTAGTAGAGACGGGGTTTCACCATGTTAGCCAGGATGGCCTCGATCTCCTGACCTCGTGATCTGCCCGTCTTAGCCTCCCAAAGTGCTGGGATTACAGGCGTGAGCCACCGCGCCCAGCCCCTACAAAGCACTATTCTATGTACATCTATCCTTTCCTATTTAAAATAAAATAGCCAGGCTGGGCATGGTGGCTCATGGCTATAATCCCCACACTTTGGGAGGCCAAGGCAAGTGGATCACCTGAGGTCAGGAGTTAGAGAATAGCGTGCCTAACATGGTGAAACCCCATCTCTACTAAAAATACAAAAAATAGCAGGGCATGGTGGCAGACACCTGTAATCCCAGCTACTCGGGGAGGCTGAGACAGGAGAATTGCTTGAACCTGGGATGGGGGAGGTTGCAGTGAGCCAAGATTGCGCCATTGCACTCCAGCCTGGGCGACAGAGTGAGACTCCATCTCAAAAATTAATAATAATAATAATAAAATAGCCTTATTATCTTTCCTATTTATAAAGCCATTCATTCTTTCTGTAGAAAAGAACTTAAGCGGCCGGGCACGGTGGCTAATGCCTGTAATCCCAGCACTTTGGGAGGCCGAGGTGGGCGGATCATGAGGTCAGGAGATCGAGACCATCCTGGCTAACACAGTGAAACCCCGTCTCTACTAAAAAAAAAAAAAAAATACAAAAAATTAGCCAGGTATGGTGGCGGGTACTTGTAGTCCCAGCTACTTGGGAGGCTGAGGCAGGAGAATGGTGTGAACCCAGGAGGCGGAGCTTGCAGTGAGCCAAGATCGCGCCACTGCACTCCAGCCTGAGTGACAGAGTGAGACTCCATCTCAAAAAAAAAAAAAAAAAAAAAAAGAACTTAAGTAACACAGAACTGTATACAGAAAAAGAAATCATCTTAAATCCTACCATCAAGAAATCCTTATCACCAAAATATTAGTTAAAACAATCTCTCCAAGCAGGAGTCACCAAGGCACATACACCTTTCTTTAAGGAAACATCATCTTCCATGTTTCACTTATTTTCTTCCTGTCTTTTAAATCAACAGTTTATGGGTTTTTTTTTTTCCCTCCCTTGATCACCTGGCTGAGATAGAATTTGTCCATGTAAAGTTACTGGATTTTTTTTTCAATCCATCCTTTTCATACTGTATTTTGTATACATACTGAAATTAATGTAGTTACACCACCTTTTAGAGGGAGATTAATCTCTTCTTGTTTATTTGTTCCTTTATTGATCAGTCAATCACTTACGTAAGTATGGACTTTACAGATACCTGTTTTATACTGTGAATTATAATCCAAGGCTGCTTTATTTTGTAGCTCTAATTGTTCTCGCTTTGACGGTTGGGAACTTTCAGTTGCTTCCCGTGTCCCTTTGACATACTCTTATTGTGGGGTTTTATCTTTAAAAAAAAAACAAACAAAAAAACTTCCTTGCACTGCTTATTTCTGGCTTTTCTTAACAGCAAGTTTTTTTTTTTATATCAATAATAAAGACCTACTTACTTTTAAGTTTTTTATGTGTAAAATTAGGTAAACAACTTTCAAATTTATGGTTGTATCATAATTTAAGAGTCATTTTCTATGGATAGACATTTAAGTATGTCTCCCCCTACTCCAGTAGTACCAGTATATACTGGTGAACCTCTCTGTTTTTGCACTCTTGTCTACTTATCTAATTTTTTTTTTTTTTTTTTTTTGAGACGGAGTCTTGCTCTGTCGCCCAGGCTGGAGTGCAGTGGCGCTATCTTGGCTCACTGCAACCTTCGCCTCCTAGGTTCAAGTGATTCTCCCGCCTCAGCCTCCCGAGTAGCTGGGATTACAGGCATGTGGCACCACACCTGACTAATTTTTGTATTTTTAGTAGAGACGGGGTTTTGCCATGTTGGTCAGGCTAGCCTCGAACTCCTGACCTCAGGTGATCTGCCTGCCTTGGCCTCCCAAAGTGCTGGAATTACGTGTGTGAGCCACAGTGCCCAGCCTGCTTATCTAACTAAAACTAATTCCAGAATGTGAAATTGCTGAGAGTCAGAGGGTACGTACCTTTGCAAAGTTGCAAAATTGCCCTCCAGAGAGACTGCACCAACTGTGTCTCCCTCTTGATACAATACAGGACTCATTTGATGCACATCTCATTAAATATTCTGCCATTTTTCAGTTGAGGTGATCTACTTTTTAGTTTTGACGTATTCACATCTTTATATAGTTAGATTTATGTATTTCTTTTATGGTTTCTATAGGGTGTTATAGATCTTTCTTAATTTAGTGAACATTTATTGATCACTTATTTTTCTTTGATGATGTGGAAATGCTGGAGCTAGAGACATAAAATCTTGTCCCCACCCTAAAAGAGCTTATATTTTAAGAAAAAAAACCTGACATCTAAACAATTTAGACAGTATGATTAATGCTGTATTTGCATCATGTGTAGAAAGCACTATAACTAACTGCTCATAGAAGAAATAAAGTCTTTGGAGGCTTCACAGTGAGGGAATCGTTAAGAGCTTTCCAGACAGAAGGGTGCGGGGAGGTGCATGATTACAGCCATAAGGAAAACATGATTGAAATCCTGAAGCATTTAACATGTCTCAGTTTTTAAAGGAGTTGCTGATGATGGGTACTGAGACTGGAAAGGTAGGAAACTGGATGAGGGGAGAAGTTAATGGGAAGCTCAGACCAGTTGTGTAGTGGGATATTACCTGATCAGCGAGCGCTCTGTGTTATAAAAGATCTTCCTGGTGTCAATGTAGCATGGGGACTGGCATGAGGAGAGATGAGAAGTAGCAGAACAGATAGTTACCTGCCTATGTGAGTGAAATGTGAAAGATACAGTATCATAAATGTCTCTTCACTGAATTCCTTCAGACCTTCCTGCTGATCATGAGTTTTAAGAGCTTTACGACTTCATTCTTTTAATTGCTTATATTTTTGTCATAAGCTGTCATTTTTAGCTCCAAAGTATAACATCAGGAATGTTACTTTTAAAAGAGAAAATGCCCCAGTAAACATATTCCTTTGTGTCTGTCGTTAATAGGCTGCTGCTGATGAATACAATAGACTGAAGCAAGTGAAGGGAGTAAGTATCCGAGATTGTTCTTTTAGGAAGAACTTTCTTTCTTCTTCTTTTTATTTTAATTCCCATACCTACTCATCTGGAGGAAGAGCTTTTCTATTACATGTTTTTCATTTTTTATTTTATATATTTTTTAAAAGTTGAAGTATACATACAGAAAAGTGTATAAATCAAAGTGTATAACATGGTGAATTTTCACAATGTGACCACATACCTGCGTATGCAGATCAAGAAATATATTTCCCAGTACCTCCCCACCCCCAGCACCCCCACCCTCACTTGTACTACTTTCCAGTGTTTACACTCTCTCCAGAGGGGTCCATCATGCTCACTTCTAACATCATAGAGTTTTGTCTATCTTGCACATTACATAAATGGAACCACACAGTATGTATTTTGTGTGTGATTTCTTTTGCTCAGTATAGTGTTTGTAAGGGTCCATTTGTAGTTCATTACTATTATTTTTTTTAGACGGAGTCTTGCTCTGTTGCCCAGGATGGAGTGCAGTGGCGCAGTCTCAGCTCACTGCAACTTCCGCCTCCCAGGTTCAAGCAATTCTCCTGCCTCAGCCTAGCTGGGATTGCAAGCACGCACCACCATGCCTGGCTAATTTTTGTATTTTTAGTAAAGACATGGTTTCACCACATTGGCCAGGCTGGTCTTGAACTCCCAACCTCAGGTGATCCCCCTGCCTTGGCCTCACAAAGTGCTGGGATTACATGCATGAGCCACCATGCCCGGCCATGGTTCATTAATTTTTTTTTTTTTCCTGAGACAGTGTCTCGCTCTGTCGCCCAGGCTGGAGTGCAGTGGCACAATCTCGGCTCACTGCAACCTCTGCCTCCTGGGTTCAAGCAATTCTCCTGCCTCAGCCTCCCGAGCCACTGGGATTACAGGCAAGCACCACCACACCTGGCTAATTTTCCTATTTTTAGTAGAGATGGGGTTTTACCATGTTGGCCAGGCAGGTCTCAAATTCCTGGCCTCAAGTGATCCACCTGCCTCGGCCTCCGAAAGTGCTGGGATTACAGGCGTGAGCCACCACGCCTGGCCGGTTGATTAATTTTTATTGCTTTGTAGTGTTGTATATAAAATGCAACTTTATTCATCCATTCTATTGTCAATGAACGTTTGGGTTGTTCCCAATTTTTGGCATTTAAAAATATTGCAGCTTCATACATATTTGTAAATGTTTGAGCGTAGAAGTGATGGGCATTTGTCTATCCAGCCTTAGTAGATACTGTCAAATGGCCTTCCAAAGTACTTGTACCAGTTTACATTCCCACCAACCACTACAGACTCCTGTTGCCCTATATCCTTGCTAACACTTGGCATGACAGTCATTATTGACTTAAAACATTAAAAAAAAATTATATTAAAATTTTTGTAAATTACTTATCCAGGTGCTGTGGTTACATGCCTGTAGTCCTAGCTACTAGGGAGACTGAGGCAAAAGGATCCCTTGAACCCAGGAGTTCAAAGCTGCAGGGAGCTATAATTGTACCACTTCACTCCAGCCTGGGCAATAGGATGAGACCCTTTCTAAAATAAGAAAAAAAAATTATAAATTACAGGCATCATGATTTGAAATAAGAGTTTAAAGGGTATACAGTAAAATTTCCCATCTCTCTTATCCCCTATTCAGCTTCCCTTTCCCCAGTCAAATGAGATCACCAGTCTCTTGTTTTACTTACAGTTTTAGATGATGTGTTAGCAAAAAGGCTGGTAAGTTTTCTTGGTCATTTTACAGATTTTTAGAAATGAGGGTATCCTTTGGAAAAACCCAGGTTAGAAGACAGAACTGAGCAAATAGAATCAGCTGCCTGTGTGGTTAGTGATACTGCCAGGCACCTTGCGTATTTTACTTCAATTAACACTCCCAGCAATTCTCTTGACTAAATATTCCATTTCTGTGTTCAATTCTGCCTTCCCAGCAGACCTGTTTTCATTTTGTTGAATTTATGTGATTCATTTTCTCCCTTTTTAGTCTGCAGATTACAAAAGTAAGAAGAATCATTGCAAGCAGTTAAAGAGCAAATTGTCACACATCAAGAAGATGGTTGGAGACTATGATAGACAGAAAACATAGAAGGCTGATGCCAAGTTGTTTGAGAAATTAAGTATCTGACATCTCTGCAATCTTCTCAGAAGGCAAATGACTTTGGACCATAACCCCGGAAGCCAAACCTCTGTGAGCATCACAAAGTTTTGGTTGCTTTAACATCATCAGTATTGAAGCATTTTATAAATCGCTTTTGATAATCAACTGGGCTGAACACTCCAATTAAGGATTTTATGCTTTAAACATTGGTTCTTGTATTAAGAATGAAATACTGTTTGAGGTTTTTAAGCCTTAAAGGAAGGTTCTGGTGTGAACTAAACTTTCACACCCCAGACGATGTCTTCATACCTACATGTATTTGTTTGCATAGGTGATCTCATTTAATCCTCTCAACCACCTTTCAGATAACTGTTATTTATAATCACTTTTTTCCACATAAGGAAACTGGGTTCCTGCAATGAAGTCTCTGAAGTGAAACTGCTTGTTTCCTAGCACACACTTTTGGTTAAGTCTGTTTTATGACTTCATTAATAATAAATTCCCTGGCCTTTCATATTTTAGCTACTATATATGTGATGATCTACCAGCCTCCCTATTTTTTTTCTGTTATATAAATGGTTAAAAGAGGTTTTTCTTAAATAATAAAGATCATGTAAAAGTAACAAATGTGTGAAATTTAAAGATTGTAAATATATATTTACTTTTTTAAGATCAAAGTTTAAACCCCGTGGTTAGAATTTTGTGTGTTTTTAAATACTTTTTATCTTTTTGCATGCCTTTTTTAAAAAACCAACTAGAACTTTTCATTATATCAGAATATCTGATTACATTTATAATTCAATTGTGACTTGAACTGTATCTTACAGGAATGTTCAATTTCTATACATATTTTATAAGGTATTAAACCTGGTGTTTTCTTTCCATAATAACCTGTTTGATGTTATTAGTGCTGTTAACATACAGCAATGGAAAACCACACTCAGGAGTTGTATCTGTTGTTGTTTATACTCCTTTGGATGCTGTGCTGGTTAGTCGTTTCCCATTCCTTTGGCTGTAAGAATGCTGATATGTCTGGGAATAGAATGCTATACCACGAAATACCAAATAATTTCAAATGGTGCCCTTAAATTGTATCACTTTTTTAAAAATTCAGATTCTTATTAGTAAAATTAGTTGATAGCACTGTGCTGACCAAGTTGATTGTGATCATCCCAGCTTAGACTTTTCTAAAAACTTTTTTTTAGAATAATCTATAAACTGAACTTTAGTATGCATTTCAGATATTTAGGTATATAATTTTTTTTTTTTTTTTGAGACAGAGTCTCACTCTCACCCAGGCTGGAATGCAGTGGTGCTATCTTGGCTCACTGCAACCTCCACCTCCCGGGTTCAAGCAATTCTCCTGCCTCAGCCTCTCGAGTAGTTGAGACTACAGGTGCCCATCACCATGCCTGGCTAATTTTTGTATTTTTAATAGAGACGGGGTTTTACCATATTGGCCAGGTTGGTCTTGAACTCCTGACCTTGTGGTCTGCCTGCCTCGGCCTCCCAAAGTGCTGGGATTACAGGCGTGAGCCACCATGCCTGGCCTAAGTGTGTGTGTGTGTGTGTGTGTATTTTTTTTTTTTTTTTTTTGAGATGGAGTTTTGCTCTTGTTGAACAGGCTGGAGTGCAATGTCGCGATCTCAGCTCACCACAACCTCCGCCTCCCAGGTTCAAACAATTCTCCTGCCTCGGCCTCCCGAGTAGCTGGGATTACAGGCATGCGCCACCACACCTGGCTAATTTTTTTTTTGTATTTTTAGTAGAGATGGGGTTTCTCCATGTTGGTCAGGCTGGTCTCGAACTCCTGACCTCAGGTGATCCATCCACCTCGGCCTCCCAAAGTGCTGGGATTAGAGGCGTGAGCCACTGTGCCCGGCCTATAATTTTTGATAGATGATTTTGAATTATTTTCCAGAGATAAAATTTTAAATGTTTCCATTATATCACTGATTTATTTCTGCAAATTGAATAAATTCTTAATTTTCTGCATGCACATAATACAAAAGGTATTTTCATAGTTTTGGATTTATACCAAATGAAAAGGATTCTCTTGATGAGCACCTTTAACTGATTTTTCTGTTAAAGTTTTAACAATTTGTTCTTGGAAGTCAGTTCGTGAAGGCAAGTTTGTCAGTATTTTCACAAAACTATTCAGCTGAATCCAGAAAGTGAAACAGCAAGAATTTGCATTGTAAAATTGTGTTATAAAATTGGACTTTGAAATTTCAAAAATAAGAAAAATTTTCATGTGTATTTATACTAAATACCGTTTTAGGAAACTAGGATCAGGGTGTTTCTGTTGGCGTTGGCATTAACTAGCTGGATGTAAATTTGAAAAGCCACTCAAGCAGCTTCCTAGTCTAGAAAGTCAGAGGTTTAGATTAGATTTCCGACATCCCTTCCATTTCTGACCTGTAGTTCTTGTCTGGAATTCTGCTTTGTTATAAACTATTGTTCTAAGGAGTTTGTTGTGATAGCACATAGTTCATTTTGTAAAGATTCCCTGCGTATAAAGTGATGCCCTACATATGTGATTTTGTATTAAAAGTATATAGGATCATTATTTTATTTTGAAAAATTTAAATACAGAAAAGTATAAAATATAAGTACCATCCGCCCAGAAATAACATGTGTTAATGTTTTGTCATATGTGCTTTATATTTTTTGAAATAAAGTGAAGTCAACTAGTATTTATAGTAAATAAGTTACATACACATAAGTACATATATGATATTTAATCCTCACAACGATCTTTTGACATGTGACCATTTCTTATTCTTCTTTTATAGACAAGGAACTAATGATATGATAGATTAACTGGCTGTTGTCACACTAGCAAGTGGCAAAACAAGGGATTAGGATCTTAGTCTCTTCAACTGTTAGATTCTATACTTCCATCCTGTGTTGACTTTGTTAATGGATTGGATAATGTGAGATCACTCTGATGTAAATAAAGTATCCTATATTAATTTCGAGTGCATTTTAAGTACTTGTAACATAAATGCTTCCTGTGAAACATCTGTAAAGACCTGAATGGGTACATGTGTGTAAAGAAGAATCAGGGCAGAAAAGTGCTTTTATCATGGCTCCGGGGACCTTAGCTTCAGTTGGTGTTGTGAGAATTCCTCACACAAGGACATTCTCCTTGCTTCAGCATCAGGATGGAAGTGTTTCTCATCTGGACTTTTTCAAAGACTCAGCTGGAGGAATCAGAATTCATAATTTCCTGGCAGCTCATGATTCTGCTACACTACACCATGCCATCTCTTGTGTGAAAGGACAGATTTGATGGAGGACTATGTCATCCCTCATGCGTTTCTTATTGTCTACATTTATTCTAATGGGAAGAAGTGAGCAAAAACACCTCAATAATTTGGGTAGTTTTTAGAAAACCTTGTTAGTAAATTAGAATAGTGCCACTTTGGCATTATGAGAAAGAAGCATGGATACATAACTAGGGTTTTGTGTATGACTACAACGAAATGCAGAATGGTGTCTCCAAAAGGTTTCCAGTTGCTGCCACAAGAACTGCTTGGTATTGCCTACATGTGTTGTCCTATTTTTGCTTTGCCCTTCTGCAGTTACTTGCTGTGGGACCTTGGAGAAATTAACTTAGCCTCTCTGTACTTCAGTTTTTTGTATTTGTAAAAATATATTTGTAATAATCTCATAGTTAAGAAGGTAGTTAATGTGTGACTCAGTCCTTGTCTAAAAGTAAATATGCCTAGCTACCCCCATCTTCCAAAGCCAGAAGGTGAAACTTTAACAAGTTTTCTAAAAGCAAATTGTGTTTTTTAAAAGTGCATGTGTCATCCAATCCCATATGATTGATCTGTGCTGGGTGCAGCCTTAGAATGTAAATTCTTTTGAATTCTAGGCAGAGAATGCAGGATTGGCATTCTAAATATTTGTACATGATAAACAAATGCTTCTTTAGGTTACAGCAAATAGTTTACTTATCAAGATCACGATTGTTAGATACTGTTGTCAATTACAGAGGTTTTAGATGAGGCTTTCTGGAATGATTTAGTTTCCCTGTAAGGGAGCCTGTCTATTGGAATAGACAGGTTCACTTCTCCCAGTCTTTCAAGTTGCATGCTTTTTATATCTGATTCCACTGGCTGAGCTGATTGTGAATGTCCTAACCCTGTTGATAGTGTCTGGCCACTCATGGGCAAAGAACAGATTATCCATTCTTTATAGTTGTCTTTTAGTTTTACAAGTTGAAAAAACATCTGAGTAGGTTAGATAATTTATTCTACCACTTTGTAAATGATTAGAATATGTCAGTCATAATCATGCCAAGAGATTATGGATTTATGCATATTTTGTTTTGCTGTAGTACCATTCCTAGTTGAATCTTAACATCCATGTCTAAAATCTATACAGAACAAATATTACAGTTGGGAAAACTGTTTCAGTCTCCTCTCTTCGCAAATATGCTTTATATTTATTGGGGAGTCCTCTATCTTTTTCCTGGTTTTCCTTAAAGCCTTCCCAGGCTGATGGATAACAAACATATGAAAGAAACTTGGGGCTTGGGATTCCTCTAGGCTGTTTGTCCTAGAGGAATGCATCCCGTCTTGCAAATAGGATGGTCAATTAAGATGGAAGGAAGCAAAAGTGTGGATAGGAAGGAAGGGCACAAAAGGAAAAGTGTGGAATTTGTGTGTGAGTCCTCTAATGAGGTCAAAGGTGGGAGGGAGGCAAGCATGGAAGCTTCCTGGCA
Organism: Homo sapiens; assembly: GCF_000001405.40. Lineage (NCBI taxonomy): Eukaryota > Metazoa > Chordata > Mammalia > Primates > Hominidae > Homo > Homo sapiens. Next base: position 225,134 of record NW_025791777.1, read on the forward strand.
CTGCGATACTAATTTCCCCTCCTCTCCCTTTTAAAATCCTGTCTTCTGGGAGGAAATGAGACTGATTATGGAGTTCCCACTAAGCCCTGCAGGGTTGGTGGAGACAACCCCATTTTACACATTAGTTCATAGACTTGGGTTGTGACTTGCTTGAGGTCACCCAGCCAGTGTGTCAGAGCCTGATTTTAAATCCAGGGCTGTTCTTTCCACTGCTATGCAAGATACCTTCTGTTTATATTTTTGAGGGAGACAACAGAGATGGGAAAAATTTTTAACAATAAAATAAAGGCAATGGAGGGGATGAGTATGCTGATGGGGAAGGAAAGAGGCCCTAGCTTCTGCAGTTCCTTTGTGTTATTCCTAACCCTTTTCTCATCTGGGGGTGCACTGCCTCTCCATTTCTCAAGTATGGGAAATGCCAGTAATTCCACTTGTGTTAATTGGCAGTCATACAACTTGTCCAAAACTGAATTGATCTTACCCACCCCGCCAACATTTTAATAATTGCAACCCCAACCTTTCAGTTGCTCAGCTAAAGACTATGGAGGTATCCTTGATTCTTTTCTCATAACACACATCCAGTGTATTGGTAAGATTTAGAATTCAGTCACTTCTCACCAGCTGCTGGTCCAAGCCATCACAATTCCCCCAAAGTTCTTAACAGTGCTCACAGCCTCTCCTCCCCACCTTACCCTTCTGATTGCAGCTTCCACCACTCATCCCCTGCTCACTCCTGCAGTCGTCAAAGACCCCAATGCACTTCTACCTCAGGGCCTTTGCACTTGCAGCTCTCTTTGTCTGAAGAGCTTTTCCCCTAGGTATCAGCAGGGTTAACACCCTTCCTCATTCAGGTCATGGCTTAACTGTCTTCCCAGCGAGGACTCCTCTGGCCACCCTATTTTATTTTTTGAGATGAAGTCTCTGTCACCCAGGCTGGAGTGCAAGGTTGGCTCACTGCAACCTGTGCCTCCTGGATTCAAGCGATTCTCCTGCCTCAGCCTCCCGAGTAGCTGGGATTACAGGCGCCTGCCAGCACGCCCGGCTAATGTTTTTGTATTTTTAGTAGAGACGGAATTCACTATGTTGGCCAGGCTGGTCTCGAAGTCCTGCCCTCCGATGATCCACCCCCGCTCGGCCTCCCAAATCACCATGCCTGGGATTACAGGCGTGAACCATCGCACCCGGCCTGGCCACCCTATTTTAAACTGCAAACTTCTCCCCTTCAGTGCTTAGTTTTTCTCCACAGCATTATCACCATTTCATATAGTATATGTTTTTCTTCATACTGACTCCCCTTGGAGAAGGAAAACTCCACGAGAGCAAGGATTTTTGTCAGTTTTTCATTGTTATTTCCTCAGTGCTTAGACATGCATCAGGCTCAAAGTAGATGCTCAATGTTTGTTGAATGAACAGCAAGAGCAATGGAGGAGTCCTGAAATACACAGCAAGAAGCAAGGATAATTCTGGCTTTACTTCTGTGGCCAGGGTCCTTCATCCCAACCTTTTAGAAGTAGAAAGACAAGATCGAGCTCCTCAGAACCCAGGTCGATGGCTGCAGAGCCTTCGACCTTCCGAGAGCGAATGGCGATCACTCTTTCCGGTTCTCTGCGAATTCCAGCTGGAACACCGTCCCTTTCCGCGCCCCAACTCAGCGGAGGCCATGCCCTGCACCTGAGCGCCCCGCTCCGGCAGCTGCACTCTGCAGCATCCGGAACGTTTCGGCGTGGCCGCAGGGCGCGGCGGAATGACTTCCGGGGCGCCCCTAAAGCGGCGGAGAGGAGTGTCGGGCTGAGTTTCCGGCTGAGAGTCCTTCTAGCGGCGCCGGTGAGTCCGCGTGTGGAAGTCTGTGAGGCGCAGAGGTGGGGCAGGCCGTCTGACTAGCTAGGCGGCTGGGAGCGTTTTCGTGGCGGGGAACGGAGGTTGAATTGCCCTGCCTGGGCTCATAGGGAAGGAGGATGTGAAGGAGCTTGTGAAGGCAGAGGAAGGTAACTTTCGTCTGGGGAGCCGCAGAGTAGGGAGGGAAGCTGCAGGCCGTCTCTCCCTAAGTAAAAGCGCGACTTTTAGAAATGATGGTTCAGGGTTCGAGTTTGTGACCCGCTTGAGAAAGTGACCAACCTCTGAGCCTGAATCCCATACCTGAAAAACAAGGACAGTAATCACCCTTGCCAGTTTCACATAGCTTGGTAAGGTGTGAAGAAAAGCTTCTTAAATTGGGATGTTTGGTGCTCTCATTTGTTGGCAGATAGCATTCCGAGCTCATGTAACGGGAATCACACCAGTAGGCTTATGCTGAGGAACGTGGATTGTTTGGGGTTGGATTCCAGGAAACAGATCACTTAAAAAAATTTTTTTTTCTTCGAGACGGAGTCTCGCCCTGTCGCCAGGCTGGAGTGCAGCGGCGCGATCTCGGCTCACTGCAACCTCCACCTCCCGAGTTCAAGCGATTCTCCTTCCTCAGCCTCCCGAGTAGCTGGAACTACAGGCGCGTGCCACCACGCCCAGCTAATTTTTGTATTTTCAGTAGAGACGGGGTTTCACCATGTTGGCTAGGATGGTCTTGATTTCTTGACCTCGTGATCCTCCCGCCTCGGCCTCCCACAGTGCTGGGATTACAGGTGTGAGCCACCCACCTGGCCTCGGTGATATTTTTAAGAAGAAAATGGACTGTTGGGAAGTGACAGGCCATTGGAGATCTTTACAAAGTCCATCTTCAGGATGCATGAATCCTTTAAACAGCATGCATGTTTACAATCAGACTTCCCATTGAACGTCTGCAGTTTTAGGGACCTTAATACCTCCTGTCCAGTCGGATTTCCCATTGCAGGCAGCTCTAATTAAGAAGTCCTTTTAGCCGGGCGTGGTGACTCATGCCTGTAATCCCAACACTTTGGAGGACCGAGGTGGGCGGACCAGTTGTGGTCAGGAATTCGAGACCAGGCCTGGCCAACAGGCTGGTGAAACCCCGTCTCTACTAAAAATAAAAAGGTTAGCTGTGGTGGCGTGTGCCTTAATCTCAGCTATTCGGGAGACAGAAGAGACAGTAGAATCGCTTGAACCCTGGAGGCGGAGGTTGCAGTGAGCCGAGATTGCGTCACTGCACTCCAAGCTTGGGCGACAGAGCAAGACTCTTGTCTCAAAAAAAAAAAAAAAAGAATTCCTTTGATATGGTCAGCCAAAAGTCTCTCAGTTGCTATTTACTTTTATATTTATAATATTTATTATATATTTGTAATTATTTTATTTATTTTGAGATAGGGTCTCACTCTGTCACCCAGTCTGGAGTGCAGTAGTGAACATAGTAGCCTCGACTCTCCTGGGCTCAAGCCATCCTCCCACTTTTGCTTCCCAAGTAGCTGGGACTCAAGTACTCGCCACCTCGCCCAGCTAATTTTTTGATGTTTTGTAGAGACAAGGTTATTGCCCAGGCTGATCTGAGCGCCTGAACTCAAGCAATCCTTTTGCCTTGGCCTCTCAAAGTGCTGGGATTACAGGTTTGAGCCACTGTGCCCTGCGAAGAATTTGAGTTTAAAAACGTTGAGAACGTTATGCGAGTTTTTCATTTTTAAAGTTCACAATACGTAACAGAAAACAGGGAGGAGCAAAATGTTCAGTTGAGGCTGGGTGTGGTGACTCACGCCTGTAATCCCAGCACTTTGGGAGGCCGAGGTGAGTGGGTCACCTGAGGTCAGGAGTTCGAGACCAGCCTGGCCACCATGGCAAAACCCCATTTCTACTAAAAACACAAAAGTTAGCCAGGTGTGGTGGTGGGCTCTTGTAATCCCAGCTACTCGGGAGGCTGAGGCAGGAGGATCACTTGAACTCGGAGGCGGAGGTTGCAGTGAGCCGAGATCGCGCCATTGCACTCCAGCCTGGGTGGTGAGTGAAACTCCGCCTTAAAACAAAAAAAGAAACAAAAATATTCTGTTTACAGGCAGATCACTTGAGGTCAGGAGTTTGAGATCAGCCTGGCAAGTCAGGCGAAACCCTGGCTCTACAAAAATATAAAACATGGCAAAACCCTGACTGTACTAAAAATACAAAAATTAGCTGGGCATGGTGGCACGCGCCTGCAATCCCAGCTCCTTGGGAGGCTGAGACAGGAGAATCACTTGAACCCGGGAGGTGGAGGTTGCAGTGAGCCACGAGGTGGTGGAGTTGGGAGGGAGATTGCATTGGGGAGGATGGAGGTGTGATGAGGACATTTATTTGTGCATGAATGAATGAATGACAGAGTCTCGCTCTCTCACCCAGGCTGGAGTGCAGTGGCACAACCTTGGCTCGCTCCAGTGTCTACCTCCCAGGTTCAAGTGATTCTCCTGCCTCAGCCTCCCGAGTAGCTGGGATTACAGGTGTGCACCACTAGGCCCTGCTGATTTTTGTATTTCTAGTGGAGACGGCATTTCACTATGTTGGCCAGCCTGGTCTTGAACTCCTGACCTGAAATGATCTGCTGGCCTCGGCCTCCCAAAGTGCTGGGATTACAGGATGAGCCACCGTGCCCGTTTCTCTCTCTCTCTTTCTTTCCTTTCTTTTCTTTCTTTTTTGAGGCAGGGTCTCATTCTGTTGCCCAGGCTGGAGTGCAGTGACCTGATCTCGGCTCACTGCAGCCTCCGTGCCTCCTGGGTTCAAGCAGTCCTCTTGTCTCAGCCTCCCCAGTAGCTGGGATTACAGGGGCCCGCTCCCACCAACCTCCTAGCTAATTTTCAAACTCCTGACCTCAAGTGATCACCTGCTTTAGTCTCCCAAAGTGCTAGAATTACAGATGTCAGCCATCATACCCGGCCTGGTTTTTTTTTTTGTTTTTTTTTTTGAGACGGAGTCTTGCTCTGTCACCCAGGCTGGAGTGAAGTGGTGTGACCTTGGCTCATTGCAGCTTCTGCCCTCCAGGTTCAAGGAATTCTCCTGCCTCAGCCTCCCTAGTAGCTGGGATTACAGGCACCTGCCACCATGCCCAACTAATTTATGTATTTTTAGTAGAGACGGGTGTTGCCATGTTGGCCTGACTGGTCTCGAACTCCTGACCTCAGGTGATCCGCACCTTGTCCTCTCAAAAGTGCAGGGATTACAGGGATGGAGCCACTGCACCTGGCCCTGGCCTGTGTTTGTTTGTTTTGTTTTGTTTTCAACTTTTATTTTCACAGAGTACGTGTGCATGTTGGTTACATGGATAAATTGCTTGTTGTTGAGGTTTGGTATACAAATGATCCCGTCACCCTGGTAGTGAACATAGTACCTGATAGGCAGTTTTTCAACCCTCACTCTTTCCCATCCTTCCCTGTCTAATAGTCTCCAATGTCTGTTGTTCTCATCGTTATGTCCACGTGTACTCAGTGTTTAGTTTCCACTCGTAAATGAGAACATGCCGTCTTTGGTTTTCTGTTGCTGTTTTTTTTAGGCCAGAGTGCAGTGGCACGATCTCGGCTCACTGCAACCTCTCTGCCTTCCGGGTTCAAGCAATTCTCCTGCCTCAGCCTCCTGAGTAGATGGGATTACAGGTGCTCGCCACCACATCTGGCTAATTTTTTTCTATTTTTAGTAGAGACAGGGTTTCACCATGTTGGCCAGGCTGGTTTCAAACTCCTGACCTCAGGTGATCCACTTGCCTTGGCCTCCCAAGTGCTAGGATTACAGGCGTGAGCCATTGCGTTGGGCCTCTGTTCGTGTTAATTCGATGAGGATAATGGCCTCCAGCTGTATCCATGTTGCTGCAAAAGACAGGATTTCATTGTGTTTTTTTTTCGTTGTTTTTTTGGCTGCTAGTATTCCATGATATATTACGTACCACATTTTCTTTATCCAGTCCACCATTTATGAGCATCTAAGTTGATTTGATGTCTTTGCTATTTTGGATAGTGCTGTGATTAATATGAGTGCTCTTGTACTTTTGGTAGAATGGTTTTATTTTCCTTTGGGTTTATACCCAGTATTGGGATTGTTGGATCGACATACATGTGTCCAATAAATGTATGAAAAAATGTTCAACATCACTGATCATTAGAGAAATGCAAACCAAAACCACAATGTAAATCAAAACCACAAACCCATCTCACCACCAGTTAGAATGGATATTATTAAAAAGTCAAAAAATAACAGATGTTGGCAAGGTTGTGAAGAAAAGGGAATGCTTATCCACTGTTGGTAGGAATGTAAATTAGTTCAGCCACTATGGAAAGCAGTTTGGAGATGTCTCAAAGAACTATGTTTAATTTTGTGTCCTTTTTTTTTGAATTATGAGCTATAGCATTTACCCATTTATAAATAATAAATGTGATTTAAAAACTTTTGATTATGAGAAAATTGAGACATACACAGAGAGATAGTACAATGAATCACATGTCACTCAGCTATAATAGTTCAACTACGCCCATACTGACTCCTCACAAGTCTACAGTTTGTCATGTGACACATCTATAAAGCATTTTTGTTCTTTTACAAATTGTAAAAAGACACTTATTTTTATTGGTACCAAGTTTGTGTATAAGTTCATATTATTTCTTGGAAATGAGAAATGGAGTTCTATGAAGATTTTTAAGACAATTATTGAGTAAAATACAAAGAATAAGATGACCTGGCATTCCATTTTTTTTACTTTATATATGTGTCTAATTTTCAAATTTAATTGGATGAATTTTGTAACAAACATCTTTAGATAACTTACATTCTAATGGTTTTTACAGATTATTGAATAATAAAATACAGTTTTGAAAAAAATGGATGAAGAACCTGAAAGAACTAAGCGATGGGAAGGAGGCTATGAAAGAACATGGTAAGGAGAGCTTTATTGCCCTGTCTTTTCTTTTAGACAATGTCTTTTTTTTTCTTTACAACTTTATTAAAGTATATTTTACATATGTTAAAATTCACCCATTTCCAATGTACAATTCAGTGATGTTTTATTAATAATTTACTGAGCTGTGCAGCCATTATCATAAACCAGTTTTAGAATATTGTAACCACTCCAGTAAGATCCTTCACATTCATTTACAATTAATTTAAATCTTAATTTAATTCCACCTGTGGGCAATCATTAGTCTACTTTTTGTCTCCAAATTTTAACCTTTTCTGGACATTTCACAAAAATGTGATCATATACAATCATGTGCCACATAATGATGTTTTGGTCAAAGACAGACTGCATATATGACAATGGTCCCATAATATTATAATACTGTATTTTTACTCTACCTTTTCTATGTATGTTTAGATATACAAATACTGAACATTGTGTTACAGTTGTCTTAAGATATTCAGTATAGTAACGTGCTGTACAGGTTTGTAACCTAGGCGTGGGATAGGCTATACCATCTAGGTTTGTGTAAGTATACCCTGTGATATTCACACAATAATGAAATTGCCTAACAATGCATTTCTCAGAATGTATCCCTGTCAGTAAGCGATGCATGACTATAATAGTTGGTCTGTTGTGGCTGGCTTTCACTTATTTTTAAGACTCATCCATGTTGCAGTGTGTATTAATACTTCATTCCTTTTTTATTGCTGAATAGTATTCCCATCTATGGTTATGCCACATTATTGTTTATCCATTCACTAGTCTGTGGATATTTAGGTTCTTTACAGTTTTTGACTGTTAGGAAAATGCAGCCATGAACACTTACATGCAAATCTTTGTGTGGACATATATTTTCATTTCATTTGGGCTAGTAATCATTTTAGCTTGTCTTTTCAAACAAATAATTATGACTTATAGGGAGATTCTTAAAGAAGATGAATCTGGATCACTTAAAGCTACAATAGAAGACATTCTATTCAAGGCAAAGAGAAAAAGGTATGTAACCTTCCTACGTATCTTAAAAAGGTAAAATATATTCATTTTAAGCCTTTCTATCTATAAATACTCCTCAGTACTTCATTTTAGCTGTGTTTCAGGGAAACTGACCTATTGCCTTCTGACTATGGGGAAAGAACTAGCCACCTACCCTTGCCCCAGCAGGAAATGGTCTTTAGAGACTGTCTACAATACCTATAATTATGTGTATTGTATTCCATAAGTTAATTATTTACTCCACTAAAAATGCACGTTATGACATTCTTAATCAGAATTAGAAAAAAAGAAAAACAAAGGAGGTCAATTGGAAAGTTGTATTTTTTTTTTGTGGGGGGATAGTATATGGAATTACATTAAAATGTTTGTATAATTTTAACAGAGTATTTGAGCACCATGGACAAGTTCGACTTGGAATGGTATGTCATTATTTTTTCTTTTACTAGTACAGAACTAGTTTAGGTTAGAGAAACATTCTGTCTTGCTAGAAAAAACAATAGCAAAACAACAAAGTTTTTAAAAGAATATGTTAAAAATACGTGCATAGAATATGTAATTATTAAATGCCATTTTTACTAGTCAAAATGGCACTTGAGGCTGGGCACAGTGGCTCATGCCTATAATCCCAGCACTTTGGGAGGCCAAGGCAGGAGGATTGCTTGAGCCCAGGAGTTTGAGACCAACCTGGGCAACAGAACGAGACCCAGTTTCTACAAAACAAAACAAGTACTTGAAATTGGCCCTTTCTTTTTTCCGATAGATGCGCCACCTTTATGTGGTAGTAGATGGATCAAGAACAATGGAAGACCAAGATTTAAAGCCTAATAGACTGACGTGTACTTTAAAGGTAAAATTTAAGTTTATACTAAATCATTTAAATTTGTACCAAAATCACTTAAACTTTTACTAAAAAAGTGGGGAAGAACACTGGATTCTAAAGGATATTTTTAAAGAATGCAATATTTTTTATTTTTTGCCTTGTATTTTTAGTTAATGCTAATGATAGCTAAGTAGAAGTACTGCCAGGTTATTTAGGGAAATTTTAAACCAACATAGCTAATTATTTGTGTTTTTAATTTCTATCCTCCCACCCCACATCAGGATCTTGGTTTATCAGTTATCCCTTTTCTTTCTTGAATCTTCATTCTCCTTTGCCTTACTTAACTCTGTCTCCTCAGATTACAAATATGTTCGTATTCCTAATTTATCAAAACCTATTCTCAATTCTGCTCGTTCTCCCATCTCTCTTCATTGGATCTTTTCCTCATTGAAATTTCTTCTGACACATCCAAATGGTTCCATCTTTTAAAACCTAGCTCAAACCTATCTCATCACCCACCATTTCAAATTAACGTTTTTACTGTTTAATATTTTTATTACTTAACAGTTTTTGAAAATCTGTAAGTTTAAAAGTCATGAGAAGTGACGCTTGATTAACAGGTTTCACAAACATCAGTTGGACATGTTCTTTATGATTGTTATTTTGCCTTTATCTAGTATGTCTTTTTTTGTTTAAACAGTTGTTGGAATACTTTGTAGAGGAATATTTTGATCAAAATCCTATTAGTCAGGTACGTATCTAAGTGATAGAATTCAGAATTAGATTCCTATTTTGCTTCCAAATGTAATTTATTTTTAAAAATTGGACATGTATTTTGTGAATTACCCAAATTGTTTAACCAGTTTCTGGTATACTTAAAAATGAAAAGCGTAATAACTCTAAAAGTTAAACGTAATGTGAACTCATAGCTAAATTTATTTGCCAAAAACAGCATGAGAAAAAGTTTCTCACCTGTTGCTTCTTTCTTTTGTAATTACTAGTTTATTTTAGCTATATAAATTATTTTTTTTTCTGCTCCAATATCATCTACAGGAATAGTTATATATATTCTTAATGGGAGGAAATAACTTGTTATATTAATAATAATTTTTGTTTTTATTTCAAGATTGGAATAATTGTAACTAAGAGTAAAAGAGCTGAAAAATTGACTGAACTTTCAGGTATGCATAAAATTACCTTTACATGACTCAAGGACTTTGCTTTATTTACCCAACCTCGTAGCCCTGTTTATATGGCTGCTTAATAAGTAACGTGAAGGGTGGTTCCTCTGTCTTCTCTAGGTGAAACAATTTAATAACATCTCCCCCACCATTATATTCTTAGGATACAAGGTTAACTATTCTAAATTGAGTTCTGCATCATAGTGGTAAATAATACTACATTGAATATAAATGTTTTTATTTAAATTCTATATGTGCTTATCCTGAAATTTTTTTTTCTTTCCTTTTTTTTTTTTTTTTTTTTTTTTTGGAGATGGAGTCTTGCTCTGTCGCCAGGCTAGAGTGCAGTGGCACAATTTCGGATCACTGCAAAGTCCGCCTCACGGGTTCAAGCGATTCCCTGCCTCAGCCTCCTGAGTAGCTGGAACTACAGATGCCCGCCACCACGCCCTGCTAATTTTTTGTATTTTAGTAGATACGGGGTTTCACCATGTTGGCCAGTATGGTCTCAATCTCTTGACCTTGTGATCAGCCCGCCTCAGCCTCTCAAAGTGCTGGGATTACAGGCTTGAGCCACCGCATCCGGCCTTATCCTGAAAATATTAAAATACAGTTATTGTAATCATTTATAAAATCCAGTTAATCTTAAAATTAAATTCTTAAAAAGTTAAGCATCTAATTTAAAAGGGAAAAAGTATAAAAATTAAACTGTAGCTATTGCTAATGAATCAATTTTTCTGCTTCCATGACATACCTAACTGAATTTTAGTTTCAAAACGTAGTAATGGCATTTTTTATTTGCTTTGGTATATATGCTGTTACAAATTTGCATCACTGATTCTATTTTATTTTCTGTGAAATACACTCTCCCTTAAATCTGGTTTTCAACCTTTTATCCTTGCCGGCACACATAAGGGAAATGACATACTTTCTTCATTAGTAGTTTTTCATTAAATGCAGTGAGGAGTGAAATGTACATTGGCCTGGAGTGATTCAAGAAACTCAGTTGTGAGTAACCAAAAGAATGTCACACTAGCTTAAGTGCAGAAGGAAAATTTTGGGCTATGTTCAAAGGTGGGCCAATTCCATATATAGTTGCTGCATATGTTGGGGTCCTGGCTTTGTCTGGCTTCATTCTCTGATAGATTTTCTGGAAGTTGAAAAGATGTCTCTTAATTGTCCCAGTTCTACATTGTACCCGTAGCCTATAGCTTCAGCACACGTCTAGGGAGAACTCTGATTGGCCTGAGTTACGATCTGCCCATCCATGAACAAAGTGGCCAGGAAATGAAGTATTTTGTTTGTACGCTTCGATTGCCTGCTGATGCCCAGAGCAGGATAGAAGTAGGGTCAGCACCACATGAACTAAGCAGGATTATTATATAGTGGAAGAAGGATGGTTCCTCCAAGGTAGGAATATAAGGTCAATATTTTCCTCTCACTTTACCCACCCCGAGTTACCAGCAGTTTTCTATTGCTTCTTTTTTTTTTTTTTTGAGAAGGAGTCTCTCACTCTGTCGCCCAGGCGGTGCTGTCTTGGCTCACTGCAACCTCCGCCTCCCGGGTTCAAGAGATTCTCCTGCCTCCCCCTCCCGAGTAGCTGGGATTACAGGTGTGCGCTGCCACACCTGGCTAATTTTATTTTTAGTAGAGACAGGATTTCACCATGCTGGCCAGGCTGATCTCGAACTCCTGACCTCAGGTGATCTACCCACCTCAGCCTCCCAAAGTGTTGGGATTACAGGCATCAGCCACCATGCCCGGCCCCAGCAGTTTTCTATGGATGTTAGTGAAGTCATGTATAAAGATGAAAAATATTCTGGAGATTCTGACAGGCCTCTTGAAGCCACCTTTTTTTCCCTCCAATCAGACCACTGCTGTAAACCACACTGACACTATTGTAGTATGCTTTTTTCCTATACCCATAACACAGTGGGAGATTAAAAATAATTTTGTAGGGTAGGAAGAGAAGTGGATAGAGAGCCAGGAGATCTAGGTTTGGGTGCTGCTGGTCCTGCAGTTAAGCAGGCATATGTCTTTGGGCAAGTCATTTCACTTGTTTAGATTAATTTTCTCACTTATGAAGTGAGGGATTTGGACTGCTTAGCGAGGTACTTTTCATCTCTAAAATTTATGAATCTAAAATACTTGCAGTAAATATTAAATATTACAAATGGTTAATATTTTAAAACTTACTCAGATGAGTAAAAACTCAAGGGAGCTCCAAGTTGATGAATAGACAAAGAAGACATGATTCACACAGAAAAAACCCAGAAATTAAATCAGGGAAACTAGTAATCCAAAAACACTCTACCCAATTACATAACATTTTATTTTTTAATATATTTTAAATGAGCAAAATTAAGTTTCCAAAGCAATATGTTGCTTGTGGAACCACAGAGAAACTGTTATTTATAGTGCTGATAGTCTTACAAATTAGTTCAATATTTTTTAGAAAAGCATAAAAATTGTTCCTGAAATTATATTTAGGGAATGTTATGGAAGGAGAATGATCACTCTACAAAGATACTCTTTGTAACATTATGTATAATAGTGACAGATTAAAAATTAAATGTTTAATAGTATGCTTTGATGGATTATATTTTATGACAAAATCAATTTAATGATACTTAGGTTATTGATTGATACGAAGACAGTGCTGAAATGGAAAATGTTTACGGAATACTATATTTCATTGAAACTCAGATTCCATCAATTACAAGATACTTTTATAAGCCATTAAGAAGGAAAAGTCCTAGTAGTTAAACTTTGACACAGTATCAAATGATATATGAGTTGGCTATACTAGCTTCTTGGTAATTTGACATGTACAGACATCTCAAATTTGGGGGCCAGGTGTGGTGACTTACACCTGTACTCCCAGCACTTTGAGAGGCTGAGGCGGGAGGATTGCTTGAATCCAGGAGTTCAGGACTAGCCTGGACAACATGGTGAAACCCTGTCTCTACCAAAAATATACAAAAAAATTTAGCCAAGTGTGGTGCTGGGCACTTGTAGTCCCAGCTACTTGGGAGGTTGAGGTGGGAGGATGGTTTGAGCCTGGGAGGTGGAAGTTGCATTGAGCCAAAATTGCCCCATTGCACTCCAGCCTGGCAACAGATATATATATAATCTAAATATAAATAATATAAAAAAATATTATATTAAAAAGAAAAAAAAGGATTTGGCAGCTTCTCCCCCCTTCATTTGAATTGCTTAGCATAAGATAGACAATCTTTTCAGATGCTATTTGGTAAGATAACACAGCTTCGTCTGTTTGTGGGAATATTCGTTTCTTAGGTCTTGTAAAGTTCTTGATTTCTTCCCTCAAGAAAAATACGGAATTGCATGCATTCTTCCATCAATATTTGATTCATTATAATAAATTTATGCCTCACTGCTGTGTTCCACACCTTTCTACATAAAAATATAGCCTTTTGTATTAACAACATTTCTAAAAACATTTTATTGTTTGTTTTTTGAGATGGAGTTTCGCTGTTGTTGCCCAGGCTGGAGTGCGGTGGTGCAATCTCAGCTCACTGCAACCTCCACCTTCTGGGTTTAAGTGATTCTTGTGCCTCAGCCTCCCTAGTGGCTGGGATTACAGGTGTATGCCACCATACCCAGCTAATTTTTGCATTTTTACTACAGATGGGATTTACACCATGTTGACCAGGTGTGTCTTAAACTCCTGACCTCAGGTTATCTGCCTGCCGTGGTCTCCCAGAGTGCTGGGATTACAGGCGTGAGCCACCGCGCCTGGCCTTAAAAACATTTTAAATGGCAGTTAAACTCACCATGAAGAGGACAATGTACATAATGCAATTGAAGCAACAACATATGAAGACCTATTTGTAGGTTCACATATGAACAGGCAAAGACTATGTTACAAGTGCTGCTGGCTACCAGTAATTATTAAACACATGCTGATTTCAGAGATGTTAAATGTGAAAATGTATTGGTCTTAAAAATGATGAAATATGGAAATATTAAGAGTAAAAAAATGCACTCTAGGTTAGCATTATTTTAAAATATGTATGCTAGTCTATAAGGAGATTATTTGTATTCTGTTTTTCAGTATGAAGTGAGAGTGTTTACAAAATATTGCAGATAAAATTCCAACAGAAATATACATTGAAAGGATTCTGTTCTTTAACATCATAGATATGTAAATTTTGAGAGAAACATAAACTTTTTTAATATATAGGATTTTATTTAAAGATCTTATTTCTATTTTAGGAAACCCAAGAAAACATATAACGTCTTTGAAGGAAGCTGTGGATATGACCTGCCATGGAGAGCCATCTCTTTATAATTCCCTAAGCATGGCTATGCAGACTCTAAAGTTAGTATTATACATTATGTATAATTGAATTAGAAGTTTTTTAAATGAGTTAAGTTGAAGTGATGTGTTAATATGGGGCCCATAAACCCAGCTATAACAAAATTGTTAAGTACGAGAATTATGTAGTGTTATTTATGATGTTTAGTGTGGTGTTGGTTAGTAATTTTTATTTTACATTTTAGTAAGATATTGTTAAAGGTTTTATAAAAATATAATTTAAAACTGTCGGCAGTATCAATAGTACAAAAATAGGTTGATGAAAAAATATTTTATTAAAATGAGATTTAATATAGTATAATAATTGTAAGTTGGTTGTACCTTTATTAACATTTATTAATTTATTTTGAAAGTAATGGCCAAAACCACAATTCCTTTTGCACCAATGTCATATATCTGTAAATTAATAGATATGGCAAGTTCAGCTATATGGAATAGAGCTAAGACCCCAAAGGAAATACTTGGTATAGTTAAAGCTTATATATATATATAAGCTTTATATACATATTATATATATAATTTATTATACATATATATAAAGCTTATATATATGTTAAACTTACATATATAAGTTAAAGCTTATATATCTATTATATATACACACACACACACACACACACACACACACACACACACACGTATATATATATATTTTTTCGAGACAGAGTCTTGCTCTGTCACCCAGGCTGGCATGCAGTGGCGTGATCTCAGCTCACTACAACCTCCACCTCTGGGTTCAAGTGATTCTTGTGCCTCAGCCTCCCTAGTGCTGGGATTACAGGTGTGTGCCACCATGCCCAGCCAATTTTTGTATTTTTAGTACAGATGGGGTTTCATCATGTTAGCCAGGCTGGTCTTGAACTCCTGGCCTCAAGCGATCCGCCCACCTCAGCCTCCCTAAAGCTTATATATTTTATCTCTGGATAGTCTGCCCTGGCTCAGACTTATACCTTTATATAATAGATATTTTTCTAGTTTTGAAGTGGATGAGAAGGAGGCAACACATGTAATAGAGGTAAGTACAGTAGTAGGGTCTACCAGTGAGAGCTGAGACGATAACAATGAAAATATAAGCAGGAAAGCTATAACTAATTGATAAAATTGCTGCAGAAAGCATAAAAACGTCTATTTAGTGTAGGTGAAAACTGGTCACCACAACTTAAAACTCTACAAGCTATCATTTTAATTAAATGGTATGCAATATTAATGTTCATGATTATTATGACTCTGAATTACTGTGAGGTTAAATTATAGTAATCCCCCCTTATCTGCAGTTTCACTTTCCAGTTTTAGTTACTCTTGGTCTGAAAATATTAAATTGAAAACTTCAGTAATAAATAATTCATAAGATTTAAGTTGTGTGCCATTCTGGGTAGCGTGATGAGATCCTACACCTTCCCTCTCTGTCCTGCCCAGGACGTGAATCATCCCTTGGTCCTGTAGATCCTCACAGTATATGCTGCCCACCCATGTAATGGCCTAAGTCATCAGATTAACTGTTGTTATTGACTGTCAAAACTATTGCAGTGTTTGTGTTATTTTACTTAATAATGACCTCAAAGTGCAGGAGTAGTGATGCCGGCACGTTGTTATAAATGTTCCATTATTAGTTATTGTTGTTAATCTCTTATTGTGCCTAATTTATACATTATTGATCATAGGTGTGTATGTAAGGCACACCTCATTTTGTTGCACTTTTATTGCACTTTTCAGATAACTTTTTTTTTTACAAACTGACAGTTTATGGCAACTCTGTTGAGCAAGTCTGTTGGTGCCATTTTTTTTTAACAGCATGTGCTCACTTCTTGCCTCTATATCACACTTTGGTAGTTCTTGCAATATTTCAAGCTTTGTAAATTATTGTTATATCTGTTATGGTGATCTGTGATCAGTGATCTTTGATGTTACTATTGTAATTATTTTAGGGCACCACAAACTGCGCCCATATAAGACAACAGACTTAATTGATAAGTGTTACGTGTGTTCTGACTGCTCCACCAACTGGCTGTTTTCCAGTCTCTCTCCCTCTGTTCGGCCCCCCCATCTCCTAAGACACAAAAATATTCAAGTTACACCAATAATAACCCTCCAGTGGCCTCTGAGTGTTCAAGAGTAAGGAGGAGTCGCATGTCTCACTTTAAATCAAAAGCTAGAAATGATTGAGCTTAGTGAGGAAGGCATGTCAAAATGCAAGACTGGCTGAAGGCTAGGTCTCTTGTGCTAAACACTTAGTCACATTGTGAATGCAAAGGTAAAGTTCTTGAAGGAAATTGAAAGTGCTGGGCTGTGCGTGGTGGCTCTTACCTGTAACTGCAACACTTTGGGAGGCTAAGATGGGAGGATCACCTGAGGCCATGAGTTTGAGACCAGTCCTGGTAACATAGCAAGACCTCCATCTCTACAAAAAAAAAAAAAAAAAAAAAAAATTAGCCAGGCACAGTGGCGAGCACCTGTATGTAGTCCCTAACTTCTCAGGAGGCTGAGGCAGGAGGATTGAGCCCAGTAGTTTGAGGCTGCAGTGAGCTACGATTGTGCTACTGTACTCCAGCTTGTATGATAGAGCAAGATCCTGTCTCAAAATAAGAAAAAAATAATGGAAATTCAAAGTGCTGCTTCAGTGGACACATGAATGATAAGAAAGTGAAACAGCTTTATTGCTGATACAGACAAAGTTTTAATGGTCTAGATAGAAGATTAAAGTAGCCACAACAGTCCATTAAGTCAAATCCTAATCCAAAGCAAGGCTCTAATTCTCTTCAATTCTATGAAGGCTGAGAGCAGTGAGGAAGCTGCAGAAGAAAAGTTTGAAGCTAACAGAGCTGAGCTCATGAGGTTAATGAAAGAAGCCATCTCCAAAACATAAAAGTGTAAGAGGGGCTGGGCGCGGTGGCTCACGCCTGTCATCCCAGCACTTTGGGAGGCCAAGGTGGGCAGATCATGAGGTCAGGAGTTCAAGACCAGTCTGGCCAACATAGTGAAACGCTGTCTCTACTAAAAATACAAAAAATTAGCCAGGTGTGGTGGTGTGCGCCTATAATCCCAGCTACTCGGGAGGCTGAGGCAGGAGAATCGCATGAACCCAGGAGGCAGAGGTTGCAGTGAGCCGAGATCGCGCCATTGCACTTTAGCCCAGACGACACTGTGAGACTCCGTCTCAAAATAAAAAAAAAAAAAGTGCAAGAGGAAGCAGCAAGTGCTGATGTAGAAGCTGCAGCAAGTTATCCAGAAGATCTAGCTAAAATAATTGATGAAGGTGACTACACTAAATATCAAATTTTCTTTTTCTTTTTTGTTTTTGAGAGAGGGTCTCGCTCTGTCACCCAGGTTAGAGTGCAGTGGTGCAATCATGGATCACTGCAGCCTCAAACTCCCAGGCTCAAGCTATTCTCCCAGCCCCACAAGTAGCAGGGACTACAGGCATGTGCCACCACACCCAGCTAATTTTTGTTGTTGTTGTTGTTGTAGAGGTAGGGTTTCGCCACATTGCCCAGCTGGTCTTGAACTCCTGGGCTCAAGCAGTCCTCCGCCTCTGCCTCCCAAAGTGCTGGGATTACAAGCATGAGCCACTGCACCTGGCCTCATATTTTCAATGTAAATGAAACAGCCTTCTGTTGGAAGGAGATGCCATCTAGGATTTTCATAGCTAGAAGAAGTGAATGCCTGGTTTCAGAGCTTCATGGGATAGGCTTCTTCTCTTGTTAGGGGCTAATACAGCTGGTGACTTGATGTTGGCACCAATGTTTGTTACCATTCTGAAAATCCTAGAGTCCTTAAGAATTATTCTAAATCTATTCAGTCTGTGCTCTGCAAATGGAATAACAAAGCCCAGATAACAGCACATCTGTTTACAGCATGGGCTTACTGAATATTTTAAGCCCATTGTTGAGATATATCTCAGAAAAAAGATTTATTTCAAAATATTATTGCTCATTGACAATGCACCCAGTCACCCAAGAGCTCTAATTGAGATGTACAAGAAGATTAATGTTATTTTCATATCTACTAACATAGCACTCATTCTGCAACCCTTGGATAAAGGAATACTTTGAACTTTCACGTCTTGATTATTTAAGAAATACATATCATAAGGCTGTGACTGCCATAGATGGATCTGAGCAAAGTACATTGAAAACCTTCTGGAAAGAATTCACCATTCTAAATGCCATTCATAGAAAGAGGTCAAAATATCTACACTGGCTGGGCATGGTGGCTCATGCCTGTAATCCCAGCACATTGGGAGGCCGAGGCGGATGGATCACTTGAGGTCAGGAGTTCAAGACTAGTCTGGCCAACATGGTGAAACCCGTCCTCACTAAAAATACAAAAATTATCTGGGCATGGTGGTGCATGCCTGTAATCCCAGCTACTGGGGAGGCTAAGGCAGGAGAATTGCTTGAACCCAGGAGGCAGAGGTTGCAGTGAGCCGAGATCGCACCACTGCACTCCAGCCTGGGTGTCAGAGCAAGAATCAGTCTCAAAACAAAAAAAGAATAGCCCATAAACTTAGTTGGTAAAGCATCAGTGGGGTTTCAAAGGAATGACTCCCATTTTGAAAGAGGTACTACTATGAATAAAATGCTACCAAACAGCATTTGCATTCCTTTCATGAAAGGAAGAGTTGACCCATGTAACAAACTACTTTGTCTTATTTTAAGAAATTGCCATAGCCACCTCACCCTTCAGAAAGCACCACTCTGATCAGTCAGCAGCCATCAATATCAAGGCAAGACTCTCCTTCAACAAAAAGATATTATTCACTGACAGTTCAGTCGATTTTTAGCAATAAAGTATTTTTCATAAAGGTGTGTACTTTTTTTTTTAGATATAATGCTGTTGCACACTTACTAGACTACAGTATAGTGTAAACAGAACTTTTCTTTTTCTTTCTTTTTTTTTTTTTTGAGACGGAGTCTCGCTCTGTCGCCCAGGCTGGAGTGCAGTGGCGCAATCTTGGCTCACTGTAAGCTCCGCCTCCTGGGTTCACACCATTCTCCTGCCACCACGTCCGGCTCATTTTTTTGTATTTTTAGTAGAGACGGGGTTTCACCGTGTTAGCCAGGATGGTCTCGATCTCCTGACCTCGTGATGTGCCCGCTTCAGCCTCCCAAAGTGCTGGGAATACAGGCGTGAGTCACCATCCCTGGCCGTAAACAGAACTTTTATATACACTAGGAAACCTGAAAGTTCATGTGACTTGCTTTATTGCAAATATTTATTGTGATATTTGCTTTATTGCTGCGGTCTGGAATCCAACCCTGCAGTATCTCCAAGGTATGCCTGTATAGGGAAAAACATGGTATAATCAGCCCTCTGAATCCTGGGTTCTGCTTCTGTGAATTCGATCAACCACGCATCAAAAATTTTTGGAAAAAAATTGTACCTGTACTGAACAAATAGACATTTTTTCTTGCCATTATCCCCTAAATAATAGAGGATAACAATTACTTACATAGTATACATTGTATTAGGTATTATCAATAATCTAGAGATGACTTAAAATATATGGGAGGATGTACATAGGTTATATGCAAATACTACGCCCTTTTGTATCTGGGACTTGAACATCTGCAGATTTTGGTATCCATAGGAGGGCCTGAAATCAATCCCCCAAGGATACCGAAGAACGACTGTATATATAGGGTTCAGTACTATCCTTGATTTCAGGTATCCACTGGGGGTCTTGGAATGTATCCTCTGCAGATAAGAGGGGACTACTATAGTCTTTGAGAAAGAAGTGTGTGTTACTGTTTTGAAGCCACATCTCTGCACTTTAAAGCTGATCCATATGATATTGCCACATTTTAGTTTAAAGTTTATCCATATATTGTTGTATTTTTTATTGTATACTCTAGACTTTGTATGAAACAAACCTACTAGAATGTAAGCTTAATGATGTCGGGAACATTGTCAGTCTTGTTTATCACTCTACCCCCAGAACTTGAGAGTACTTGGTAAATATTAAATGAATCAATTAACAATTTTTTGAAGTGCATAGCTCATTTTAGAAAAATTTGCATTAAAGTGTTTAAAATATACTCACAACCTTTCTTTGCATTGTTGAAACAAATGAGATATTCTATAGTCTAAATGTGTAATCCTATGTTTACTGTTCTTTCTGGGTAAATTTTTTGGTAGTATAATTTGTTGTACCTAATTGGAGTGTATTTTATCTTTCTTTTAAGACACATGCCTGGACATACAAGTCGAGAAGTACTAATCATCTTTAGCAGCCTTACAACTTGCGATCCATCTAATATTTATGATTTAATCAAGGTAGACCAAAAAATCAAAACCAAAGTTATAACTGTAAAGAGAATTCTGTAGCAAATTGATTTATATATATATGTATTTTTGTATGTGTGATTCATCTTTGTGGTAGATGTATTGAATTTATTACTAGTTTTCAGAGCATTCTTTATTTTTCAAATACATTAAATCTTAAATGTTTTTCTTCTTTCCTAAAACTATCTATCTACTTGGATTTTATGAAGACCCTAAAGGCAGCTAAAATTAGAGTATCTGTTATTGGATTGTCTGCAGAAGTTCGCGTTTGCACTGTACTTGCTCGTGAAACTGGTGGTATATATATAATTTATTTAATATTTGCTTATAATTACTGTGTAGGAAATAATTTATTAATTAAATTAGGATGTTTTAATCTGTTCTGAGCTACTAAACTTAAAGTAGTCTAAAATATGGGCAGTCATCTTAAATATATCATTGATTCCATAAGAAATCATCTCCAAATGCAAAGAGTTTTCAGTACTTATGTCAGTATTTAGAGGAGGTATTATAACTCTTGGAAAGCTGGAAATTTTACTGTATGTAATTCTTTATAAAGATTTTATAACTTGTCTTTAATTAAATTGTAATTACAGGCCAGGCATGATAGCTCATGCCTGTAATCTCAACATTTTGGTAGGCCAAGGCAGGAGAATCACTTGAGGCCAGAAGTTTGAGATCAGTCTGGTTAACATAGTGAGACCTGTCTCTATTTATATGTTAAAATAATAATAATAGTAATAATAATCAATTGTAATTATAGTTATTCCTAGAGAAGTTGATTTAGATATATTACTTAAATAAGGTTTTAAAAGTGATAATTTAGCTAAAATCATTATTTTAAAAATGTACATTTTCAGATGATACAACTTTTACAGAATTACATAGAACGTACAGTTCGTTATGTCTATGAAGGTGTTTTTTTTTCCCTTTTCATCTTGTTAGGCACGTACCATGTTATTTTAGATGAAAGCCATTACAAAGAGTTGCTCACACATCATCTTAGTCCTCCTCCTGCTAGCTCAAGTTCTGAATGCTCACTTATTCGTATGGGTAAGTGTTTTTATGTTTTTAAAAAATACATATCTAGGCTCTCTATTTTCATTTGCACAAGTTATTTTAATATTTAAGAATTTTTAAAGAAAAAATATGCTTGTTGAAGCAATTTTGGAAAGTACAGAGAAGTGGAAAAAAAAAATTAAAACTACCAGTAGTCCTGTCACCCAGAAAATACTGTTGGCTTTCTTTATTTTTAAGGCTAGAAAGGTATAAACTGTGTTTATAGAAAAATACTTATATTAAGCCGGGCTCGGTGGCTCACACCTGTAATCCCAGCACTTTGGGAGGCCGAGGTGGGCGGATCTTGAGGTCAGGAGATCGAGACCATCCTGGCTAACACGGTGAAACCCCATCTCTACTAAAAATACAAAAAATTAGCCAGGCGTGGTGGCGGGCGCCTGTAATCCCAGCTCCTCGGGAGGCTGAGGCAGGAGAATGGCATGAACCCGGGAGGCAGAGCTGGCAATGAGCCGAGATCACACCACTGCACTCTAGCCTGGGCGACAGAGCGAGACTCTGTCTCAAAAAAGAAAACAAAAGAAAAACACTTATATTAAAAATTTTTTAAAATAAGCTACAAAGGCCGGGCGTGGTGGCTCATGCCTGTAATCCTAGCACTTTGGGAGGCCGAGGCTAGCGGATCACCTGAGGTCAGGAGTTTGAGACCACCCTAGCCAACATGGCGAAACCCTGTCTCTACTAAAAATTACCAAAAAATGGCTGGGCATGGTGGCAGACATCTGTAATCCCAGCTACTCAGGAGGTTGAGACAGGAGAATTGCCTGAACTCAGGAAGCGGAGGTTGCCATGAGCTGAGATTGCGCCACTGCACTCCAGTCTGGGTGACAGAGCAAGACTCTGTCTCAAAAAAATAAAATAAAATAAAAATAAAATAAGCTACAAAATTCTCTGTACTGGATGATCAAAGCTGTGTAATACAAACTGTGCAAAGACAAAGCTTGCAGGGAAGTACACCAAATTGCTCAAAGGAGGGGAAATTATTGGTTTTGGATCACTTTTTTTTTTCTTTTTTTTTTTGAGATGGAGTCTCATTCTATTTCCTAGGCTGGAAGTGCAGTGGTGCGATCTCAGCTCACACTGCAACCTCCGCTTCCCAGGTTCAAGCAATTCTCCTGCCTCAGCCTCCCGAGTAGCTGGGATTACAGGCGGGCACCACCATGCCCAGCTAATTTTTGTATTTTTAGTAGAGACAGGGTTTCACCATGTTGGCCAGGCTTGTCTTGAACTTCTGACCTCATGATCCGCCCGCCTCGGCCTCCCAGAGTGCTGGGATTACAGGCTTGAGCCACTGTGCCCGGCCTTGGATCACTTTTTTAAAATGTTATTTTCTTCTATTTTACAAAAATGTTACAATGAAAATTTATTACATTTATATTGAAAAAAGTATAACTTTTAATAGAAAAATAATCTCCTTATTTAATATGTATGTTTTTAAATGTTAATGAAATAAAATGCTTTTCTACTTTTGGCCTTTTATATTACCAGTCGACCTCTCTTTTCCACGGTCTTCTCATGTGTTTAATGATGTCAGTAACTATCAACCTTATTGTGTGTTTCAAGGATTGAGTTAATACAGATGATGCGTTTAGAATAATGCTTGATGTAAACATTCAATATATTTTAGATCTTATGTTTGGCTAATCTTTTTGATTTACTGATATATTTTCTTATTTCATTTTAAAGTTATTTAAATTTATAATTTATTTATTAGAGTCCTTTAGGAATGTTAACCCTTCTCAGTCACCCGATGCAAATATTTTTCTTGTTGGTTATTTGCCTTTACTTTTATTTATTTGTTTTGATATGTAGATACATTTACATTTTTTATGTAATATATCTTTTTAAAAATGGTTTCTGCTTTTCCTGAACATGTTTTCAGAATTTAAAATTGTATATGGAAAACAAATTACATGAAAGATTTGAGCATTTCAAAATTTTAAACATAAAAGCATAAACGTAGATAAAATGAAGGTGTACTATGATATCTTCAGTTTTATCAGAAATGATGTAAAAATTACAACCTCTTTAAAAAGTAGTGTTAATCATTAAGTTAGAAAATATATAGCTGGGCATGGTGGCAGATGCCTGTAATCCCAGCTACATGGGAAGGTGAGGTGGGAGAATCGCTTGAACCCAGGCAGTGGAGGATGCAGTGAGCCAAGATCATGCCACTGCACCCCAGCCTGGGTGACAGAACAAGACTCCATCTCAAGAAAAAAAAAAAAGAAAAATATATATATGAACTTCAGAATCTGAGGTCATATATAGACAGGTCTTTCCCCCGTTTCCTCTACTTTTTCTTGTAGCTTGGAATTAGTCAGTTTCATCATGCTATAATAAGCTTATCTGAAAGGCAGTAAAGTGATATTTTGTACAACTTCATTGGCTTTTTGAGAAGAACATTTTTAGGTTCTTAGTCCTAGAATTCTGCTGTTTGCTTGGAAAAAGAAAGTAATACATTTTCTTCTATGAAGGATTTCCTCAGCACACCATTGCTTCTTTATCTGACCAGGATGCAAAACCCTCTTTCAGCATGGCGTAAGTAAAGACCTTGAAAATATCAGTGATAATGTTTTTACATTTTTAATTCCTTCTTTTAAGTTATAAATTCAAAAGATAGGCAATGAAGACTATCTCTATATACTTGTATGGAGTGATCTTCAGGATAAATTACTAAGTAAAACAGTAGTTTGAGAGAATTTTGTAGTATGCTGCTAATCACCTAAGAAGAAAGTAGAGATGTAAGTGGATGTATATACTTGTTTATGTTAATAATAAAAACAATAGTATGGAAATAATAAAAACTTAAAAGGGGTGGAGGGGGAAATTTTTTTTTTTAATGTTTACCTCAGTGAGTGTGTAGGGAAAAGCAAAGGGTTAGACCCTAGACTTTTCTGAATGCATCACTTAATGATAGGGATACATTCTGAGAAATGCGTCATTAGGTGATACCATCATTGTGCAAACATCACAGAGTGCACTTACACAAACCTAGATAGTGTAGCCTACTAACATCGCAGTTATATAGTATAGCCTATTGCTCCTAGGCTGCACACCTGTACAGCATATTGTGTACTGAATAATGTAGGCAGTTGTAATGTAACACCTAGTGTTTGTTTAACTAAACACAGAAAAGGTACAACTAAAATGTATTATTTTATGGGACCACTGTCATATATGTGGTTCATCACTGACCAAAATGTTATATAGAATATTACTGTACCTTGTTTTAACTTCAGAGCTTTGTATTTTACATAATTATAAAACAAAATTAAATTTAAGAGAGTAATTCTTAAAAATCACAAACAAGATTTCTGCCTCCAGCCAAAAAGCTGTAACAGGGACTAGATTTACCCTCCTGTCAAAAAAAGCAGACAAAATATATAAAACAGTGGTTTTCAGACGTTGGACAGCAAGCCTTGCTGATAATGATCCCTGAAAGAAAGGAAACAAATGAGATGGGCCCTAAGAGCACTCCACCTTACTGCCTGGATGGAATTTCCAGGCTGCACACAGAGGCTGGAGATGTTGTTGAGTTGAAGAAACAAAGTTCATCTTTCAAGGAGGCTGAGATGGCGATAATTTTGCAGGTCAGAGTACTGGAGAGGAAAGATCTGCACAGAGAGAACTCTCTGGGGAGCTGCATAGACTTGCTCATGAGTCAGCAGCTGAGCGTTGATCAGCCCTTTTGTGTGAGGAGACTACTGGAAGTCAGGGAAAAAATCACTGGAAAGCAGCAGACAGAACAGTTTCCAGAGCTCACACAGAGAACATTCATGTTCTCACCAGTCTGTATGGAAATACCTCTTAACATGACAGGCATTGAATAGAGTCCACAGTAATGGGATCAAATTAATTCTATCACAAGAACTGGAACCAGAGGCAAAAAGAAAAGAAAAGAAAAGAAAAATCTAGACTAACAGCTGTTCTAGACCAGCCTAACAAAGTTTAAAAGCAAATTTTGAAGAGATTAAACTATTTCCAAGTTAATGAAGTATATTTCAGAACAAACCCTTAAATATTTGAGGGAATACAAAAAAAAAAAAAAAAGAAAAAATCCAGCACCCAAAACAAAGCAAAATTCACAATGTCTGGCAAAGCAAAATTCATAGTCCCTGGCAGAAATTACCAGGGATGCAAAGGAAAATATGACCCATAAAATGGAGAAAAATCACAGAATGGAAACATACCCAGAAATAACCCAGTTGGTAGAATTAATAGACAAAGGGTTGGGTGCGGTAGCTCCTGCCTGTAATGCTAGCACTTTGGGAGGCTCAGGTGGGCAGATCACTTGAGCCCAGGAGTTCGAGATCAGCACAGCCAACATGGCGAAACCCATCTCTACTAAAAACACAAAAATTAGCCAGGCCTGGTGGCACACGCCTGTAGTCCCAGCTACTTGGGAGGCTGAGGTACAAGAATGACTTGAACCCAGGAGGTAAAGGTTGCAGCGAGCTGAGATCGTGCCATTTCACTACAGCCTGGGTGACAGAGCGAGACTCTTATCAAAAAAGAAAAAAAAGAATTAGTAGACAAAGATGTTAGGACAACAATTATAAATGTACTCTGTATGTTCAGGATGTTAGAGAACATGAGAATGGTAAGAAGAGATATGGAAGGTATAAAAAAGACCCAAATCAAACTTCTAGTGATGAAGAATACAGTGTTTTAGATGAAAAATATATTGGCTGGGATTAACAGCAGATTAGACACTGCAGAAGAAAAAATTAGTGAATTCAAAGATAGTAATAGAGACTTTAAAAATGAAGAGAAGGGCTGGGTGTAGTGGCTCACATCTGTAATCCCAGCACTTTGGGAGGCCGAGGCAGGCAGATCACTTGAGACCAGGAGTTTGAGACCAGCCTGGCCAACATGATGAAACCCCATCTCTACTAAAAATACAAAAATTAGCTGGGTGTGGTAGCACGTGCCTGTAATCCCAGCTACTCAGGAAGCCAAGGCACGAGAATTGCTTGAACCTGGGAGGCGGAGATTGTAGTGAGTTGAGATTGTGCCACTGCACTCCAGCTTGGGCAACAGAGTGAGAAGCCGTCTCAAAAAAAAAAAAAAAAATGAAGAGGGGGAAAAAAATGAATGTAGCATAATTTAGTTATAAGACATACTCACAGATTTTAAAATAGACTTTTAGACCAGGCATGGTGGCTCACACCTATAATCCCAGCACTTTGGGAAGCTAAGGCAGGTGGATCACTTGAGGCTAGGAATTCAAGACCAGCAATATAGTGAGAGACCCCCATCTCTATATAAGTTATAAATTTTTTTTTAAATATAGACTTCTTTTGTTTTTTTTTTGAGATGGAGTTTCACTCTTGGCACCCGGGCTGGAGTGCAGTGGTGCAATCTCAGCTCACTGCAACCTCTGCCTCCTGGGTTCAAGCAATTCTACTTCAGCCTCCCAAGTAGCTGGGATTACAGGCGCCTGGCTAATTTTTGTATTTTTTAGTAGAGATGGGGCTTCACCGTGTTGGCCAGGCTGGTCTTGAACTCCTGACCTCAGGTGATCCACCCGCCTTGGCCTCCCAAAGTGCTGGGATTACAGGTGTGAGCCTCTGCGCCCGGCCAAAAATACAGATTTTTAAATAGATTTTTAAATAGTGTCAAGATTTTAAGGTCAAGATAGCATGCTTTCCCGCTCTAACTTTTCAGATCATTATATATTACCCTTTTTCCCCCTACAGGCATTTGGATGGCAATACTGAGCCAGGGCTTACATTAGGAGGCTATTTCTGCCCACAGTGTCGGGCAAAGTACTGTGAGCTACCTGTTGAATGTAAAATCTGTGGTAAGAAAACAACTATTCATTATTCAGTAAATCTTGAATGACTTCTTAATCTGTATTGCTGCTAAAATTAATGTAAATGTTAAGTTATTCCTATGTTTCTGGATTTAATCTGTGCAAAGAAAAATAGATTACTTTTTAAATTGAGTGCCCAGTACTCCACTTCCATGTATAAATGTAGCATTCTAGTTTCCTGATCCTCTTTCTGAAAAAAGTATATTCTTTAAAGGCAGTGCAGTAGATGTAGTAGACATTTTTCCATCTCTTACCTTTATAAAGTAAATATATATAAGAATGAAGAATTAAACTAATAGAATTGTCGAATTTTATTTCATTTATAATATAAGTAAGCAAATAGACCGAGACAGGTTGGTTACACACTTAGTGACAGAACTAAGACTCCATCCTACAATCTTCTGTTATAGCCACAGGTAAAATTAATAACTGCCATCCTAAAAGAAACTGAACATATTCTGCTGAAGTTACATCTTTTGGCTTTTCAGCCGTTGTCTTCATGAGGTTTGGACTACTCAACATGTCTCTCTGCTTAATGTGTTAGGTCTTACTTTGGTGTCTGCTCCCCACTTGGCACGGTCTTACCATCATTTGTTTCCTTTGGATGCTTTTCAAGAAATTCCCCTAGAAGAATATAATGGAGAAAGGTATTTCAGTTTGGACTAATTTATATCTGTTATAAGTGGTAAGCTAATGTTTGAATAGATTGTTACTACCTTAAAAAATAATCTGATTAACTTGGACAAGAGTACTTCTAATATGGAAGATGAGATAAAGAATGCCATAGTTATGATTGAAATGACTCGTTGCTAAATAGATCTGAATCTCCAGAAACCAAATAATTTCACTAAACCCACCTATGTATAAATAGGGGTGATGATTGTACTACTAAATCAGTTTTCCAGAAGGAAAAGAAAAAAAGCCCTGATTGGTAGTATTTGCTGATTTCCATGGTTTGAATACTCCCACCATGGCCAATTTTTAGCTACAATTAACAACCAGCTTTCTTGAATACATATTTAACAATATATCCTTTTGATCCAGTACAATCCAGTCCTAGCACACTACTGAAAATAAGAGGCTCATTCAGCACTTTGGGAGGCTGAGGTGGGAGGATCACTTGAGGCCAGGAGTTGAAGACTAGCTGGGGCAACATAGTGAGACACTGTCTCTTAAAAAAGAAAAAAAAAGCTGGACATGGTGGCTCATACCTGTAATCCCAGCACTTTTGGAGGCCAAGGCAGGCAGATCACCTGAGGTCAGGAGTTCAACACCAGCCTGAATGACATGGAGAAACCCCATCTCTACTAAAAATACAAAATTAGCCTAGTGTGGTGGTGCATACCTGTAATCCCAGCTACTCGGGAGGCTGAGGCAGGAGAATCGCTTGAACTCGAGAGGCAGAGGTTGCGGTGAGCCAAGATCGCACCACTGCACTCCAGCCTGGGTAACAAGAGCGAAACTTCGTCTCAAAAAAAAAAAAATCTGGCATAACATAATTTATCTAAAATCTTTAAGTATTTTTACGAATGCTATTTGTGTGAAATACAACAAATAAAGTCTGAAATAGAGGTAGTCAATCCTTTATAGAATAGTTTTCAGAAAATAAAGATTTACTACTTTTAAGAACATCTAGGATCGGCTGGCACGGTGGCTCACGCCTGTAATCCCAGCACTTCAGCAGTTCGAGACCAGCCTGGTCAACATGGTGAAACACCATCTCTACTAACAATATAAAAATTAGCCGGGTGTGGTGGGAGGTGCCTGTAATCCCCAGCTACTCAGGAGGCTGAGGCAGGAGAATCCCTTGAACCAGGGAGGTGGAGGTTGCAGTGAGCCAAGATCACACCATTGCACTCCAGCTGGGCGACAAGAGCGAAACTCCATCAAAAAAAAAAAGAACATCCAGGATTTAGGAGTCACATTAAACACTTACTGGCTAGCCGAAAACAATTATGTATCCATCTTGCTTTTCACACTTAAATCATTTAGAAGTCATTCAGTATCACCATATCTAGATCAATGTTGTTTTTGAAATTGTTGCATATTTCAGGTATAATTATGGTTTATATAATCAATTGCTTCCTGTTGGATATTTAAGGTTTTTTTTTTGCTATTAACAAATAATGCTTATATCTATATTTTTGAACATTTGTACAAGTATAAATGCATGGTAAATTCCTAGAGGTAAAATTACTGAGTCAAGAGTTTTACATGTTTTGTGAATTTTGATAGATATTGTAAAGTTGTTCTTCAAAGAACTTTCATTTATTGTTTTCCCACATTTAGCCAACATTAGGTATTATGAAACTTTTTTATATTGGCCAAAACTCACAGGCAAAAGAAAAAGAAAAAAGTCTCATTGTTTTAGCTTGGTATTTATTTGCTTATGGTTGAGGTTAAATATAGTAAAAATGAAAAACCCAGTACTATAGAAGATAGAGTTGAAGAAATATTCCAGAAAGTACAATAAAAGGAGTAAAATAAAGAGGTTCAAATAGGAGAGTAAAGATAAGAATACTGGTGGAATTATCCAGAAGGTCCAATGAGAATGATACGAGAAAAAAAGAAAAAAAGTAGGATAGAAAATCATCAAAGACATAGTTCAAAGAAATTTTATATTGAAGGACGGAACTTTCTAGATTGAAAGGGCCTGTTGGCTGGGAAGGGTGGCTCATAGCTCTAATCCTTGCACTTTGGGAGGCTGAGACTGGGGGATCACTTGAGGCCAGGAGTTCCAGGCCAGCCTGGGTCACACAGCAAGACCTCATCTCTGCAACGAAGATAAAAGAAAGGGACTGCCAAGTGCCTAACGTATTGAAGGAAGGCAGACCCCATAATTGTGAAATTTCAGAATACACAATAAACCATTAACCCTAAACATTTCCAGAGAGGAAAAACTAGGTCACACACAAAGGATCTGGAATTAAAATTGTTTGGCTTCTCATTAGCAACACCGGATGCAGAGAGGGAGCAGTCACCTTCAAAGTTTGTAGTGAAAATTGTTACCAACTTAGATACCCAGCCAAACTGTCAGTTAAGTGTAGGTAGAATAAAGACATTTTCAGACTTGTAAGGTCTCAAAAAGAGATTTTTCTGGGGAAGGTCTGGAAGAGGTAGGTGATTCAAAGGAACTGAGAAGGAGAATGACATGGGATCTAGTAATATGTATCTAATTCAAAACAGGCTGAAGAACGGCCTAGGATGATGGTAAGGAGAAATTCCAGAATGATACCTGTGTGTCACATATGGGGAACCGTCCAGTTTGGAGACAGTCAGGATGCTCCAGGAGAGAGATCACCAAGGGGATGAAAACTGCAGAACTCCTGATGTATTTGAACATATCGAGAGGACAGTTAGACTATTCCGGAGAAGATTGGGCCTGAATTAGTGTCAATTATATAGGAAACTAACCTTGGGAATAGCAACACAGTATTTCCAGGAAAAAAAAAAATGTTTTAAATAGGGGAAAACTTATGGCTTAGCTGAGAATATTTTTATAGGCATAGTAAACTAAACATTGATTATTGTTCTATCCAAAAGGAAGACTTCACTATGTAGAAAGAATTGAGAATGACACTAGTTAAATATTTATGCATTACTGGGTTCAAGATGATTGAAAGATAATTAAATTCTCTTCTTTCATAGTTGGAGATTTATAGCCAATAACTGTGAAGAATCACAAAGTAGCACTTATTAGAATAAGTGACTATCAAACAAACGTTAGAAAGTGCTTCTGGCTGGGCATGGTGGCTCATGCCTGTAATCCTAACACTTTGGGAAGCCAAGATAGGAGGATTGCTTGAGCCCAGGCATTCGAGACGAGCCTGGGCAATATAGCGAGACCCTGCCTCAATAAAAAATTAGCCAGGCATGGAGATACATGCCTGTAGTCCCAGCTACTCAGGAGGCTGAGGCAGGAGGATCACTTGAGCCCAGGAGGTTGAGGCTGCAGTGAGCTGTGATAGCACCTCAGCACTCCAGCCTTTGAGACAAAGCAAGACCCTGACTCGAAAACAAAGAAAAATAAAGCATGCTCACAGTTAACCTTAATGAAAATAAAAACTAAATTTTGGGCTGTCAGATGACCTTGTATATACTGTGGAATTTTTTTTTAAATTATTGCTATTCTTTTTTTTTTTTTTTTTTTTTTTTGTGAGTCAGAGTTTTGCTCCCGTTGCTCAGTGTGGAGTGCAATGACACCATCTCGGCTCACTGCAACCTCCGTGTCCTGGGTTCAAGCGATTCTCCTGCGTCAGCCTCCTGAGTAGCTGGGATTATAGGCGCCTGCCATCACGCCCAGCTAATTTTTGTATTTTTAGTAGAGACGGGGTTTCGCCACGTTGGCCAGGCTGGTCACGAACTCCTGACCTGAGGTGATCCACCCGCCTCGGCCTCCCAAAGTGCTGGGATTATAGGCGTGAGCCACTGTGCCTGGCCTATTGGTATTCTTAACTCTTTTTCCTGAAAGTCATGTGTAAAGACAAGTACATATTAATTAAAGGATTCTAGTTAGTGAGATTTTGTTGAACTATTTTAATGAGTAAATTCTAAGAAAAAACATTGTTAAACTTTTTTTTCAGATTTTGTTATGGATGTCAGGGGGAATTGAAAGACCAACATGTAAGTTCTTTGGCTTTCTAAATATTAAGTAATGTACAAGAAATATTGAAATCAATGGTACTATAAGTTTTCAACAGGTTGTTAAAGACCAGGCTCATATCAGTTTATTTCTTGTAAAGATAATGACAATAGGTGAAGGTAAAATAGGAACAAAATAGTTTAAATAGTAGTTTTGTTATTCTGCATTCTAATTTTTGCTATAAAGTATTTTGTAATTCATCTTTTTAAAACTTTTTATTAAAAATTTTTTAATTTTTTTCCTCTTTTTTTAAATTCTTTGATTGTTTTGTCTACTTTGGTACACCCTTGTAAAACATGTAATTTGTCTTTAGCTTTCAAGCTAAACTGCATTTAGTCTGAAAGTATTTAAAATATTTTCTTCATATTATACTTTAAGCTGTGTGATAACACATTGAAATTGTTTAAGGTGGCCACAGATAATAGGTGATTCTTCCATTATGCCAATGAGAAAATACTTTTTTAAATTTTGAAGAGGGCCAACTTTAATAAATAAATTTGTATAGATGTAAATAATATGGATCACTGTCTAGCTTTAATTTTTAATTTAGTTACATGTTCATATTTAAAACTATATATATTATATAAAATAATAATTAGAAGTATTGCTCTTCCACTGTCACAATTTATAAAGTAATTTTATTAAATTTTATATACCTCTTTGACATCAGTAGTTTACTCTTAACTGGAACCACTTTTTGAATCATTTGACAGTTTTTTGGTTTTATTTTCTGAGACAGACTCTTGCTCTGTCACCCAGGTTGTAGTGCAGTGATGCAATCTTGGCTCACTGCAACCTCTGCCTCCCAAGTTCAAGTGATTCTCATGCCTAGCCTCCCAAGCAGCTGGGATTATAGGCGTGCACCACCATGCCCAGCCAATTTTTGTATTTTTAGTAGAGACTGGGTTTCACCATGTTGACCAGCTGGTCTTGAACTCCTGGGCTCAAGCAATCCACCCGCCTTGGCCTCCCAAAGTGCTGGGATTACAGGCGTGAGTCACTACACCCGGCCTCATTTGAGTTTTTAAGAATAGGTCATTGTCTGTGTTGTTTGAAATTTATTTATTCATTCTTTTTTTTTTTTTTTATTCAAAGCCAAATACTTCTGAGATTTAGTGATTTTTGAATCTGTGTATGAAGCTGCCCTGGAAATTTTATCCCAAGGAGCAAGTACTCATATATGTAATGCTGAAAGAACAAATGTAGTTTTTTCCTTTCTGCTTGTCTTATCTGTGTCATTTGACATATTTTTTTAAAGGTTTACTTGAAAGGGAAATATGTTTGCAATTGTGAGGTCATTCCCTAAGAATAATTAAATCGATGTTAAATTTTTATGCTTCTCTTTTTAATTGAATCAATCAGGTGGTCTTGCTAAGCATTCAAAAGTAGCGCTGGTTTGAAGCTCATATGTCTTTCCTAAACCTTAGAATGAAATAATTGAGAGCGAACTGTAATAGAATAGACTTTAAAGACTCAAAAACAAAACCATTCCCTCATTTCTAAGGGATAGTTTTGGGGAAAAAATTAATTGCCTTAGATTTGAGAATATAGAGTACATTGGAAGTAATAAAGTAGGTAGTGGGAAAAAATTGGTAGAGATATAAAAGAGCAAAGCACACCTTGAATGTCATCTAGCTGTGCTGTAATTAACTTTTGGAAACTAGTTTATCACTTTTCTTCTTTTCACTACAGGTTTATGTTTGTGCTGTGTGCCAAAATGTTTTCTGTGTGGACTGTGATGTTTTTGTTCATGATTCTCTACACTGTTGCCCTGGCTGTATTCATAAGATTCCAGCTCCTTCAGGTGTTTGATTCCAGCATGTAGTATACATTGTATGTGTTAAAAAGAAATTTGCAACTGTGAATAAAAGGACTTCTTTAGAAGAAGCTTCATTTAAAACATGAAAGGATAATCTGACTTAAGAAACTTTTTGCTAAGAAAAGGTAATATTTTATTAAATTTTAAATTTGTGTTGTCACAGAAATACCTGAAATTCAGTAGTACTTCATTCAATTAATTTTGTTTTCTATTATTTTGAGTTATACTGTTTTCAAAGTCATTATGCAGTATGTATAAACTTATAAGAATTAAATTGATGTGATAATTTTATGTTTTTATAATTAAATATAGAATCTTTATGATTTATGTTAATTCATTAATTTAGTGTAAGAAGAAAGTTAAGTCTGAATGTAAATTCAGTGTAAGATGAAAATTTATCAATACTTATGAAATTAGGCTGGGCGCTGTGGCTCACACCTGTAATCCCAACACTTTGGGAGGCTGAGGTGGGCAGATCACTTGAGGTCAGGAGTTCGAGACCAGCCTGGCCAACATGGTGAAACCCCGTCACTACTAAAAATACAAAAAATAATTAGCCGGGCATGGTGGTTCACGCCTGGAGTCCCAGCTACTTGGGAGGCTGAGGCAGGAGAATCGCTTGAACCCAGGAGGCGGAGGTTGCAGTGAGCCGAGATTGTGCCACTGCACTCCACCCTAGAGTGAGACTCCCTCTCAAAAAAAAAAAAAGTTATGAAATTAATACATATGAAATGATGTACTGCTACATCCACCAGAGAGGTCTTTTTAGGTTTAACCAAACATCTGGAATATGTTTATCAAGTTAGTACATCTGAAATTATTTGTGGCTATGACCAACAGAAGTCACTTTACATTAAACATTCAAACTCACAAGACTGCCATGGCCATACTTGGTACCCGCTTACTCAGAAGGATATTAAACAGAAACAACAGCCTGCCAGCACAGCATCAAGCAGTCCTCATTAGCAGTGGAAGTCCTTGTAGCAGTCCACTAGTACAATTTGGGTGCAAGGAGATAAGATCCTCCACAGGCATCAAGGAACCAATATCTCTTAACAATTCCATAAACACAGCTTCCAGGTATCCACAAGGGATGTGTCAATTTCAAGAGTCACTACACTCAGGAAAGCCTAAAGCTTGAAGACTCCATTTATTTATAGTGCATCCCAATCCAGATACGTAACAATTAACGAGTTATTTTTACTATAAGCAAAGTTGCCTAAAATCATAGTTGATACTAACCATGGTTAACAGAGCTCTAAAGTTTGACAGAAAGTGAGATTCAAATCCTTTCACTCTCATATGCTAAACCTTTTGCCTTACTCTGGGTCATCAGAGAAATTTAGGTGAGAATGTATGATGAAGTCTGTGTTTTAGATTCAATGCAGATATATCATTGTGGGCAGAACTCTTTCTGGTTATATCCAGTTAAGAGTAAATCAGGCTTTCAGCCGGGCGCGGTGGCTCACGCCTGTAATCCTAGCACTTTGGGAGGCCGAGGCGGGCAGATCACGAGGTCAGGAGATCGAGACCATCCTGGCTAACACGGTGAAACCCCGTCTCTACTAAACATACAAAAAATTAGCTGGGCCTGGTGGCGGGCGCCTGTAGTCCCAGCTATTCGGAAGGCTGGGGCAGGAGAATGGTGTGAACCCAGGAGGCGGAGCTTGCAGTGAACCGAGATCGCTCCACTGCACTCCAGCCTGGGCGACAGAGCTAGACTCTGTCTCAAGAAAAAAAAAAAAAAAAAAAAAAAAAAAAGAGTAAATCAGGCTTTCATAGCAAAGGTATGTCTATTTTATGTATATAAACTTCAGGTACTCTAACTTGAGTTTCACTATGAAATTTGTGATTTTTTTTTTTTTTTTTTGAGATGGAGTCTTGCTCCATCGCCCAGGCTGGAGTGCAGTGGCCTGCTGTTGGCTCACTGCAACCTCCGCCTCCCAGGCTCAAGCCATTCTCCTGTCTCAGCCTCCTGAGTAGCTGGGACTACAGGCGCCTGCCACCACGCCTGGCTAATTTTTGCATTTTTGGTAGAGACGGGGTTTCACCTTGTTGATCAGGCTGATCTCCAACTCCTGACCTCAGGTCATCCACCCACCTCCGCCACCGTGCCCGGCCGAAATTTGTGATTTTATAACTAAGAATTTTTAGTTAAGAACATTATCAGTAAAGACAACGTAATCCCACCCTGGAGAGTTTATTGGGAGCCCAGGAATATTCATTTTTAATACACACACACACACACACACACACACACACACACACACACTGATCAGAGTAACGGGAGTTTCTCTCAGGAGTCATACTCCATGAGCCTGGACCCAGTGGTTCTTTATGTGGAAACAAATTTCACCTATAGGTAACCTGGTAACTGCTATTTTCTTCTGTGTGCTCTGTCAACAAAGGTATCAGTGGCTTGCAGGAGATGCCTTTAATACTCAGAGCATTCTATCTCCCCCTATCTGGTTTAGAAGGAAGGCCTTCATTAGTTACCTTTTGAGAAGTTACTAGAACTCTCTATTAGAGACTTACCCTCCTGACCTGATAAAAAGGGATACCCATGTCTCTATTAACAGCTTTATCTCTTTCTACAGTTTTGGGTATTTGATAAGGTTAAGGCAAAATTTTAGTTATGCTTAAGGAGGAGTTCTTTTTTCACAATTACAGAGAAAATTTTGGTTTGTTGAAGATTGCAGAAACAGCAATGGTAATGTAAGACAGTTTTGGCCTTTAATTTTTTTCTTGAAACTCTACAGTATACTACAATAGTGAAGGAAACTATTATCATGAGAGATCCTTCTGAATAGGATGTCTTTCTGAGTTCCACTATTCAGTTACAAAACTCCTTAATGCTTAAAATTCATTATGAAAATTAGATTTATTTTAAATACTTTCAAGTGTATACATTTTTATTTCATAATTTTTATTGTCTTTTAACTAAAGCATTTAGTTCATTTATATTTACTGTGTACCTTTTATATTTAATAAATATATTTACTTATTAAAAGATTACCACTGATATATTTTATTTATTATAAATATTATATTTATAAATATATTATTTATATTTATATTTATATATTTATATATATTTATATATAATATATATTTTAATATATTATATATTAAAATATATAAATATATCTAATAAATATAAATATTTATTAAAAGATTACCACTGATATATTTGGGTTTAAGTCTATTATCTTTGTGTTATTGGTTCCAACAATTCCATCTTTCGTTTTTTTAAATTTTTTTAACTACATATTTGATACGATCTTTTCCTTCTTGCCTTCTTTTTGATTACTTACTTTCTACCATTCTATGTTTTTCGTCACTAGTTTGAAAATTGTATACTTTGTTTTTATTCTTTCAGTGGTTACCCTAGAAATTACAACAAACAAAAATTGCAACAACAATAAATTACAACAAGAAGAATTTTTTTTTTTTTTTTTTGAGACAGAGTCTCGCTCTGTCGCCCAGGCTGGAGTGCAGTGGCGCGATCTCAGCTCACTGCAAGCTCCACCTCCCGGGTTCATGCCATTCTCCTGCCTCAGCCTCCCGAGTAGCTGGGACTGCAGGTGCCTGCCACCACGCCTGGCTAATTTTTTGTATTTTTACTGGAGACGGGGTTTCACTGTGTTAGCCAGGATGGTCTCGATCTCCTGACCTCATGATCCATCTGCCTTGGCCTCCCAAAGTGCTGGGATTACAGGCGTGAGCCACCACGCCTGGTCAACAACAAGAATTTCTTAACTTAGGTCCCCTAGGAAGTAGAACCTGAGGCAAAGATGAAAGTATTGTTACTTTATTAGGGAGGGACAGATCTAGGGGGGTGAGAGTGTGGAAGAAAAGGGAAAGCAAAGCAAGGAAAAACGTGATGCATTGTGTTACTGCAGTGACCAGGCTTCATGACAAGCTGTGACGAGATACAGGAGCCTTCCAGCAAGTGTGTTCACTTAGAGTGTGGGGCTTCTCCAGAAGGTTTATAAGGAGAAACTGCCCCTCTGAGCAGTCCATTGAAGGGAGGAAGGAGAAGTAACTTAGTTTCCTAAGTTCTTCCATTTCCCGTTGATCCTAGTTTGCCCACAGGGCTGTGTCATCTTGTCCTTTGGTAACTGCTCAGGAAGCCAGATCTCGTGCTCAGTGGTGTGGCATTGCATCTACTTCTAGAAGGATTTCTCAATACTTTATAACTTCCTCATGTTTCTGGTCATGTCTGTGTTCAGCTATATCTCTAGAACGGTTGGCCAATTCATAGCATGAAATGATTTCATGAGTGGTGACAAAGAAAGGGTGCAATCAGCCCTTGGGGAGTGGGTTAGTGGAATCCCAGTCCTGAGGCCATTAGTGGGTGGCAGAGTTTAGGAGAAAAGGTAAGAAGTTTCAGTCCTTGGGCCCTGTAGTAAGGAGAAAAAGGGTACAGGAGGTTGTCACACTTCTGAGAAGTAGTCTTAGAGTGCCCTAGTGCCTGCTTTGGATCCAGTTCTGTAAGGGCAGAGGATTCATTATTTCCAGGTAATTTAAGTATGTTCTGGGGAGAAGTGTTACAAGATGGACTGGGGACTCGGCTGGGATCCTGATGGGATCTAAATTATTGATTTCACCTGACTGAATTGCTATTTGCGTCACACCTCAGGACCCTGGAAACAATACACAATTTGCCCATTCATTAATTTATTAATTCACTCAACAAACTTGTACATCTGCCATAAGTCTGACACCATCCTAGTTATCAGGGATGTAGATAGTCAAAAGAAGATGTAAACCTAACCTCATGCATCTGTGAATCTCCCCATCTAAAAAGACACAGCCTTGTAAAGAAGCTTGTGTGAAAGTGCTAACGACAGACATGCCAAGTGTTAAGGGGATGCAGGAGAGGCGTGGTAAAATGGGTTGGGAGGCAGCTCAGATGTCTAAAGGGGTCAGGCAGACAATGCAGATAAGTGAAAGAGGGCCAGTTGATGCAGAGTGGGGACATCTGGAAAGCACCCGCCCCATCTAAAGGAGGCAGCCTCTGAGAGTCTGGGGATCAGGGATAGAAGGGAGATGTACTTTTCACTGTACATCCTTTTGTATTTTTTAAATTTTGTTACTTAATTCAAAAAAATGTAAAAATAAAGTGAGGTAACCATTATTTGGCCCCAGCCTATTTTTTTCTTCTGGGAATGATACTTAAAGAGAAACTAAATCTGGATTTTTTTTTTTTTTTTTTTTTTTTTTTTTTTTTGAGACAAAGCCTTGCTCTGTTCCCCAGGCTGGAGTGCATTGGTGCAATCATGGCTCACTGCAGTCTCGACCTTCCAGACTCAAGTGATGGTCCCACTTCAGACTCCCTAGTAGCTGGGACCACAGGTGTGTGCCATTGTGCCTGGCTAATTTTTAAAAAGTTTTTTTTTGTAGAGACAGTGTCTTCCTATGTTGCCTAGGCTGGTCTTGAACTCCTGAGCTTAAGTAATCTGCACACCTCAGTCTTCCAAAGTATTGGAATCACAAGCGTGAGCCACCATGCCCAGCCGTAAAAACTGGATTTTTAAAGTGAATTCTCCCAAGTTTGAGATGTTAGCCTCTAATTTAGAAAAACACAGAGGCTAAATAAAACTTATCTTCAGTCCACCAGTTGACAAACTTTGGCCTGGCCTGTCTCTTTTCTATCGTTTATCATCAGGGCAGATAATCTTTTAAGTTTCAGGTGTTACACTTTCCTGGGATATACTCCTCTTAGGGGATAATTTATTTACTTTTTGTTTTTGTTTTTGTGACAGAGTCTTGCTCTGTCAACCAGGCTAGAGTGCAGTGGCATGATCTTGGATCACTGCAACATCTGCCTCCCGGGTTCAAGTGATTCTCCTGCCTCAGCCTCCCGAGTAGCTGGGACTACAGTCATGTGCCACCATGCCTGGCTGATTTTTGTATTTTTAGTAGTGACGTGGTTTCACACCATGTTGACCAGGCTGGTCTCGGAACTCCTGACCTCAAGTGATCCACCCACCTTGGCCTTCCAAAGTGCTGGGATTACAGGTGTGAGCCACCGTGGCCAGCCTTAGGGGATAATTTAGGTTTTTTGTGTTTCTGTTTTAAATTTAAATTTTTGTTTTTTTGAGGCAGTATCACTCTGTCTCTCAGGCTGGAGTGCAATGGCACAATCAACTCACTGCAGCCTTGAATTCCTGGGCACAAGTGATCCTCCCAATTCAGCTTCTCAAGTAGCTAGGACTACAGGTGTGCACCACCATGCCTGGCTGAATTTTTTTTTTAAGAGATGGACTCTTGCTGTGCTGTCCAGGCTCGTGTCAACTCCTGGCCTCAAATGATCCTCTCTCCTAGGCCTCCCAAAGTGCTGGGATTACAGACGTTAGCCACTGTGCCCAGCCTAGTTCAAGTTTTAAGCATTAAGAATTGACTCTTTGGAGGAATAGGGATCTTTTAAGGATCTCTACAGTCAGTGACTCTAAATGTAGTGTTTGGACCAGTAAGTAGCATTAGCATCACCCAAGAAGTCATTAGAAATGCAAATTCTTGGCCAGGCGCGGTGCCTCATGCCTGTAATCCCAGCACTTTGGGAGGCTGAGGTGGGTAGATCACGAGGTCAGGAGTTCGAG
The DNA here is from genome assembly GCF_000001405.40 of Homo sapiens. Lineage (NCBI taxonomy): Eukaryota > Metazoa > Chordata > Mammalia > Primates > Hominidae > Homo > Homo sapiens. The sequence goes on from NW_025791777.1 coordinate 265,503, forward strand.
ACCAGCTTGACCAACATGGTGAAACCCTGTCTCTACTAAAAATACAAAAATTAGCCGGCCGTGGTGAAGGGCATCTGTAATCCCAGCTACTCAGGAGGATGAGGCAGGAGAATCACTTGAATCCAGGAGGCGGAGGTTGCTGTGAGCCAAGATCGCACCACTGCACTGCAGCCTGGGCAACAGAATGAGACTCCATCTCAAAAAAAAAAAAAAAAAGCAAATTCTTGAGCCCCATCACAGGCCTGTTGAATCAGAAACTCTGAGGATGGGTCTAGCAGTCCGCTTTAACAAATCCTCCAGGTGGTTACCATAAATGTTGAAGTGTGAGAGCTACTGCCTGTAATCCCATTTAGAGAGGTACATAGGTAACTTAAAAACAGGTCCTGATAAAAGAATTCTACTAAACTTAAAAAACAAATTCAGGTAACTTTATAAACAAACAAATCTCGGCCGGGCGCGGTGGCTCACGCCTGTAATCCCAGCACTTTGGGAGGCCGAGGCAGGCGGATCACGAGGTCAGGAGATCGAGACCATCCTGGCTAACACGGTGAAACCCCGTCTCTACTAAAAATACAAAAAATTAGCCGGGCGTGGTGGCGGGCGCCTGTAGTCCCAGCTACTCGGGAGGCTGAGGCAGGAGAATGGCGTGAACCCGGGAGGCAGAAATTGCAGTGAGCCGAGATCGCGCCACTGCACTCCAGCCTGGGTGACAGAGCAAGACTCCGTCTGAAAACAAACAAACAAAAAAAACAAATCTCAAACATGGAATTATTTTTTCACTTCTCTCTTTTGTTTTGTTTTTTTTTTTTTTTGAGACAGAGTCTCGCTCTGTCACCCAGGCTGGAGTGCAGTGGCGCGATCTCGGCTCACACTGCAATTTCTGCCTCCCGGGTTCACACCATTCTCCTGCCTCAGCCTCCCGAGTAGCTGGGACTACAGGTGCCCGCCACCACGCCCGGCTAATTGTTTTTTTGTATTTTTAGTAGAGACGGGGTTTCACCGTGTTAGCCAGGATGGTCTCGATCTCCTGACCTCGTGATCCGCCCGCCTCGGCCTCCCAAAGTGCTGGGATTACAGGCGTGAGCCACTGCGCCCGACCTTTTTCACTTCTCTTAATGCTCTGTAAACATTAATGTATTTATATATGTACTTAGAATTTTAAAAAATCAATTTTATTGAGTTATAATTAACATACAGTAAAAATGCTCCCATCTTGAGTAATTCCATGCCTTTTGACAAGTGTTCTGTACCCATGCCACGACCACCACAATCGAGAGAGAACATCTTCATCACTCCAGAAGGGCTCCTTCATCACTCCAGAAGGGCTCCTTTGCAGTGAGTACTCCCTAGGAGTTCCAGCGGCCGGTGACATTGATCTGTTTTCTGTCACTGTAGATGAGATTTGTCTGTTATATACAATTTTTAAAAATTAAATGATATGTATGGCTTCTTTTGCTTAGCATAATGTTTTTGAGCTTATTCATTTGTTGCATATATCAATACTTTGCTTCTTTTTACCACCTGTACTTCATTTATGGATACGTTGTTTATCCATGTGTTTATCCCCAATGGACATTGGGTTGTTTCTGATTTTTTGGTTATTATTATGAATAAAGTTGCTATGAACATTATCGTATAAATCTTTGTGTGTTCATGTGTTTTCATTTTTCTTGGGTAAATATGTAGGAATGGAATTGCTAGATTGTATGGCAAGAGTATACTTAGCTTTCCATGACACCAGTGAACTGTTTTTCCAAAGACATTGTATTAATACCATTTTACATTCCCACAACTAATGTATGAGCTTCCAGTTGCTCCATATCCTCAACTAACAGTTGATATTGTACAATACAAATGTTAACTTTTAGAATATCTTCACAACTTTAGAGTAGATAGTGATTTCTTAGGACACAAAAACTATCAATCATAACAAAAATTAAAATTGGACTTCATCAAAATTAAAAACTTCTTTTTGAAAGACACCATTAAGAAAATGAAAAGATGGTTAACAGACTGAGAGAATATATGTGCAATGTAAATATCTAACAAAGGACTAGTATGCAAAATATATAAAGAATCCTTATAATTTAGTAATAAAAAGGAAAACACGCACTTTTTAAATGGGTCAAGAATTTAATTACGGCCAGGTGCAGTGGCTCACACCTGTAATCTCAGCACTTTGGGAGGCCGAGGTGGGTGGATCACGAGGTCAGGGGTTCGAGACCAGCCTGGCTAACATGGTGAAACCCTGTCTCTACTAAAAATACAAAAATTAGCTGGGCGTGGTGGTGGGCGCCTGTAATCCCAGCTACTCGGGAGGCTGAGGCAGGGGAATCGCTTGAACCCAGGAGGCGGAGGTTGCAGTGAGCTGAGATTGTGCCACTGCACTCCAGCCTGGGCGACAGAGCGAGACTCTGTCTTTTAAAAAAAAAGAAAAAAATTTAATTACCTTACCAAAGAAGATACATGAATGACCAATAAGCCATTAAATTAAAACTTCAGTGAGTATACACATATGCCCTGAAGTAGCTAAACTTTAAAACACTGCCCTATGTGTGTGTACTTTTTAGCTAAAAAAGTGTTTGAAAACAGTATTATTTTGAAACTCAAAATTCCAAATCCTCTCTTCAAATTAGGTAGTAGTGTCACTGGAAGTAAAAGAGAAGTTACTTTAACTGCTAAAGAGTATCCACTAAGAATCTACAACAAACATCATGTTTAATGCTCAAACTTTAGAAGAATTTATACCAAAAGTCAAGAATAAGATAGGATATCTATCTTCATTATTAAGCAACATTATATTAGAGGCCCTAATCAATGCAACAAGGCAATAAATAAAAGACAAAACTGTCATAATCAGATACTACAAACATCTAAGAAAATTCAGGGGGATTTACAGTCATATATTAAACAGTCCAGAAGGAGTCCTATACATCATCAATGAATATTGAGAATAAAAAATAGTTTTTAAAACCCCTCCAATTTATAAGGGCAACAAAATGTACAAGGTACTAAAATAAATGTAATGTGTATTTGGGTATAAATACAGCAACATAATGAAAAGGTTTATTGGGGAAAAAATTACAGGGAGAAGGGTCAACAACGTGAAGAGGTTCCCCTGCCATCTGGACTTCTGGAAAAAGACCTGCTGGTCTAGGCACAGCTGGATGCACCATGGAAAGTGGTTCCAATAAACACTGGCACTGTAACAATTGTGTATGTTGATACAAAAAGAGGGAGCCAATGAATACTTGGTCGATTATTTAACAATTGCTTCTCTGCTGAAGAAATGGCCTTGTTGGACTAGAGCTTAACTGTGGTTCACATACTAATGCTGCTATAACAGCTAGAAGCCTTACTAAGAAATTTACTAAACCACCAAAAAGAGGAAATGAACCTTCTAGGACATCTGGATTGCCTTTTCTTAAAAATCTAGTCTTGGCTGGGTGCTGTGGTTCACGCCTGTAATCCCAGCATTTGGTGAGGCCGAAGTGGGCGGATCACGAGGTCAAGAGATCGAGACCATCCTGGTCAACATGGTGAAACCCTGTCTCTACTGAAAATACAAAAATTAGCTGGGCGAGGTGGCATGTGCCTGTAGTCCCAGCTGCTGGGGAGGCTGAGGAAGGAGAATCACTTGAACCCGGGAGGCGGGGTTTGCAGTGAGCTGAGATCACGCCATTGCACTCCAGCCTGGCAACAGAGCAAGACTCAGTCTAAAAAAAAAAAAAAAAAAATCTAGTCTGTATGGCAGCACAACATCAGGTAAAAGTACAGACTAGCCAGATCACTGGTTAACCTTAACCCCTATGTGCTTGAGTTTCCTTATCTGTAATATGGAGATGATATAGCAATAGCTGATTTTGGACTGTTAAAGGAATTAAGTGGACACATGTAAAGTGCTTAGAATTGTGCCTGGCAAGTAGTAGGCTGCAATATTGTGATATAATAAATATATATATTTGATCTTCATCCAGTTCCTGGCACAGATCTCCAGAAACCCTTGTAATTTCCTGAGTGACAGGGGTGATAGAAACATCTTTTATTAGAATACTTGGTCTTGGTTCCTGACACAAGAGCTTCTAAGACCTTTGGAATCTCCAAGTGATAAGAGTGTATGACAGTGAGCTAACTGGTGGCTGGGATCCTTTAGACAACTTCAGGATGGGGGCTATCCCGTGAAAGACTAAGGCATGATTAGAGGTCTGGGATTTGCAGCCCCACGCCTCGACCTCCAGAGAGGGTAAAAGGGCTGGCGATTGATTAACCACCAGTTGCCAGTGATTTAGCCAATCATGCCTAAGTGATGGCACCTCCATTAAAAAATAAACCACAGGTTTGGAGAGCTTTCGGTTTGGTTAACCCCAACCACATACCAAGAAGGCGATGCACCTCAAACTGCATGAAGACAAAAGGTCCTGTGCTCACCTGGGACCCTTCTGGACGTTGCCCTGTGTACCTCTTCGACTGCCTGTTCATCTGTATCCTTTATAATAAAGCAGTAAACATAAGTAAAGTTTCTGAGTTCTGTGAGCCATTATAAGAAACGATCGAACCTGGGATTTTCCTTTCGGAAGCCGCTCTCTCTCACAAGGGAGAGAGCTGTTCTCCTTTTTCTTTTGCGTGTTAAACCTCCGCTCCTAAACCCACTCTTCGTGTGTATCGTGTCCTTAACCTTGTTGGTGCGAGACGACGAACCCCGGGTATTGACCCCAGACAACAATGCCACTTCATATTGGGGACTTCGTCTGGGATTCCAAGGTGCATTCATTGCAAAGGTGAGTAAAGGGGCGGACCTCAACTCTGTCCTTTGATTTCGAGGCTCTTGGCCTCCATTTTAGAATCAAACCAAACCAAATACTGGGCCCCCTTCTGCTTCTGTGAATGAGAAAACTCTGCCTTCACCAATTAGCCATTTAAAAATTATGAGCGTGGCTGCCAGCCTTACAAGTTTTGGGGGACAGGCTTGCTGGGGAGAACATGGAGAACCCCCCAATACCCACGGGCTGCTGGGCATATTGGCCATGTTTGAACCAGTTTCCTTTCACGGAGGACCAAGCTGTCGTGTGGGGCTGGAAGAGGTCCTGGAGCAACTGAGGATTTCTGGCTGGGGCTACCTCCTGGTGCCATCCGAAGGCTTCTGGACTGACCCCAGCCTCCGACCACCCTAAGGGGTGTCAGCAACAGGACCTCCAACTTTCCTATCATAATTCCCTCATTTCCTATCCACGACCACCATGTCTCCTAACCTCTCTCTGTATGCAGTACTGAGGGAGTTTTACAGTTCAGGGAAGTAATCTTGTTAGGCAAGAACAAAGACTGCTGTAGTAACCAGGGATATAGCACAGGGGCATGCTGTTGTGATTTTCTAGGAACAGAGGGTCTCCTCTCCCACCACAGTGAGCGTCACTCTCTGCCCTTGCTCTGGAAAGCACATGGCATGTCAAGGTCACTCTGCCCTTTGTCATAGTAAGATTAGGGTGGGGCGCCCAACCTTCCCCGCGTGCTATGTAAACGTCACACCTGTTCAAACCAACCTGTGGGCTCTGCGCAAATCAGACGCCGCCTCCTCAGGCCTACCTATAAAATCTGGTGCAGTCCACCGCAGGCCGGATTTTCCTTTCGGAAGCCCCTCACAAGGGAGAGATCTGTTCTCGTTTTTCTTTCTTTTGCCTATTAAACCTCTGCTCCTAAACTCCCCCAACCCCCAAGAAAGAAATTATCGAACCTGAGGGGGTTGCAGATACCCATGATTTGTAGTGAACTCAGACAGAAGTGTGGGTACCCTGAGGTCCTAATAGTTGTGGCTGGCATCTGAAGTAGGGGGCAGTCTTGGGGGCTGAGCCCCTAACCCGTGGGGTCTGCACTAACTCTGGTTAATTAGCATCAGAATTGAGTAAAATTGTAAGACACTCAGCTGCTGTCTGTGGAGAACTGGAGAATTGGTTGGTGGAAAACCCATATATTTGATGTCAGAAATGTGAGTAGAGAAATGGTTTTTCCTTGATAGGCTCTATGTAAATTTTAGTTCATGTTTTTGGTAATAAATACACAATATTACTGATTCTTAAAAGTATAAACCCAGGAAAATTAAGAAAACAAGAATGTCAAGTCCAACAGAGTTTAAAGGTAAAAAAAAATAAAATAGAACAGAAATGGGACCAGTAGCACATAGAATATTTTAACACATTCTTGGAAAGTAGAAACTATATGGACTAGTAGTCAGGAAGGAAGCAGCTCAAGGAAACCGCTTCCTGAATATGGAGTCTCCTATGAGAGACTATCTGCCCTATGGAGAAGCTTGGAGTAACTGCGGACACAGGATGCCAGATAGGAAGGAGGGCTGGAGTGACATGAAGGGCTGAAAATTGAGGGACTAATTGGAAGCCCGTGCACGGGACAGTCAGCTCTCTCTACCCCATGATCAGAATATTTGACACACAAGTGTTTACCCTGGGGCAAAAAATTACAGGAGTCTTCCCTGCTTCCCCCAAAATTGAACACATTGCTTTCTCTTAGCTGACCTAGAGAACCAGTGTGGGCACTGGCACCCCAAAACTAAGAATCCTTTTAAGAAATGGTGATTTTATGTCCAAGGAACGTTCCAAGTAAGTTTTCGGCTGCTAGCTTTGTCTTTACAAGTAACGGGCCAGGCCCAGTGGCTCATGACTGTAATCCCAGCATTTTGGGGGACTGAGGTGGGCAAATGGCTTGAGGTCAAGAGTTCAAGACCAGCTTGGGCAACATGGCGAAACCCTGTCTCTACTAGAAATACAAAAATTAGCCAGGTGTGGTGGTGCATGCCTGTAGTCCCAGCTATTGTGGGGCTGAGATGAGAGGATCACTTGAGCCTGGGAGGTAGAGGCTGCAGTGAACCGAGATTGTGCCACTGCACTCCAGTCTGGGTGACAAAGTGAGACCCCATCTCCAAAAACAAAACAAAACAAAAAAAACCCCAAGTAACTTGAAATCATTTTCTGAAATCTTTCTCTGACATTCTGACATTAGGGTAATTCTTGTTCTCCATAGAGTGAAAGGCTCAGGTTCAAGTCCCACTCCTGTGGCTCCTGATTTTTTAATGATTAGTTTGACCAATGTGTTTTTAAATGACTTAATTTTTAAACATGAGTTGAAAACCCAGGATCACTACACATTTGAGGAAAGTTGATAATATGAAAAGTAAACACCAAGGTAAGTGGTAAAAACCTTTGAGGAAACATAATTCAGGAAACAGGAACTTAAACATTAGTATCGTACAGCAGATTCAGGAAGATGGCACTGGTTAAAAAAATTGACACTATGAAAATAAGGCACAGAGAAAAGAAAGAGCTGTGGGAAATTATAATTGCTGAAATTTTAAACTAGATTGGAGAGCCGGAATATAAAGGAGAGGACAGCTGGGTGCGGTGGCTCACACCTGTCATCCCAGCATTTTGGGAGGCTGAGGCCGGCAGATCACTTGAGCCCGGGAGTTTGAGACCAGCCTGGGCAACAAGGTGAGACCCCCATCTCTACACAAAATAAAATATAAAATCAGCTGTGCATGGTAGCACACGTCTGTAGTCCCAAAACTTGGGAGGCTAGGTGGGAGGATCACTTGAGTCCAGGAGGTGGTGGCTGCAGTGAGCTGTGATTGTGCCATTGCACTCCAGCCTGGATGACAGAGCGAGACCCTTAGAAAGTAGGAAAAGAATATATGAAAAAAAAATAAGTGATCAATTAATTACTCACCTGAATAGTGGGAATACCAAAAGAGTAAAAAGAGAGTAACAGACAGTAGGAAGTTATCAAATAAATAATAGAAGGTAATTTCCCAGGCTTGATGGGAGACCCAAGAGCTCAGACTGAAAATGCCCATTGAATACCCAGCCCAATGAATGTAGAGAGGTCTACACTTAGGAGAAAAGATCCTAAAAGCTACCAGAAAGATAGAAACTGTTACTATAACAGAAATAAGACACTAGCACCTTAACTATTAACCAATCTTAACAAACTAGAATAAAGGCCGGATGTGGTGGTTCATGCCTATAATCCTAGCACTTTGGGAGGTCGAGATGGGAGGATCGCTTCAGCCTGGAAGCTTGAGGCTGCAGTGAGCTAGGATCGTGCCACTGTACTCCAGCCTGGGCGACAGAGTGAGACACTGTCTCAAAAACAACAGAAACAAAAAAACTAGAATAAAATACTTCTGGTGTGAGACTCTGTAGGTTTCATTACTCCTTTTGGGTCCTGATTAAATCCTGTTGACTCAAGACCTTAGAGCATTTACTGGTAAAGTCTCTGACTGCGCGATTTTTTTTTGCATTTTAGTTCCTTAAATATTTTCTCACTGCTTCCTACTAAAGGACGGACAGAGCATTTGTTCTTCAGCCACATACTTTCCTTCCACTGGCCAGCATTCTCCTCTATTAGACTAGAACTGTGGATAAACCTCAGGTAAGTAAATTACTATCCCTGGCAAAGGTGCTTTTCTTCCACACCTAAACCTATGGTCCCTTCTTTGTCTTGCTATTGTTTCTCTCTTTGGAGGCAGGATGGTATGGAGGAAAGAGGACAGACACTGGAGTCACACAGACTTGGGTTTAAATCCTAGCTCCATGGCACAGTTGCCTCAATGGCACTCTTAGCACTGTAGTCAAAGAATATTAGACCTGGAAAGGGCCTTGGAAATTACTTCTCCTCCCCCAGAAACAGCCTCTAGACTGGCATGATTGACCACCAAACTTCGTTGTGTCAGACAGGATCAATGTCTGCTGGTCTGCTGCAACTCTGTACTCATTTATCTCTGGGGAGGCCTGAAGCCTTGGTGCTGTTCCTTGGCCAAACCTAAATGAAATGTACTAGCCAGTGATTAATAGAGTCCTGTGCTGGGGTGGGAGACAGACCAGGGAGCAGCCTGTTTCTTGCTTCTTTCTTTCTTTTTGGAGATGAAATCTCATTGGCTTTGAACTTCTGGGCTCAAGTGATCCTCCCACTTCAGCCTCCCAAGTAGCTGGGATTACAGGTGCATGCCACTGCCCCAGCTTGACTATACCAGCTTGTTTCTGGTTTTGAGCCCTGGTATGCAAGCTAGTGTTGGCTACCTGATCAGAGGAGTATAAAAGAGCCTCAGATGAGGTTACAGTTCTCTTGAGACCAAGGTGTCTTGCATGTATCATCTAGCTGGTTCATTGCTTAAAGATGAAGCACATCTTCCACATCCTCTGTGGCTGCAAAAGGACCCTAGGAACTGGGTGTGGTGTTTCACTTGCCTTTTGGTTTGTTGGGTTTTTTTTTTTTGTATCTATCCTTTACCTTTATTAAAGCCTTATGTGAGGATACTATGCGGAGTCTTCTAAGTCTTTTCAATGATCCAAACCTGTGTAATTGATGAAGAGGGTACTGTGAATAGGATCATTACTTTTTTTTTGTTTTTGAGACAGGGTCTCTCTCACTCTGTCACCCAAGTTGAGTGCAGTATCTTGATCACAGCTCACTATAGCCTCAACCTCCTGGGCTCAAGAGATCCTCCCACCTCAGCCTCCCGAGTAGCTGGGTCTATAGGCGCACACCATCACGGCTGCCTAACTTTTAAAAAAATTATTTTGTAGAGCTGGAGTCTTACCATGTTGCCCAGGCTGGTCTCGAACTCCTGGGCTCAAGTGATTTGCCTGCCTTGGCCTCCCAAAGTGGTGGGATTACAGGTGTGAGCAACTGCGCCTGGCCCCAGGTTTTTTTTTTTCTTTTTTTTTTTCGAGACAGGGTCTCACACTGTTGCCCAGGCTGTAGTGCAGTGGCACTGAAGCCTGAAACCTCTGCCTCCTGGGTTCAAACAGTTCTTGTGCCTCAGCCACCCGAGTAGCTGGGATTACAGGCATGCACCACCACGCCCGGCTAATTTGTTTGTATTTTTAGTAGAGATGGGGTTTCGCCATGTTGGCCAGGCTGGTCTTGAACTCCTGAACTCAAGTGATCCGCCCGTCCCAGCCTCCCGAAGTTCTGGGATTACAGGTGTGAGCCACTGCGCCTGGCCCCCCAGTTTTTTACTTTATAATTTAAATGATAGCTAAGGCTTTGTTTGGGAGAAAGATGAAAAGTGGGGAAAGATTTAGAGCCACTGGTGCCAGGCTAGTTGCTGGGGAATCCCTGTTTGAATTTGCTGAAGTGCTACAACTCTCAATGGGAAGAAAGGGATGACAATGGAACTTGAAGGTGGTTGATGCAGAGCAAGAGGAAATCGCTAAATAGATTTAAAAAGAAATCCAGACACAGAGGAAGTCAGCCAAGAATACAGTTCCCTGGCTGGTTAGGCTGCTTTGGCAAAAATGAAAGTAACTAAAAAAGAGCCTGTGTTGCCAAGTCCACCAATTTCCTTCTGTAAAGGGAAGGAACATGATGCCAAAGAGGAGTTGGGCAGATATTTCTTCTGATGGGAATGTGACCCTCATCGGGTAGATAATCACCAACGAAACTACAGTGGGAGGGCATCAAGAGACAACTGAAACAGGGAACTACACAAGAGTGAAGTTGCCTGTGGACTGACAGAGCTTCCTGCAGAACCACTGCTGGGTTGGATATACATGAATGACAAAGGAGCTCTTTTCCTTGTATTAGGTACTGTCAAATGTACCTTCAAATGAAAGGGTGTGTTTGGTCTTAATTAGCTGAATTCGTTGAAGATCTTCAATTAGCTGCAGCTTTTGCCGGAATGTGGTTAGCTGGGCAAATTCCAAATCGGTTGAGCTGCACAAAGGTGGCAGTACATAAAACATATCTTGTAAAGGGGAACTGCCCAATTCCACCCATAATTGTTAGAAGAAATACTCCCTAGAGGTTACTGAAATGTTGAGAATGCAAACAAACACATTTGGACTGGTTCTGTGATGAAACTAAGGTATCCCTTAATTTTATGTCTTTGACTTAAGTGATGATTGTTGCTGTGATAAGAGGGCCTCTACCTTCGTAGACTTTTTGTATGACCCTACTACTGGGGGAGCAGGATGAAGTGAAAGCCTGTTGAAGACTTACTAGTTCCTTTGCTCCAAATTGTGCTGAATGATGAACAGATTAATATCATTCAAAAGAAAGGAGGCCGGGTGTCCTGGCTTACACCTGTAATCCCAGCACTTTGAGAGGCTGAGGCAAGAGGATTGCTTAAGCCCAGGAATCTGAGGCTACAGTGAGCTAGAATCATGCCACTGCACTTGTACTACAGCCTTGGCAACAGAGTGAGCCCTTGTCTCCTATTAAAAAAAAAAAAAAAAAAGGAAAGGGCTGGGCATGGTGGCTCACACCTGTAATCCTAGCACATTGGGAGGCCGAGGCGGGTGGATCACCTGAGGTCAGGAGTTCGAGACCAGCCTGGCCAACATGGTGAAACCCTGTCTCTACTAAAAATAAAAAAATTAGCCGGGCATGGTGGCACATGCCTGTAATCCCAGCTACTCAGGAGGCTGAGGCAGGAGAATTGCTTGAACCTGGGAAGCAGAGGTTGCGGTGAGTCAAAATTGTGCCACTGCACTCCAGCCTGGGTGAACAGAGCAAGACTCCATCTCACTTTGTTGCCCAGACTGGTTTCAAATTCCTGGGCTCAAGCAATCCTCCCACCTTAGCCTCCCAAAGTGCTGGGATTACAGGTGTGAGCCACTGTGCCCAGTCAAGATTCTAATGTATCCTAGTCTTGATGAATTAAACAAATAAACCTTTAGGATGATGCAAAAGCAGAATCTACAGTCACTTTAAAGCAGTGTGATGTAAAGAAAAGGGTGGCAGAGTCTCTTGGTGCTATGGGACCCAAGGACATTTACATTGGTGTGGATAAAATGCCCGGAGTGGTGAAAAACTTTATTGTCATTGTTGGACCATGGTGCATAATGTATTGTTATACCTGCTAATAAAAAATTAAACGGCAATTAACTTAGTTTAGTATGACAATACAACTGTAAGTTTAAGAGTGAAAAATGGGCCAGGTGTGGTGGCTCAGGCCTGTAATCCCAGCACTTTAGGAGGCTGAGGTGGGAGGATCACTTGAGCCCAGGGGTTTGAGACCAACTTGGCAACATAGTGAGACCCCCCCCACCAACACCCCCAACACGCTTGTCTCTATAAAAAATGGTGGTGTGCTCCTGTCGTACGAGCTGCTTGGGAAGCTGAGGTGGGAGGATCGCTTCAGCCCTTGAGGTTGAGGCTGCAATGGATGGTGATCAAGCCACTGCACTCCAGCCTAGGTGACAGAGCAAGACCCTGTCTCAAGAAAAAAAAAAAGTGAAAAATGTCCATATAAAAACTTGCACACTAATGTGCACAGCGGTATTATTTATAATAGCCAAAAAGCGTAAGCAATCCACACATCCATCAACTGGGTTGAGGAATAAAATATGGTATATGTGATAATAAAGTGTGGTATATCCACATAATGAAATATTATTTGACAATGAAAAGGAATATGAAGTACTAAAACAATACAACATGGATGAATTTCGCTTCCTTTTTTTGTTGTTCTTTTTATTTTATTTTTTAAGCACCTCTACCAACATGAACATTTTGCAAAGTGAAAGCAACCAGACACAAAGGACCACGTACTGTATGATTCAATTTAAATGAAATGTCCCCAGTAGGCAAATCTATAGAGACAGAAAGTAACATAGTAGTTGCCTAGGGCTAGGAGGGTAATGGGGGACATGGAAAGCAACTGCTAATGGGCACAGCGTTTCTTTCTGGGGGGATGAAAATGTTCTAAAATTGATTGTGGTGGTGGTTGTGCATGTTTATGAATATGCTGATATTTATTGAACTGTACATTTTATTTACTTTTTTTAGAGACAGAGCCTCACTCTGTTGTCCAGGCTGGAGTACAGTACTGCAATCATAGCTCCCCGCAGCTTCATATTCCTGGGCTCAAGAGATCCTTCCACCTCAGCCTCCCACGTAGTTAGGACTACAGGCACATGCCACCATGCCCTGCTAAGTTTTCGTTTTCTTTAAAAAAAAGTTTTTTAGAGACAGGGTCTAGCTATGTTGCCCAGGCTGATCTCAACTCCTGGTCTCAAGCAATCCTCCCGCCTTGGCCTCAAGAGCATTGGGGTTATAGGTATGAGTCACCGCACCCTCAGTTGTTCATTTTAAATGGGTGAATTTTATGATGTGTGAATTATATTTCTTTCTCTTTTTTTGAGATGGAGTTTCACTCTTGTCGCCTAGGCTGGAGTACAGTGGTGCGATCTCGGCTCACTGCAACCTCTGCCTCGTGGGTTCAAGCAATTCTCCTGCCTCAGCCTCCCGAGTAGCTGAGATTATAGGCATGCGCCACCATGCCCAGCTATTTTTTTTGTATTATTAGTAGAGATGGGGTTTCACCATGTTGGCAAGGCTAGTCTTGAACTCCTGGCCTCAGCCCCCCAAAGTGCTGGGATTATAGGTGTAAGCCACCACAGCCAGCCCCAACTAGCTGGGACTACAAGCACGTGCCACCACACCTGACTAATTTCTTTTTTTTTTTTTTTTTTTTTTGTATTTTTAGTAGAGATGGGGTTTTGCCATGTTGGCCAGGCTGGTCTCAAACTCCTGACCTCAGGTGATCCACCCACCTCGGCCTCCTAAAGTGCTGAGATTACAGGCATGAGCCACTGCTCCCGATGGATTATATTTCAATATAATTCAATTATGCAATATAATTGCATAATTGTTATCATCTCTCCCTGATATATTATCGGAATGGATGTGACATCTGAATGGGGATGCTGTTGAGGAAAGAGATTTCATGAAATGTACAGTGAGTGGCATAATTGTGGCTCACTGTAACCTTGAATTCTTGGGCTCAAGTGATCCTTCTGCCTCTGCTCCCCGAGTAGCTGGGACTACAGGCATGTGCCACCACATCTGGCTAATTTTTGTAATTTTAGTAGAGATGCGGTTTCATCATGTTGCCCAGGCTGGTCTGAAATTCCTGGCCTCAAGTGATCCACCTTGGATTCCCAAAGTGCTAGGATTACAAGCATGAGCCACCTGTGCCTGACCAAGATTTGTTGTTTTCTTTCTTTTTTTTTTTTTTTTTTTTTGAGAGTGAGTTTTGCTCTGTTGCCCAGACTGGAGCCCAGACTGGAGTTTAGTGGTGCAATCTCAGCTCACTGCAACCTCCACCTCTCAGACTCAAGCAATCCTCCCACCTCAGCGTCCTGAGTAGCTGGGACCACAGGTGCCTACCACCATGCCCAGCTAATTTTCATATCTTTTATAGCGACAAGGTTTCACTTTGTTGCCCAGGCTGGTCTGGAACTCCTGGTTATACAAACTCCTGGACTCAAGTGATCCTCCCACCTCAGCCTCCCAAAGTGCTGGGATTACAGGCATAAGCCACTGTGCTCAGCCCCTTAAGATTTTTAATTCGTAGATTTCCTCTTTATCCATCTCTTTTTTCTTGTCACTTATTTGTTAAAGAAGCCATGTAATCTGTCCTGTAAAATTCCCTCTACTCTAGATTTGGCAGAATGTGTTCCTCTGGCATAGTCTAACATGTTCCTCTACCTTCTGCATTTCCAGGAACCTGACACTTGGATCTAGCAGTTTGGTCAGGCTCAGATTCTATTTTCTTTCTTTCTTTTTTTTTTTGTGACAGTCTCACTCTGTTGCCCAGGCTTGAGTGCAGCGGTGCAATCTTGGCTCACTGCAACCTCTGCCTCCTGGGTTCAAGCGATTCTCCTGCCTCACCCCACCCAGGTCTGGGATTATAGGTGCGCACTGCCACACCTGACTAGTTTTTGTATTTTTAGTAGAGACGGGGTTTCTCCATATTTGCGAGGCTGGTCTCGAACTCCTGACTTCAGGCAGTCCACCTGCCTCGGCCTCCCAAAGTGCTGGGATTATAGGCATGAGCCACCGTGCCCAGCCTCAGATTCTATTTTCTTTAACAAATATTTGTCACACACCTACTACATGCAAAGTTGTTGGTTGGATACTAAATTAACTACAAAACTGGACACAGTTATTTACATTTATAAGTCATCTTGCACATGGACAGCCATGCCCACAAAAGTGAATGGAGGCCCGGCATGGTGGCTCATGCCTGTAATCCCAGCACTTTGGGAGGCTAAGGTAGGCGGATCATTTGATGTCAGTAGTTCAAGACCAGCCTGGCTAACATGGTAAAACCCTGTCTCTATTAAAAATACAAAAATTGGCCAGGCGTGGTGGCAGGCGCCTGTAATCCCAGCTACTTGGGAGGCTGAGGCAGGAGAATTGCTTGAGCCCGGGAGGCAGAGGTTGCAGTGAGCTGAGATCGCACCACTGCACTCCAGCCTGGTCAACACAGCGAGACTCCATCTCAAAAAAAAAAAAAAAAAAAAAGGCTGGGCACAGTGGCTCACACCTGTGATCCCAGCACTTTGGGAGGCCAAGGCGGGCAAATCACTTGAGGCCAGGAGTTCATTCAAGTGATGAACTCTCCTCTCCCCTCTTCCCTCTCTCCTCTCTCCTCTCCTATCTCCCCTCTTCCCTGGCCAACATGGTGAAACCCCATCTCTACTAAAAATACAAAAATGAGCCGAGCGTGGTGGTGCGTGCCTATGGTTCCAGCTACTCGGGAGGCTGAGGCAAGAAATTGCTTGAACCTGGGAGGCGGAGGTTGCAGTGAGCCAAGATCACTCCACTGCACAGCAGCCTGGGCAACAGAGTGAGACTCCATCTCAAAAGAAAAAAAAAGTGAATGGATATCTTTGGTATGTTTTGATACGTTGTGTGGGAAAGCAATATGCACAATAAGTGCAGTGTGAGACTTTGAAAATGTTTAAAACCACTCAAACTATATATGGAGTTGCTTGAAAATATATAGAAAACCTTATGAAAATATGTAAACCAAACTGTAGATACTTCTGGATCTGGATTTGTCAGGGGGTGAAGTAGTGATGGATTTTCACATTTATTTTGTTCATTGCTGTCTTGTTTAAATTTTTGGAAACAAGTATATATTACTTTCATAGTTGAAAAGAAAGTGAGGAGATTAGGAGGGAGGAAGTAAACAAGGGAGGAGAGGAGAAAGGCAGGAAGAGGAGAGAGAGAAAGTTAGACAAGTAGATGAGATGGTTATAGGGACGAATGAAGCTAGAATTGAGAAATCATTTGACAGTCACTCTGGCTCCCTGACGAATCAAAACAGCCACCCAGGCAGTCCTTGTCCATGCTGACAGTGCACCATATATGCATATGTAACAGGGAACAGCAGCCCCGGCTGGAGCACAAGCCGCTGCTCGTGGGCACCTGTCTCAGCTCTAGCCTCAGCTCAGGCTTCACTTAGCCTCAGGGTCACTGTGTTTAGTGTCGCTGGGTTATACACTGGACAAGTACCAGTGGCACCACTCACACATGATCACATTATCATGTGACTAGCACCTACTAGAGCCGCACATCCTGTCTGCAGGGGCCTTCATATGCCTTCTCTAACATAGTCAGAGGGTAAGGTAATAAGCACAGGGAGGGGAGACAGCAGTCCAGCAACCACTCCTAGAGAGGAAGGAGTTCAGGCCAGCAAACAAGGGCAGGGGGTAGTGCAGAGGCTTAGGAGATAGAGCCAGGCTTGAATCTGCTGCTACCTGACTACCAGACCCTAGGCAGGTGACTGACCTTGTCTGAATCTCATATGTAAAATGCAGTGTCAACAACAACAAAAAAATTAGAGACAGATATCCCCAAATATGTCAAATTTATTCAGGAATAAGAAAAGAGGGTTATGATTTGGAATGCACTACTGTAAACCACAGGCACGTGCAGTGAGGGAAGAGTAAAGGGAATTTTTCTTGGCAAAAGGGAGAAGTTCACATAAGCTGCTTAGAAACAGAGTTCATAGCTGGGCATGGTAGCTCATACGTGTAATCACAGCTATGTGGGAGGCTGAGGCGGGAGGGTCTTTGGAGGCCAGGAGTTTGAGACCAGCCTGGGCAATGTGATGAGGCTCCAGTTTCTTTAGAGAGAGAGGAGAGAGGGGAGAGGGGAGAGGAGAGAGAAGACAGGGGACGGGGGAGAGGGGAGAGGAGAGAGGGCAGAAGAGAATTCCTTGGTTCTGAAGGCTCAAAGCCAGAGTTCTTGTGTGTTCATTGGTGGAGATGCTGTTCCTGGGCAGGTGTTCTTTTGACAGCATCTCATCTCATGTTATCTTATCTGAATTGCTGCAGTCCAAAAGAATGTGCAGTGATAAACCTTGCCATAGAAATATGTGCGTACATGCAAGCAATGCAAAGCAGGAGATGCGTGACAGGCGTGAAGGGATTTCTTATGGGATTCTTAGAAAGTCTTTGGAACCGTTCCTGTCTTGGACATGAAAGCCTGAACCCCACTCCTTCGTGCCTTCCCAGCCCTATTTTGTGTGGGTCTGATAAAAGTGATTTCATCTTGGTATCTGCGACTTCCACAGCAGATAATAATGTACAGCTTGTCTGGTGGTTGTAAGGATGAGAAACAAAGTATATGGATCAAATGCTTTGTAAAAATTACCATGTATAATGTGAGGATGACAGATGACCAACTGTTTTGCCTTTCATTTGTTTGTCGTCATAAGCACATGGTCAGTCAATAAAATCTAAGAGCTGGAATTAGAGCAAGAATCCCCAAGTTTCTTGTTGGGTTACTCTGTCTTTAGCTTTCTGGACTTCAATTTGTTGCTTCTTTTTATCAACTGTCAACAAAATGAGTATACCCTTACACTTTTTAAAATGTGGCACTCCATAAATGTAAGATGATTTTATGGTAACTTTTTAAGGTACTGAGTTCCTCCTCAATCCATATAAATCATGAGGACAGGGAACCACCCCGTGCATTGTGTGCCATGTAGGTTATGTGCAGACTTACGGCAATCCTTGGAAACATTTATACACCTGAAAACTGGGGACCCTGGCTGCCTATCACATAGAATCATGGCCCTGGGGAAATATGCAGATCATCTGATGGCATCCATGTTCTCCTGTGATTATAAGAGAACATGGCAAGGTTGGTCACATCCCCACTGGTGGAAGAGCGGGTACTAATGCTCCAGCCTTTGGGTTCCCAGCCCATTCTTTGCTACAGCACCATAGAAAGAAAACTTAAATTTGAATTGGAGGGATTTTTATTTTTATTTTTATTTTTTTTGAGACAGAGTCTCTCTCTGTTGCCCAGGCTGGAGTGTAGTGGTACAATCATGACTCACTGCAAACTCTGCTTCCCAGGTTCAAGTGATCCTCCCGCCTCAGCCTCCCAAGCAGCTGGGATTACAGGCGCCCGCCACCATGCCTGGCTAATTTTTGTATTTTCAGTAGAGATGGGGTTTCACCATGTTGACCAGGCTGGTCTCAAACTCCAGGCCTCAAGTGATCCACCCGCCTCAGCCTCCAAAAGTGCTGGGATTACAGGCATGATCCCCCATGCCCAGCTGAATTGGAGGAAATTTTAAAAGTTAATTTTAAAACTGCTTCTCTTTTATGGGAAAGGAATATGTTTTTAAATGGTATTCAGTGTGCTCTTTTTTAAAAAAATCAAAAATTATCCATTAACATCCGTTACTTTTTTTGTTTTTGGTTTTTTCTGAGATTGAGTCTTGCTCTGTTGCCCAGGCTAGAGTGCAGTGGCATGATTTCAGCTCACTGCAACCTCCACCTCCCAGGTTCAAGCGATTCTCCTGCCTCAGCCTCCCAAGTAGCTGGGATTACAGGCGCCCGCCACCACACCCAGCTAATTTTTGTACTTTTAGTAGAGACAGGGTTTCACCATCTTGGCCAGGCTGGTCTCGAACTCCTGACCTCGTGATCCACCTGTCTCGGCCTCCCAAAGTGCTGGGATTCCAGGCGTGAGCCATCACGCCTGGCCTAATAGCCATTACTTTTTAATGCATGGTAATTTTTTGTTCAGTAGATAAATATATTGTTATCTTAAAAAGATTTTTTGTATTTACTTTTGAGACTGGGTCTCAGTCTGTTGCCCAGGCTGGAGTGTAGCAGCCTGATCATGGCTCAGTGCAGCCTCTACCTCCCCGGGCTCAGGTGATCCTCCCCCTTCAGCCTCCTGAGTAGCTGGGACTACAGAGGTGTGGCACCATGCCCGGCTAATTTTTGTATTTTTTGTGGAGATGGGGTTTTGCCATGTTGCCCAGGCTAGTCTTGAACTCCTGGATGTGAGCCACTGCGTCTGGCCTATTATTTTAAATATAGTTCTCTTTACTGCCAGTAGCTTTCATATAACCCTAGCGACTAGATTTAGTCACCACTGCTTAATTCCAAAAAACAAAAGCTCCATCCTATATTTACTGTAAATCAGTCTCTTTGATTGTATTGCATGTTTTATTTCAAGAAAAAAGTTAACCTGAAGATTTAATTTTAAATAACTACACATGTTGTCACTAATAGAAATAACAAATAATTATATGAGAATAATGGTAATTCTCCTAAGTTTTGTGGTAAATTTTTTGGCAATTTTATTGAAGTATAATAAAATTCAACAATTCAATACGTCTTTATAAATGTTCATTGTGATATAGGACAGCTCTATCACAGTACTGGGGTAAATTTTAATTATATTTATTAATTACAGATGTGAATTTCTTCGGAGTAAGAAATCCTCAGAGGAAATTACCCAGTATATTCAAAGCTACAAGGGATTTGTTGACATAACGGTAATGTATAACAGCAATTTTTTTCTCAAGTTTTTGGATTACCTGTAAGTGTCTGACTCAGAAGGGCATAGGCATTCTTTTTATGTCATGGGTTTGATTTCTTTCTTCCTTTCTCCTTTCATTCCCCTGGCTCCCATCTTCAAAGTGAAAAATATCACATTCACTTGCTGACCTAGAGCCTTTTTCTTTTTCCAGGGCTGGCTTCTGACGGGCTCTGCTTGCCTTCCTGATAGTCTTCCCCTTTATGAATGAAGCCACTTGCCCCAGCTTCCCTCTGCTGCCCCTATCTGCAGGCTTGCTAAGATCTCCTGACCTAGGCGCTGTCACCCACAGTGGGCTGCAGAGCTGGCTCTTCCTAGCTGGCTAACTATCCTGAATCAGTAAAAATTTCCTAGTGGAGAGTGATGGGAAATCGAATCCAAACTGGCTTAAACAAAAATGAGAATTTATTGATTAACATGACTCAGGAGACCAGAACTCTATAGAGAACATGGCCTGACAGTGGGGGAAGAGAGGTGTTTCCTCAAAAAGAAACTGGGTGCAGCTTTCCCAGAAGAATCAGTTGCTCAATATATAATACCCTGATGAATTTAGTTACCATTCTATGTCTCTTACTTCCTCATTCGTCAAAGTACATCTGTGATATTTAAATGCAGGTCTGTTTTCAAGGTCAGTTTCCGGAAACAGTGACCCTGAGAAGGCTTCCTCCTGAGTATGCATAAACATTCACAGCTTGCATGCGTGTGTGTGTGTGTGTGTGTGTGTGTGTGTGTGTGTGTTTGCTTGCACTGCATAAAAACAATTGCAACATCAACAGAAATAAAAATTAAAGGAATAATTCTCCTCCGACTCTGCCGTTCCATCCAGTGAAACTCTTCATTCTGGGGTAAAGTTCCTTCAGTTCTTGTTCATAGATAGGTATATACTTCATAAGTCAAACAATCAGGCTGGGCGCAGTAGCTCATGCCTGTAATCCCAGCCCTTTGGGAGGCCGAGCTGGGCAGATCACTTGAGATCAGGTGTTCGAGACCAGCCTCAAGACCTCCAACATGGGCCGGGTGCAGTGGCTCACGTCTGTAATCCCAGCACTTTGGGAGGCCGAGACGGACGGATGATGAGGTCAGGAGATAGAGACCATCCTGGCTAACATGGTGAAACCCCATCTCTACTAAAAATACAAAAAAAAAAAAAATTAGCCCGGCATGGTGGCAGGCGCCTGTGGTCCCAGCTACTCGGGAGGCTGAGGCAGGAGAATGGCGTGAACCTGGGAGGCGGAGCTTGTAGTGAGCCAAGGTCGTGCCACTGTGCTCCAGCCTGGACGACAGAGCGAGACTCTGTCTCAAAAAAAAAAAAAAAAAAAAAAAAAAAAGACCTCCAACATCGTGTCTGTCTCTACTAAAAATACAAAAAAAAAAAAAAAAATTAGCCGGGTGTGGTGGCACATGCCTGTACTGCTCGGGAGGCTGAGGCAGGAGAATCACTTGAACCCAGGAGGCGGAGGTTGCAGTGAGACGAGAACCTGCCACTGCACTTCAGCCTGGGCAACAGAGTGAGACTCTGCCTCAAAAAAAAAAAAAAAAAAAAAAAGTCAGATAATCAACAACTTGAATTTTAATTTCCCTCAGGGAGAACATTTTGTGAATTCCTGGGTCCAGAGAGAATTACCTATGGCATCAGGTAAAAACTCAAACATTTTCCAAAGGCTTTGCTTGTTTATTTCTTCTTTTGATTTTTTGTCCCTATCTCTTTTTGTCGTCCCCCCCGCCCCGCCCCGTTTATTTTGAAGCAAACTCTAGACATCATTCCATCTGTAACTGTGAAGGGACAACTTGAACGCTGATACTTGCAATATCAAAGCCTACTGGTCTCTTTAATTTGTGCAGCAGCAATAAAGATATAGAAAAAAAAAAGACTAAAGCCTGCTGGTCTCACCTTGTGCTTTTTATTCAAGCTTATTGCAATGACAGCATCTTTGCTTACGAAGAACTACGGCTGGACTCTTTTAAGGACTGGCCCCGGGAATCAGCTGTGGGAGTTGCAGCACTGGCCAAAGCAGGTCTTTTCTACACAGGTGAGTCAGTAGGTTGTGCCCACTTGCTTGCTTGACCTTTAATTCCCACATAGACTTTATGCTCCTGGGCTTACGTTTAGCTACACTCAGCAATGTCCACTAGCTTCAGCGTTTCTTTTTCTTTTCTTTTTTTTTCCCCCTTGGAGACAGAGTTGCCCAGGCTGGAATGCAGATCTTGGCTCACTGCAACCTCCACCTCCCGGGTTCAAGAGATTCTCCTTCCTCAGCCTCTGGAGTAGCTGGAACCACAGGCGCCTGCCACCACGCCCAGCTACTTTTTTGTATTTTTAGTAGAGACAGGGTTTCACCATGCTAGTCAGAATGCTCTTGATCTCCTGATCTCGTGATCTGCCCGCCTTGGCCTCCCAAATGCTGGGATTACAGGTGTGAGCCATCGCGCCAGGCCTCTCTTCAGCATTTCTTATAGATTCGTTTTCTTTTCTTTC
This sequence comes from Homo sapiens, assembly GCF_000001405.40. Classification (NCBI taxonomy): domain Eukaryota; kingdom Metazoa; phylum Chordata; class Mammalia; order Primates; family Hominidae; genus Homo; species Homo sapiens. Next base: position 287,629 of record NW_025791777.1, read on the forward strand.
TATTTTTTTTGAGACATGGTCATCCAGGCTGGAGGGCAGTGGCGAGATCATGGCTCACTGCAGCCTCAACCTCCTGGGCTCAAGTAATCCTCCTGCCTTGGCCTCCCAAAATGCTGGGATTACAGGTGTGAGCCACTGCACCTGGCATACATCTCTTTTCTTTCCTGCATCATAAATCCTCTCCCAGTTTTCTATTCCTCCCTTAGGTGGTAAACCTTCAAATTTGAAACCTTAAGGTCTGGACTAACAATGAATACAAGTATTCTATTTGTGATAATTATCATGTCTTTTCTTTCTACACATTACTCTCCTCACCTCTTGTCCCCTGACAAAGTGCTCCTAGAAACTGTCACAGGACACTTCTGCTTATATTTCTTTAATCAGAACTTAGTTGGATGGGCCGGGCATGGTGGCTCACGCCTGTAATCCCAGCACTTTGGGAGGCCGAGGTGGGTGGATCACCTGAGGTCAGGAGTTTGAGACCAGCCTGGCCAATATGGTGAAACTCTGTCTCTACTAAAAATACAAAGAATTAGCCAGGCATGGTGGCGGGTGCCTGTAATCCCAGCTACTTGGGAGGCTGAGGCAGGAGAATCGCTTGAACCTGGGACGTGGAGGTTGCGGGGAGTCAAGATCATGCTATTGCACTCCAGCCTGGGCAACAAGAGTGAAACTCTGTCTCAAAAATAATAATAATAATAATAATAATAATAATAATAATAATAATTATTATTATTATTATTATTATTAGTCAGATGACCATACCTAGCTGTAAGAGGAGCTGGGAAACCTAATCTTTTTCCTGGGTGACAATGTGCCCAGCTAAATATTGGGATTTCTATTAGTATGGAAGGATTTGAGATAATAGGAACATGGATAGCAATCTTTGCCACATTCTGCCTGCAGGAGAAAATCAGGAAATTAATTTTCATGATTCCTAAACACGTAGAGCCTTCCACCAGATTGTGGCATTTTCTCTTTAGCTGCTGGTCATTAGGAAGCACCTCTGCAATCTATAAATGATGGGCTGGTTCCTGTCAGCTAAATCTCTGCCTGAAATACAAGATGATCAGGGAAAGGTTCCTAGGTACCTTGCTGGTCTTGCTCAAACCGAACACATGCATAAGTTACAGTGGAGGTTAATGCAGATCTTTAACTGAGAGATCAAGTAGTTGTCACAAATACCATAGAGCAACACAGAGAAGCAGAATATAGTTGTCACTCTACCTAACAGACATGTGCCATTGGAAAAAAAAAATCTGACTGCCTCACAATCTTAAGCCTTTGGAAAGAGTGTTTGCCATTTCTCCCTACTCTACTGTGTCTTCCTCTTGTCAGCCTTCCGCAAGACCCCTCTGACCAGTGTGCTCCCCCTCTTCCTTTCCAATCCTCCACCACTCCACACAAATCCTAATCATCTCTGACTGTTTTCAGATCTTGCAAGCTCTAGGATCTCATATTTCTGGGAGGCTTTCCTCTGCCCCAGCTTTCCCAGAGTGGAAGGAAGATGAGAAATGCTCTGTTTCTAGTTTGATCCTTTTGCAGAGCTAAATACCAATTTCTTTCCAAAGAAATATAATTTCACAAAGAGACTTAATCCTATTTCTGGTGTAATAAACATGGCAATAATGTGGTAAGAGGCAATTAATTCTTCATGCATTCACTTACATAAGGGCTGCTAGATTTGCTGGTATTTTTTTTTCCGTGAGCTCTAAATATATTCTTTCTGATTCATTCATTAAACGAATACTAATTGAGTGCCACATGAGTGTCAAGCACTTTTCTAGGTTCATGTCATTCATTAGTGAGCAAAAACCTCTACCCTCATAGAGCTTATTTTTATTTTTATTTTTTGAGACAGAGTTTCACTCTTGTTGCCCAGGCTGGAGTGCAATGGCGTTATCTTGGTTCACTGCAACCTCCGTCTCCTGGGTTCAAGCGATTCTTGTGCCTCAGCCTCCTGAGTAGCTGGCATTACAGGCATGTGCCACCATGCCCAGCTAATTTTTGTATTTTTAGTAGAGACAGGGTTTCACCGTGTTGGCCAGGCTGGTCTCAGACTCCTGACCTCAGGAGATCCGCTGGCCTTGGCCTCCCAAAGTGCTGGGATTACAGGCATGAGCCACTGCGCCCAGCCCCCTCATGGAGCTTCAATTCCAGATTCTGGTTGCCAATCTGTTTGTTGATCAAAGGAGAATGGGGCAGAGGGATGGTGTGCATCAAAGTGCATGGTGTGTAGGAGCATTCAATGACTACTTGCCAGTTACCCCATTGGTGGACAGAGTCTTATATAGAAAATTGCCTCACTGGTAACCAACTTCTGACTGTCACAAAACCCAACTGGAGACTGAATAGGCTTTCACTATTACAGGTCTGGTGGTTATTATCTGCATGTTAATGGACAGATGCCCATGCCAGTGGCACTGATCAAGTTTCCTTACTTTTAGGTATAAAGGACATCGTCCAGTGCTTTTCCTGTGGAGGGTGTTTAGAGAAATGGCAGGAAGGTGATGACCCATTAGACGATCACACCAGATGTTTTCCCAAGTGAGTGGAATGAATGTTAACCATCTGCAACTTTGGATGCACTTCAACAGTTTTTTTCTTTTTCCTCATTTCCTGCCTTATTTTATCTTTAGATTGAGTCTTTATCCACTCCTCGGATTCAGGCTATGAAGGATGAGTCTTCATGTCTTTCATCCCTTTGCTCCATGACCCCCTTCCTGTACTAGCCTTCCCCTCTTTATAGTTATGGCATAGTTTTGGCTAGATTCATATATTCACATTACATGTTTACATTATCATGACTATACAAATGCTATGTGGAGCTGAAGCTTGTGGTAAATTTTTATTTATTTTTCCCTTCCTGTATATCCTTTTATTTTTTTAGGAAGTAATAACTGTCCTGTTGGTATGTTAGCTTATTTTTTTTTCCTGAGGTAAAATTCAGGTAGTAACCATTTTATTTATTTATTTATTATTTTTTGTGACAGGTTCTCTCTCTTGCCCAGGTTGGAGTGCAGTGGTGCAATCATGGCTCACTGCAGCCTTGACCTCTCTGGCTCAAGCAATCTTCCTCGCTCAGCCTCCCAAGTAGCTGGGACTACAGGCACATGTCTTCACACCCAGCTAATTTTTTTTTTTTTTTTTTAAGAGACAGGGTCTCTCTATGTTGCCCAGGCTGCTCTCAGACTTCTAGGCTCAAGCAGTCTTCCCATCCTGGCTTCCCAAAGTGCTGGGATTATAGGCGTGAGCCACCATGCACAGCAATTAAACCATTTTAGAGTACACAATTCTGTGGCATTTATTATAGTACATTCACAATGTTGTGCAACCACCCCCTCTATCTAGTTCCAAAACACTTTCATCGCCCCCAAAGAAAACTCTGTATCCATCAAGCAGGCCCCCCTCCTCTCTCCACCCCACTCCATGCCCAGCCCCTGGGATACACCAACCTAATTGGTGTCTATGGATTTATTTGTTCTGACTATTTCCTCTAAATGGAAGCATACCGTTTGACCTTTTGCATTTGGATTCTTTCACTTGGCATATTGTTTTGAAGTTTATCCATGTTGTAGCTTGCATAAGTACTTCCTTCCTTTTGAGACCAAGTAATATTCCATATGGATACACTGCATTTTATTTATCCATTCATCTATTTGTAGATATTTGGGTTGTTTCTACCTTTTGGCTACCATGAGTAATACCGATAGGAACATTTGGGTACAGGTATCTGATGGAGCATGTAACTGTATTCAAGTCTCTGGGGCATATACCTAACAACGATATTGCTAGCTGTATAGTAATTCTATGTTTTTACTTTTTTTTTTTTTTTCTCACACAGAGTCTCACTCTGTCACTCAGGCTGGAGTGCAGCGGTGCAATCTCAGCTCACTGCAACCTCCGCCTCCCAGGTTCAAGCAATTTTCCTGCCTCAGTCTCCTGAGTAGCTGGGATTACAGGTGTCTGCCACCATGCCCGCCTAATTTTTTGTATTTTTAGGGTTTCACCATGTTGGCTAGGCTGGTCTCAAACTCCTGACCTCAAGTGATCCACCTGGCTTGGCCTCCCAAAGTGCTGGAATTACAAGCGTGAGCCACAGCGCCTGGCCTGTTTTAACTTTTTGAGGAAATGCTAAACTGTTTTTTCCACAGTGCTTGCACCATTTTAAATTCCCACCAACAACAATGTTGTGCAACCACCCCCTCTATCTAGTTCCAAAACACTTTCATCGCCCCCAAAGAAAACTCTGTATCCACTAAGCAGGCCCTCCTTCTCTCTCCACCCCACTCCATGCCCAGCCCCTGGGATACACCAACCTAATTGGTGTCTATGGATTTATTTGTTCTGACTATTTCCTCTAAATGGAAGCATACAGTTTGACCAACAATGTATGAGGTTTCCCATTTCTCATCAACACTTTTCTATTTTTAAAAAAATTATAGCCATCTGCTTAATTTTTTTTTTTTTTTTTTTTTTGAGATGGAGTCTCACTTTGTCGCCCAGGCTGGAGTGTAATGGCGTGATCTCACTCACTGCAACCTCCGCCTCCTGGATTCATGCCATTCTCCTGCCTCAGCCTCCCGAGTAGCTGGGACTACAGGCACCTGCCATCACGCCCGGCTAATTTATTTTTTATTTATTTTTTTAGTAGAGACGGGGTTTCACCGTGTTAGCCAGGATGGTCTCCATCTCCTGACCTCGTGATCCACCCGCCTCAGCCTCCCAAAGTGCTCTGATTACAGGCGTGAGCCACCGCGCCCGGCCAGCCATCTGCTTAATTTTTATGTACATTGCTTATTTTTGTTTCTTGAGATAAAATTCATGTATTAATAATTTTATTTATTTAAATGAAATAAATGAAGACGAACACCAGCTCATCTTCAACTTATCCCAAATGTTTAAATCTCCTCTTAAGTCATTCAGACCTACCAGATATCTCATCATTTTCATTTCTTGAAAGAGTCATCATTTTTTTTTTCTTTTTCTTTTTTTTTTGAGACGGAGTCTGGCTCTGTCACCCAGGCTGGAGTGCAGTGGCATGATCTCGGCTCACTGCAGACTCTGCCTCCCAGGTTCAAGCAATTCTTCCTGCCTCAGCATCCCAAGTAGCTGGGACTACAGGCATGCACCACTATGCCTGGCTAATTTTTGTATTTTTAATAGAGATGGAGTTTTGCCACGTTGGCCAGGCTAGTTTCAAACTCCTGACCTCAAGTGATCCGCCTGCCTCAGCCTCCCAAAGTGCTGGTATTACAGGCGTGAGCCACTGCGGCTGGTCCATTTTCATCTTGGAGGAGTCATCCATCATTTTCACCTCCTTGAATGAGTTTCCCTGGAAGTCTTCTGGCCTGCTGGATTATGAACAACTTGTCCTATAATCATCCTGGGATCCAGGGATCTTTCTTCACAGGCATCCTGGAGATTATCTCCTCTGTTGTATCTCCTGGATCTAATGTCATCCTCTTCTTGGTTCACTCGCTCATTTTGTTGGAACACTTCATCGGAGTTCCCTGGGAAAGACTGCATAAGAAATACACACTTTTAGTTGCATATAATGCATATACAGACATATAGATCTATCTAGATATATGTTTTTCCTGTATTCTCACACTTATTTGATAGTTTAGCTAGGTGTAGAATTATAGGTTGGAAGTCATTTTAATTCTAAATTGTAGAGGCACTGCTACATTTCTACTGGTTCCTAATGTGCTGTCGAGAAGTTCCATGCCTTTCTGCTTGTCAATCCTTTTACTGCAAACAAAATTTTTTTTTTTCCTGTGCTGGAAGCTTTCAGAAAAATATCTGTTCTAAAATTTTACGAAGAAATATTTCTTTTCTATGAATCTTTAAACTTAATTTTTTTTACCCATCAAACTCTTGAGAAATGTTTAATTGCAAGAAGAAATTTGTGTTTTCACTATGTAATTAGTAAGAGTTTTTTTTTTTAGAAATGAATATGAACACATACAGATTTTAAAATGAATGCTTCCTGCTCATTTGTATAGTGGTAAAAACAAAAATAAAACAAAATGAATACTTCTATCTAATTTTATTGCCTTGAAGGTATTTTGATAGCAGTAGTTACCTCATTTTTCTTTCTTATTTGGGCTTAGTGTATAATAAATTATTGAGAACAATGGGGACATTCTACTTAATTCTTGGAAGGATAAGCTAGGATGCAGTCTAGTCTTATTTAGAACTTACTCTGGAATCGATCAACTCCCTTTTATACTATTATTATTATTATTAGTTTTAGTGTTTTGTTGTTGTTGTTTTTGAGATGGAGTCTCACTCTGTCACCCAGGCTGGAGTGCAGTGGCGTGATCTCGGCTCACTGCAACCTCCGCCTCCCGGGTTCAAGCGATTCTCCTGCCTCAGCCTCCCAAGTAGCTGGGATTACAGGTACCTCCCCACCATGCCTGGCTAATTTTTTGTACTTTTAGTAGAGACGGGGTTTCACCATGTTGGCCAGGCTGGTCTTCAACTCCTGACCTCAAGTGATCCTCCTGCCTCAGCCTCCCAAAGTGCTGGGATTACAGGTGTGAGCCGCCACACCTGGCCTTTAGTGTTTTTTTGTTAAGAGACTGGGTCTCGGCTCTGTCACCCAGGCTGGAGCAAGTGCAGTGGTACAATCCTAGCTGACTGTAGCCTCAAATTCCTGGGCTCAAGTGATCCTCCCACCTCAGCCTCCCAAGTAGCTAGGACTACAAGCATGTGTCACCATGCCCGACTAATTTTTTAAAGTTTTTTTTTGTAGAGATGGGGTCTTGCTTTGTTGCCCAGGCTGGTCTCAAACTCCTGGCTCCAAATGATCCTTCTGCTTCAGCCTCCCAAAGTACTTGGATTACAGGCATGAGCCACTGCTCCCAGCCAACTCCTTTTTGGATTTTTACTCTTCCTTTGCCTCTTAAAAAAACTGCAAACCAGTATGTCTCCAACTGATTACCTAAAATTTTTATGTATGCTTTAAAGAATGAATAAAAAGCAACCTATGAACCTCCTAGTAAAGTCAAGAAATTGGACATTATCAATGCCTTAAAAGACCCCTGCGGCCGGGTGCAGTGACTCACGCCTGTAATCTCAGCACTTTGGGAGGCCGATGTGGGCAGATTGTCTGAGCTCAAGAGTTCGAGACCAGCCTGGGCAACATGGTGAAACCCCATCTCTGTTAAAAAGCAGAAAAATTTAACCGGGCCTGGTGACACACGCCTGTAGTCCCAGCTATTAGGGAGGCTGAGGCAGGAGAATGGCTTGAACCTGGGAGGCGGAAGTTGCAGTGAGCCAAGATGGCGCCATTGCACTCCTGGGCGACAGAGCGTGACTCTGTCTCAAAAAATAAAAATAAAAAAAAAAACAACTCTGCATGCCAACCACCCCCTAATTCTGATTATATCCCTGTCCCTCCAATCCAGAGGTAAATGTGATGCTCAGTTTGGGTTAATTATTCCCTTGCTTCTCTTTGTGGTTTTACGAACTACATATACATCCTTAAACATATTTAGCTTTGTCTATTCTTGAAGTTCAAATAAGAAGCATACTGCATGATTCTTCTTGTAATTGGCTGGTTTTACTCCACGATGTTTTTGAGATTCATCCATATTTATATGTACTACACAGTTGTAGTTCACTTGTTTTCATTGGTAAATAGTGTATTATTTTATGAATATATAATAACTTATTTTACTGTTGATTAACCTCGTGGGTCGTTTTCAGAGTGTTGCAAATTCAAATAATGCCCTATGAACATTCTTGTACATATTTTCCAGTGCTCATGTGTGTTTCTCTAGGATACATAACAAAGTAAAGAATTGCAGAGTCATAGAACTTTGCGGGTGTTCAACTCCACTAGATAATGCAAAGCTTTTTCCCAAGTGGTTGCACTGATTTACATTCCCATTGGCCTAGATGCGTTTCTATTGATTTGCTTCCTCACTAACTTGGTATTGCCCAAATTTTAATTTTTGTCAGTGTAATTACTAATAATGTTAAGCTTATTTTCTTCTTCTTTTTTTCTTTCTTTTTTTTTTTTTTGAGACGGAGTTTCACTCTTGTTGCCCAGGCTGGAGTGCAATGGCACGATCTCGGCTCACCACAACCTCCGCCTCCCAGGTTCAAGTGATTCTCCTGCCTCAGCCTCCCGAGTAGCTGGGATTACAGGCATGTGCCACCACGCCCAGCTAATTTTGTATTTTTAGTAGAGATGGGGTTTCTCCATGTTGGTCAGGCTGGTCTCGGACTCCCAACCTCAGGTGATCCACCCACCTCAGCCTCCCAAAGTGCTGGGATTACAGGTGTGAGCCACCGCGCCCGGCAGTTGAGCTTATTTTCATATTTTCCTGCAGAATAGTCTTGTTCTTTCTCTTCAAGAGTGTGTCTTAGCTATTTTTTTGCCCTTTGGTCTTTCATATTCCAGAGAATATATTAAATATCCCAAGCAGGCATGGTGGTTCACACCTATAATCCCAGCACTTTGGGAGGCTGAGGTGGGAGGAGTGCACAAGGCGAGGAGTTTGAGACTAGCCTTTGCAACATAGCTAGACTCCATTTCTACAAAAAATTTTTAAAACAAACAGGGTGTGGTAGCATGCATCTGTAGTCCCAGCTACCTGGGAGGCAGAGGCAGGAGAATCGCTTGAGCTCAGGAGTATAGGTTGCAATGAGCTATGATTGTGCCACTGTACTGTGGCCTGGGTGACAGAGTAAAACTTTGTCTCTAAAAAACAGAAATATCCCTCTTTATCCTTGATAGCATTTTTTAGGCCTTTATTAGTTTTTTCATGTTACATCTTTTAGATTATTTTCTTTTTAATCTATCTGTGACTATATTTAAAGTCAATTCTTGTTTTTTCCTTTTCCTTTTTGTGGGTAACGGGGTCTCACTATGTTGCCCAGGCAGATCTCAAACTCCTGGGCTCAAGCTGTCCTCCCACCTCTGCCACCCTAAGTGTTGAGATTACAGGCATGAGCCACTGCACCCAGCCTTAAGGTGAATTGTTATAGGCAACAACACAGTGGGGTCTTTTATTTTATTTTTTATTTGTTTATGAGACAGACTCGCTCTGTTGCCTACGCTGGAGTGCAGTGGTGCAGTCTTGACTCACTGCAGCCTGGACTTCCCAGGCTCAAGCAATCCTCCCACCTCAGACTCCTGAGTAGCTGGGACTACAGGCACATGCCACCATGCCAGGCTAATTTTTTTTTTCTGGGCCTAGAGATCTGTGGAACTTTGAACTTGAGAGAGATGATTTAAGGTATCTGACAGAAGAAATTTCTAAGCAGCAAAGCATTCGAGAAGAAGCAGAGCATAAAATTTCAGAAAATTTGTAGCCTGATGATGCAACAGAAAAGAAAAATCTATTTTCTCAGGAGACTGGGTTGTAGAAATTTGCATAAGTAATGAGGAGCCAAATGTTAATCACCAAGACAATGGGGCAAATATCTCCAGGGCATGTTAGAGACCCTCACAGCAGACCCTCCCATCGCAGGCCAGGAGGCTTAGAAGGAAAAATGGTTTTGTGGGTCCAGAACCCCCTGCTGTGTGCAGCCTAGGAACTTGGGGCCCTGCATCCCAGCTGCTCCTGCCATAGGTAAAAGGGGCCAAGGTACACCTCAGGCCATGGCTTCAGAGGGTGCAAGTTCCAAGCCTTTCAGGTTCTAGGTGGTGTTAAGCCTGCAGATGCACCGAAGTCAAGAATTAACGTTCATGAACCTCCGCCTACATTTCAGAAGATGTATGAAAATGCCTGGAAATCCAGGCAAAAGTTTGCTGTGGGGGGGAGGGGAGGGGGGGGCCCTCATGGATAACCTCTGCTAGGGCAGTGTCAAAGGGAAATATGGGGTTGGAGCTCCCACACAGAGTCCCCACTGGGGTACTGCCAAGCAGAGCTGTGAGAAAAGGGCCACCATCCTCCAGACCCCAGAATGGTAGATCCACTGACAGCTTGCACTGTGTGCCTAGAAAAGCTGCAGACACTCAATGCAGCCAGAAGGGGGGCTGTACCCTGCAAAGCCACAGGGGCGGGGCTGCCCAAGACCCTGGGAACCCACTTCTTGCATCACCTAGATGTGACACATGGAGTCAAAGGAGGTCATTTTGGAGCTTTAAGATTTGCCTGCTGGGTTTTGGACTTGCATGGGGCCTGTAGCTCTTTCGCTTTGGCCAATTTCTCCCATTTGAAACGAGTGTATCTACCCAATGCCTGTATCCCTGTGTATCTAGAAAATAACTAACTTGCTTTTGATTTTACAGGCTCATAGGTGGAAGGGACTTGCCTTGTCTCAGATGAGACTTTGGACTATGGAATTTTGAGTTAATGCTGAAATAAGAGTTTGGGGGACTTAGGGGAAGGCATGATTGCTTTTGAAATATGAGGACATGAGATTTGGGAGGGGCCGGGGAAGAATTATATGGTTTGGCTCTGTCCGCACCCAAATCTCATCTTGAATTGTAACAATTCCCATGTGTCAAGGGTGGGGCCAGGTGGAGATAACTGAATCATGGAGGCAGTTTCCCCCATGCTGTTCTCATGGTAGTGAATAAGTCTCATGAGGTCTGATGGTTTTATAAATGGATGTTCCCCTGCACATGCTCTCTCCTGCCCACCATGTCTGACTAAATTTTGTATTTTTACTAGAGACGGGCTTTCACTATGTTGGCCAGGCTGGCCTCCAACTCCTGATCTCGTGATCCGTCCACCCCGACCTCCCAAAGTGCTAGGATCATAGGCATAAGCCACCACACCCGGCCTCTTTTTTTTCTTTTTCTTTTTTTTATCTGGAGACTGAGTTTTGCACTCGTTGCCCAGGCTGGAGTGCAATGGTGCGATCTCAGCTCACTGCAGTCTCCACCTCAGCAGGAGAGCAGGAATCTTCAGTGATCCACGGGCAAATATGCAGCCATTGTGGGCACCTGTTCCTCCCGCGACCTTTGTGCCCACGTCTCTCCCTCCAGTACCTACTGCACGACCCCCCACGTCCGCCTCCTGCCATTGCCAGCAGGTGCCTTGCGCGGGTACCTGGCTGCGCTTATTCATCCATTATGGTCGCTCTGTCACTGGTGCCATTATGTGCTCACATGCCCACTCCCTCAGGTTTAGAAGTCGCGTTGCCCGGCAACAGAACAATCTGCTGGCTTAGCCTTTGGCCAAGTTGGCAGCTGGACGAGGACGCTCAGAGCCCAGCTCTTGAGAGTTCAAGTATCCGACAGTTCCCCACTGCTCCCAGGAGCGGTTACCCGGGCACTCTGTGCCCCTCATTCCTGTTTGGGCCAAGGCCGAGGACCTGCGAGTAGGGCTCAGTTGCCTGGAGCCCCTTCAGCCCATCCCCCAGTTCACTTTGCTTGTGGGATCTCCCCGTTGCTCCTGCCCCTGGACTGAGTGGCAGGCCATCCTACAAACACCCACACACTCGACATCAGTGGTGTCAAGACAACTCTAAGAAGGTTTTCCGTGATCCTGCAAGACCTGTGTCCCATCCTGGTGATTCTGTCTTCAACTTCACTGCACAGGTACCACAGTAAGCCAGTGCTGTGTGCTCTGAGTTCCAGGGCATCCCCCAGCTCAGCCACTACACTGAGCACAAGGACTCTGTGGGGCCCAGGAGCAGGTAGTCACCCCTTTGGGGTCCACAACACCCGGCTGTCCCCAGACTTGTGTCCAGGGAAGATAGTGTTGAGGGCCCTCAAGGAGAGCGGGGCAGGGATGCCTGAGCAGCACAAGGACCCCAGAGTCCAAGAAAATCCTGATGATCAGAGAACGGTCCCCGAGGTCACCGGGGATGCACGGTCTGCATTTTGGCCCCTGCGGGACAATGGAGGCCCCTCTCCCTTTGTGCCCAGGCCCGGGCCTCTGCAGACAGACCTCCACGCCCAGAGCTCAGAAATCAGATATAACCACACATCCCAGACATCCTGGACGAGCTCGAGCACCAAACGAAATGCCATCTCCAGCTCCTACAGCTCCACGGGAGGCTTGCCGGGGCTAAAGCAGAGGAGGGGGCCAGCCTCATCCCGCTGCCAGCTGACCCTCAGTTACTCAAAGACAGTGAGTGAGGACAGGCCTCAGGCTGTCTCTTCGGGTCACACACGGTGTGAAAAGGGGGCAGATACAGCACCAGGGCAGACAATCGCCCCAACGGGTGGCTCCCCCAGATCCCAGGACTCTAGGCCCCGTAGACGCAAGATTCCCCTGCTGCCACGCAGGCGAGGGGAGCCTTTGATGCTGCCACCTCCCTTAGAGCTGGGGTACCGGGTCACGGCTGAAGACCTGCACCTGGAAAAAGAGAAGGCATTCCAGCGCATCAACAGTGCACTGCACGTTGAGGACAAGGCCATCTCGGACTGCAGACCCTCACGGCCTTCCCACACTTTGT